>NC_000011.10:45211515-45514545 GCF_000001405.40 Homo sapiens
GTCTGTCCGATGGCCCCTGTGGATGGGAGCACGATGTGACTGAACTGGAAGCCTGCCTTGGGGGACAGGGGGACAGCAGGGCTGGTTGCAGAGGTGGCTCTCCTGCTCTGCACTGTCCTGCCAGTTTCTTCAGCCTGTCAGCATGTGCTGCAGTGATTTAAAGATGCAGATTCCATATTAGTAGTCTTTTATCCCTCACCCCCTTCCCACTCTTCCCCCCAAGTCCGCAAAGTCCGTTGTATCAATCTTATGCCTTTGTGTCATATGGCACAGTGTATACTGCTTGGGTCATGGGTGCACCAAAATCTCACAAGTCACCACTGAAGAACTTCCTCATGTAACCAAACACCACCTGTACCCCAATAACTTATGGAAAAAAAAGTGTGCAGATTCCAGCAAGGCCACAGGATGGCCCCAAGCAATGCAGACGTGGCCTCAGAAAGTCTGGTGCTCAGAGGGCCAAGAGCGTCTTAGTACCTTTAGGCAGGTGCCGCTCCTTCAGCGTTACAGAGCACCTTCATGTTTGTCATCTTGTTTATGACTCTTCTTAACAACCCAATTAGGTAGCCAAGCGGTTCGATGTGTAGACAGGGCAGTCGTTATCATTGCAGAAAGTGAGGTGCAGAGAGATGAACTGACTGCTGAGGTCAGGAGCTGCTGGGTTGGCACGCAGCCGGTGGGCCACGGTCTCCAAGTCCCCTGGCCTGGGCTCTTCCCCACTAGAATAGAGCTGTTCCGTTGAGAGGAAGAGGAACTTCCCCCCAGGGATGCTGGGCCCACGCACCTCAGGGATTTGGGGAACGTGGATTTCTCTATGGGCGGGGGCCAAACTAGACCGCAGGGTGGCAGGGCAGGGGGATACTCAGGTGTTTTTCAGGGGCAGGGCCAACCCCTGGGCCTCCCTCCTTCTCCCTTTTGTAACCACTTTTCCATCTTTGTTTCTGTCCCCCAAGATGATGAAGATGAGGAGGCGCCTGGGCCCTCAAGGCAGCCTCTTCGGGTGCCTCTGCAGCGGTCTCCGGAGGAAGAGGCCCACCTGGCCAGGCCCGCCCTGCTCCGTTCATCCTCCTCCTCAGACCAGTCTGAGACGGTGGGCCCCAAGCCAGAGGCCCTGCCCCATCCCTCGCCCCAGGCCCAGGCTGCCTGCAGGACCCCTCGGCCGCACCCCAGCCCACCCACCACGGGCCTTGACTGGCAGCTCCTCCACGTCCATGCCCAGCAGACCGAGGTGTTCCGGCAGTTCTGCCAGGAGCTGGTGACCGTGCACCGGGACATGGCCAACAGCATGCACGTCATCGGCCAGGCCATGGCCGAGCTGACCAGCCGTGTCGGTCAGATGTGCCAGACGCTGACAGAGATCCGGGATGGGGTTCAGGCATCTCAGCGGGGGCCAGAAGGGGCAGACCCTACGGGCTCCACTCCCCAGGCCACCCAGGCCCAAGCCCCCCTGCCAGAGCCCCCACCAGCTTCCCCAGCATCAGCCCCCACACGGACTACCAGGTCTCGGAAGAGAAAGCACAATTTCTAACCCAGCTAGTCTGCACTAGGAGGAAGAGTCATGGAGGAGGGATGTCTGGCCTCACAACAGGGGCCAGTCTTTCGTGTCCAGGAACAGGATCGATGACCCTTGTAGGACACTGGGGGCGCTGTTACCTCCTCACCGAGCGCAGGTCGCTGCCCTGTGGTCTAACAGAGCATGTATTCAGACCCGCACCCTCATCTTTGGCGGATGCTGAAGATGCAAGAAAAGCCACCTGCTTGATGCTTGCTTGGCCTGGAGATCGTTCTCCTCTTGGTCTGTGTCCCGTGGTGGCAGGCCTTGCAGGGAGGGGGGCGCAACAGTGGGGAGCATCCGAATGGAGTCCCACTTTCCAACCTTGGGGCTGCTGCATCGGCCTCCCACATGTGACCTCCCAGGCCCTGATGCTGCTTCTTTTGAAGGGGGTGAGGCCTGATGGGCAGGTCAAGTCGGTCCTTCAGGGAGGGGTCTACCCTCCCTTGCCCGGGGGTGGTGCCCGCCTTGGCCCTCCGCTTGCCCTTGTGCGCGTGCTCAGCTGCTGTGCTTGCCTTTTTTGGAGTGGGGAGAAGAATGGGATGACGTCGGAGGAAGGAAAAGACTGTCTTGCATTCATAGAGAGCACTTTATGCTTTTCCTCGCCCTTGCAGAGTCTGGGTGGTCTCAGTGGGGGCTCAGGACAGTCAGCTCAAGACAGCCAAGTCAGGTATTATTATGATCATTTTTATCATCATCATCTGTATAAGACAAATGACACAGCCAGTTAGTGAGAGGGCCAGGACTGGAAGCCAGGGTATCGGTTTTCCCAGCTCCCCTGTCAGAGGCCAGATCTGGAGTAGTGGGAAGAGGAGGCAGGGGGCAGGTCTTGCCCCTTGCCAGGCCTCTGCCCCTTGCCAGGCCTCTGCCCCCTGTATCTCTGCTTCTGCCTCAGCTGTCCTGGGTGAGGTGGGAGGCACCTAGCATTTAGCAGGTGATTCTCCCACCCTGCCCTGGCTCTATGGCTCATAGCCAGTGGCTTGGAGAGGCAGGGCCAGATCTCAGGAGTGGAGGGCAACCTCTTCCCTGGCTTCTAAAAGAATCCAGAGCCCAGTGGGGCTCATGTCCCATTCCAGGTTCCAGCATGCCTTGCCTCTGCTTGCTCGGGCTGCCTACGCACTAGCTACATACACCTCTAGCTTCATGTTTCATGTTGGAGTGTGGGGAGAAAACTGGGTTCTTAGCATTAGAGAGGGAAGTGGCAGGTGGCAGATACAAGCTTAGCTCTGACCTGGGTGCACCTCAGCTCTGTGTCCTTTTTTTTCCCTGACCTGAAGCTGACCCCAGCAGAAGTCCCCCAGCCAACCCCTCCACCCAACAACCCCCCACCCTCCCATCCTGCCCCCAGCCATAGTGGGAGCTGGGAGGATTGCAGCATCTAGTGCCTTCCAAGGCTGTTCCTGGAGCGCTGCTTGTAAACCCAAGCCAAGCTTTGTCCCACGTAGGGAGAATGGAAGGTGACTGCAATGTCCCTGTGCCTTTGGCTCCATCTCCCCATTCTGTGGTTCTTTGGGGGTTCCTGCTTCCCTCAAACTGAACACTCTCCTGTCCAACAGCCTGATGGCTTAATTATTGCCTGGAATTGCCCGGCCTCCGATGCTGGAATCAAAGATTGCCTTCCGAAGTATTTTTGTTAAGATGGCAATAAAAAGAAATCAATCTCACTCTTTGAACACACCCAGTGTCCAGGATCTTTCTTTGGTGTGTATTCTCTTTCTTCGTTTCCTGTGAAAACCTCGAGGACCCCAAAGCAGGGGTTAGATGTTTAAGGAAAAGCAGGTTGGTGAGAAGGGCTCAAGTGCCCCTTGATTTCCCTGATTCTATAAACTGCCAGATTCCCTGTATCCAGCACCATGCCAGGCCCTCGGAGGAAAGGAAGGGCATGCATGCACGAAACCACTCAGTTATATTTCATTTCTCTGCTCAAAAGTGAGGTGTTGCTAAGTCAATTTTACCTTTTGTTCCCTAAAAGTAAGCGAGAAGTTCTGGAAAAACAATCACCGTTTCGGACAGGAGGCTTTAGAAGGGTCAGGGGCTGTCCATGTGCCAGTGCACTTTAGGGGCCACCTGGAGGCATGACCCTCCCCACCAATCCAGGTGTCTGTGTGTCTGGCACTGGCAAGGCTCTGCCCACCTAGATCTGAGGCTTCTCAAAGTAACCAAAGCTGCCTCCTCTGCCAAGAGGAAGCCTCCTCACCTGTGCATTGCCCTGGCTTAATACCAGTCTCAGAGAGCTTCTCTCAGGCAGGAAATCCCCTAGTCTTGCCCACAGATCCCCTTTCTAGAAGGTTCTAACTTGCCATCCTCCACAGTTCTTGGCCAAAAAGCATGGCCATAGAAATGGAGGACTACCCAATTTCCGAGAGATGCAAAGATGTCGTGAAACCATTCCCAGGGCCTTCTCTCCCAAGGTCAATGTATGAAGCAGTGACTGGCTGGCTGCTCTCTCTCTTCCTGGGGAGGGAAGGAGCCAAATTGGAAGCTGTAAAACTGAAATGGAAGTCAGAGCAAAAGGGACAGTGAGGACTTGTCAACTTGGGATGGAAAAGATTTTCAGTTTCTGTTTCTTGGCTTCAGTGGGGATTGTTGGGCTAGCACATTAAAACAGGAAGAGGAAACTTGGGTGAGAGACAGAAATGAATTGGAAGAGGGAGGCCTCTAGCCATGACCAGGTGACCATCTGGTGGGTGGATGTGTGACCCAAAGCCCCTCCTAGCCCGGAGACCTATGCATGTGAGAACACAGAGCCCAGCCTCTTCTCAGTCGGTCTTTTCCTAGTTCTGCCTCCTTAACTGGGGCAGCTTCCTTTGTATTGAAGATACCCACTATGCAATAGTGTCTGAGCCTGGCCTAGTCAATTCCCTCCAGCAAAATGGATGCCCTGTGTTATGTTTTCTTTGCGTTAGAAACAATAGTCATGTGCTGACCCAGCTAGAAAATATGATGCACTTGATAAGACACAGTGGGTGAGGTCTGAGAATTGTTGTCTTAGTACTTACCTATCCAGTCCCCAAGGTCAGCTGGGAGGTTGGAATAAAAACAATCCAGGATCATCATGACAGGTTTAGTCCAGAGCTCTCCACCGCCATCAGCAGCACCACCACCTTCCCCTTGATTGCTCCAAAGGTCCCAAATTCTGTGGGTTGGAGTTGAAATGCCTCAATAAGCACTAGCATTTGCAGAACAGTCTCAGCCAGGCATTCTCTGTGCCTTCTCTCAAGAGGTAGTGACCTGGTAACTCTTCAAACCTCCTTGCAAAGAGCTGCTCAGCCACAGTGGATAGATTTTGCCCCTCCTGGTAGCCTTCCACTCCTTGGGGAGGGCTTCTGATTTCTGCAGCCATGTAATGAATGGAACAGGCACAGTTCTTCATAAAGGGGTTGTTGTGAATGGGGACAGAAGGGTTCTGGGGGGTGGTCGAGCCAGCAGGTGTTAAGGCAAAACACTTAAAAGCAGGAGATCTAATCAGAGGTAACAGGTCTGGGGACCTAGCTGGCTTCATTTAGCTTTACCTCTTAAATGGTATAACATAAACATCTTGTCAGGGGAATGGGTTGTGATTCACCAAGAGTTGCCATATACATTGTATTTCAAATGCTAAGTTTCAGAACAACAAATACAACAAAATCTGAATAAGCATTGATCTGCCTTTGAAAATACTTTGTGATTTATACAACGCCTTGAGGTTAGCTTTCCAAATATTGATTCTTGATGGATAGAAAAAGACCAGAAGATGGAAAGTTAAATTGACTTGAGTCTTTCTAAACCTTTTGACACACCCTAGAAGTTGCTCTTTTGAATAAATAAATCCCAGATAGGAATGTATTTCTCATCTAGCTTTTTCTCTTGATGTCAAGTGTCAGAGAAATAATTCTAGCTTTTAGAGGTTGGTGGTTGTTTAGAAACTGGAAGAAAAAAAGGAGAAGACAGTATTCTCCAATCATAGTGCTATGATTCAAGTGAGTCTTGTGAGAAAAAAGACGAATGAATGGTTTCCCTTTTGTATCTGGGAGCAGGAAAGTTTGGAACAACTTCTATTCTGTGCTAACCGCAAGGTTGATTATTTTTGGATGTCAAATCCTAGACTCTCACTAAATTGGGGACTGGAAATATTTTGCATATTCAGAAGAAATCTCAGCTATGGAGAAAAGACTGACTCACAGTTGTAGAATTGAGATTGGGAATTATTAATTTGGAGTGACTTCTCTCACTCCAAATTAAAGGAAAAGGGGCTCTTTTCCTTTCTCTTAAGTCCTTTGTTAATAACATCCTGGCTGGGTGCGTGGAAATCACCCTGTGGTCTTCACTACTCAGGGATAGCGATGCTTATATCCGATGTGATAAGAACACCGATGTGTTGGGGCTAACAGAGAACACAGACCTAGGACAAGATGCAAATTCTGGCGGATCTAAGCACCGTAAATCTTGCAAGTTCTACACCTCCATGGTGGAGCCTGTGGCTTGCTTCTCTCAAAAGGTTGAAGCAGCCAAAGCCAGCATTTGCTCTCCCATCTGCCTTGGTCTTACTCCTTCTGAGGTCTTGCAGCATCCTGTTGCCAGAATGGATTGTTCCCTGGACTCCAGTGATCCTCCTTGGAAGGCAACAGCCTCCTCCCAGGCTCTCCAGATGAGCAAGGCAGGATATAGATGAGGGGCAGCTGGTGCCATCCCTGGGACCTCTAGAATGTAGATTCTCCATGCTGCTAGCTGCCACCACTGTCACCTCATACTGGAATTGGCATTCGTATATTTCTTTTCTTTATATGTGTGTCAGGAGTGAGGTGCGTGACAGTAATAGTTGCTTATTGAGGGAAACTTTGAAAGTATGCAAAATTACAAAGATGATCCACCTGTAAGGGGTTGTCACTGTTAAAACATTGGTATATTTCCTTCAAGTCGTTTACTGGGGCTTGTTTTTAAAGCATTATTGGAACCATAGTCTACTTCCAGTCCTATTGTTCTCACACTATCTTATTTCAACACCATTTTTCCATGTCATAAAAGATTCTTTGAAAACATTTTTCTATAGATGAATAGCATTCCATTATATAAATGTAACATCATTTACGAAATCTTATCTAGTATTAGACATTTAAATGTTTTGCCTTTGTACTGCTATACACAATGATACAAGTCAGCATATTGGTATGCCGGGTTTGCATACTTCATCCATAACTTATGTTTCTTGAGCCATATTGCCAAATTGTTTCCTAAAGGGTTGCACCTGTTAATTCTGCATCATCAGTACAGGAGACACCTTTCTTACCACCTTTACCAATAGAGATATTATCATCTTTTAGAAATCTGTGCCAATGAGACAATGTACTACGCTGTGTTTCTGTTATTAGTGATGCTGAATACTTTTCATTTGTTTATTATCCATCTGAATTCTTCTGTGAATTTTTGTTTCCCCTGGACTTTTCCAGATATAATTCATTGGGCTACACCAATCAGACAGACTTTGATTTTTGTCCCTTGTTTTTGAGACAAACCATAACATAAAGAAGTTTATTTTTTACTACAAATTTCCTAGGTGCTTGTGTAGCTCAGAACCCTAAAACGTCAACTAATTTCCTCTTGCCCTCTGATCTGTACACCTTCACTCCTCGGCAGGTGTTCCCTCATCCCACCTTTTGGAGGTGGGTAGGGTGGTGGGCTGGATGTCGCACATGTTGTTTCAGTGAGAATGGGCGAGGGCCATAGATTCTGAGGGTTTGACAGAACTTTAAAGGTTTTCTGGGCATTGCCGAGTTGGTGCTTTACATGCCCACATAGGAGCCATGAGTTACAGTGGGAAACGTGCATAGGACTCAAAGCTCCATCTCCCATTTATTAGCTGTGTGACTTTGGGCAAGTTGCTTGGCCTCTCTGAGCCTCAGTCTCCTTACCTTAAAATCATTTAGTAAGATTAACCAGTGGTTGTCAACCTTTTGTAGTCTGTTATTTACCTTCCTCCCCTGTCCCCACTGGAGCCCCCATTTTTTAAAAGATTTTGATCTTTAGCATTTATTAATTGATCTCTTGGACACCTTGTCACAGGGGCTATTTCAGCAAGGCTTTGTGAAATACTGGAAACAGTTGAAGGACCCCAGCCTTACCACCTTCAGAGGCCTGTGGGTATCTGGGAACCCCAGTGGTTAAAAGTTAGTGAAGAGTAGAAGAGATAACCTTTCAGTTTTTCAATCACTTATAATATTTAGTTGATATATTTTCCATATGGTGTGAGGCAGGCAGGGCAGGTGTCATATCCAGTCTCAGAAAACAGAGATTCTTAGAGGTTTGGAGATCTGCTTGAGGTCCCACAACACGGTGACGTTGGGACAGGGATGGGTTCTGGCTGGTGCTGCTTCTCCGGACAGGGCAGCTGCTCTGCTGATGTTCACATGGGCCCACGTGCCTGTGGACTTCTAACCATCCACACTTGCCCAGCACTGTGCCGGCACCAGCGGGCACTCAACAAAGGGTGGCCCGTGCGTTCTCACCTGTCTCCCCTCCCCACCAGGTACGTGGTCATCTCCCGGGAGGAGAGGGAGCAGAACCTGCTGGCGTTCCAGCACAGTGAGCGCATCTACTTCCGGGCGTGCAGGGACATCCGGCCTGGGGAGTGGCTGCGGGTCTGGTACAGCGAGGACTACATGAAGCGCCTGCACAGCATGTCCCAGGAAACCATTCACCGCAACCTGGCCAGAGGTGAGTGCCATGCTCCACATGAGCTGCGCCCACCTCTGAGCCCCAGGGGAGGCCTGGATAGCTTGTTTTGGAGCTTCCTGAGAAATACGGTTCCCAGCAATGGGAAGACCCAGAGTGATTCGGGGGAACAGATGGTTGAGGTCTGAGCAGCAGCTCTGGGCCAAGCAGGGGCCACCCCAGCATGTTATCGACCCCTAGAAATGGTCTCAGAAATCCTTACCACACACATTTCAGAGTATTCATGAGAGAGACGCCCCCAAAACCGAGCAAATATGTTTAATCAAAATGTACCCTATTTCCCCAACTCCAGTTGATGAAAAGATGTTACAAACTGCCACTGCCTCAATAATGATCGTAATAATAGGTAACATTTACTAAATACTCAATATGTGAAATACTGACAACAGTCCAAGGACCCCACTCTACCACCGTCAGAGGCCTGTTGGGTATCTGGGAACCCCTGTGGTTAAAAGTTTGTGAAGAGTAGAAGAAATGACCTTTCATTTTTTCAGTTACCTGCAATATCTGGTGTTGATATATTTTCCATAGCCTGTGAGCAGATTTTCTGCATGTTCCCATGTAATTATCATAGCAGCCATCCCTACCCTGTCAGTGCACCCTGAGAAGTAGATGGAGTCATGGACATGTGGCATTTAGGACAATGCCCACCTCCATCATCAGAAGTCCTCAGCTATAAACTTTTAATACTCATGATCCCACATGCATTCTTTTACCCATCTTACAGATGTGCAAACCGAATATCAAATGAATACAGTGATTCATCCAGGGCCACCTGGCTAGGAAGGACAGAACTAGGTTTCTAATCCATATTGGTCTGACTTCAAGGTCTAAGTTCTGACCTGCAATGTTACCTGATGTCCCAGACAAAACCAGTCCCCTCCTGGGTTCCTCCTGGTGTCTGTACTGCAGTCCTAATGAGATGAGGTGAAAAAACAATCTCTATCAAAAGAAGAAGGTTGGCAGGAGGTGGGATGGTGACTTAGGTGTGGGAAGCCGGGTGGGTTCGGTGTCCATCCAGAAGCAGTTTTAACTACTCTCAGCCCCTAGTCCTTTACCCTTTTATTCCATCCTCATCCTGACCAGTGTAGACTGGTGAGTCCAGGCCCTTCTTTCAAGGGTGTTTTTTTTGTTTGTTTGTTTGTTTTTTTCCCCACTAAAACCACGCATCCAAACACCTAGAGTCTATCTGGTGCCAGGAACCAAGGCTGTTCCCAAGCCTCACCATATCGTGTTCCTGACCAACTTACTAATTGGAAATAAATCTTCACTTGGAATATGAGGGGAGAAGATGAAAAGGGGGTGGGAGTGACTTATTCAAATTAAGCTATCTTTAAAAGCAAAACAGAGCAAAGCAAATTGTGGACATTGAGTGCACAGCTGCTGCCTGACTTGGTAAAAGGTATCTGGAGATGATGGGCAGTAAAAGGAGACCCCATAAACATACTCATTTCTTGTCTTCTTTGGATCTCAGGGTTTGGCACATGTTGGTTTCACTTGGCAAGGTGTGCTTCCATGATGAGGCTGCAGTGGTTTCCATGTGACCTCTGGAGATGCCTCATGTAAAAGTGCCTGATACATAGTAGGGACTCAATAAGTCTTTGTTGAATGGATAAAAGAAGAAATGAATGAAGACAGCCAAGAAGCTTTCCAAAGAATCATACCACTAGAAGAAAAGAAAACCCAGAGAAATCATATCTGAGAACACAGATTTCATCCCTTGGTCATAACCTTCTTGCATTCTTCTGGATTTGTGATGTCCTTTTCTTCCCCTCAGTGGTCTTCTCCAGAGCACCTGAAGCTGCATCATCCTCCATGAGCCCCAAGACCACAGGGGATTGCTCAGAGAAGGGTGTGAGCTTTCTGGAGTGGTTCAAAGGAGGCGTGTCAGACAGACTTGAAAGGAGATACACCGAGACATATGAAGATACAGGAGGGAAGAGGGTCTATTCCTGGTCAGGCTGAGCAGTAAGAAATAGGAAGGAAATTGAAAGTCACAGTGGGGCAGTTTCACAGCTGTGGGTGATCCTGAAGCCCTTGGGAATGGTCATGGAGCTCAGTGGCTTTTAAATGTGTGCCTCTATAGCCTGTAGCTTCAGCGGACTCTGGTTAGTGGTGTCCCAGATGGGTGTGCCATTGCTGCTCTGAAAGGGAGATCCCCTATGCCCAATCACTCTTGGTCTTATATAGAAGGAGGTTTCTTTGTAATTGGAGGTAGGCACCCTGATGGAGTCCAGAGCATGAATTATTAGTTCTTATTAAGTAGGGATATTGGTTGTTGCCAGAAGTCTTCCTGAAGAGAGTGTAAACTATTCCTTTGTGGTTACCTTTTAAGAATAGATTGCATCTAAAGCTCGCATTCAAACAATTTATGTTATTTGACCTACTTTGATTCACTAATTTACTTTGAGGTTTTCTTTGTTTTTGTTTTCCATGTTGTATGGAGGCTTTGGAACCAATTTCATGATGCTTAAAGGTCTCTTTTGGCCTGTAGATTTTTCTGAAAGCCTTAAGTCCACAAAGATCATACTAAGAAATTTGAACAACGTTGTTTTCAAACAATGACGAGGAATCTCTGGTGATTTCTAGGCTTGATTTCCCGATGTCCTCAGTTGTTTGCTGCCTGATTGTCCCATGAGGAAAGGAAAATGTGGCTCTTGATTTTTAGAGATTTTCAATGGGCAAGTGCTGCATCTGATCTGTAAGACATACAGGTGGCATTTTCAAGTTATCTCCATCTCTCCCCTTTCTGTAGCTCAGCTGATATAGAAGTGCAGGCTGTGGGGAGCTGCCTGGGTTCCAGAAGCCTTGGAGATAAAGTTGTTCCTTAGGTATTCATGTGAGGACAGAAAAGGTGCATCCTGAATAGATAACTCCCTTTTGTGCTGTAACCTAAAGGAAACCTGAAGTCAAACATGGGGCAGGGCACAGCACCCATACCAGCTATGGGAAACCAGACGTGGAACATCTGGACTGCTTATTGGCAAACCCTTGGCCTTCAATCAGAAGTCTTTTGCAAATGGAGCCATCAGAAGCCTAAGTACGTTTTAGTTCAAGTCATTGTTCAGCGGCACATCACCTAGGGCCCCTGCACCTGGTCTAGGAAACCTTTGAGATTTCTGAGTTCCATAGGCTACTTTCAGGACCCTCTAAGGGCTGAAGAGATTCCTCTGCCTTTTTAGCATCTCTCACCAGCAAGCATCAGCACTTCTGTGGCAGTTTATGAAACTATGTTGGTAATTTTTAAAGAATCAGGCTAGCTGGGTGCCATGGCTCATGCCTGTAATCTCAGCACTTTGGGAGGCCAAGGTGGGCAGATGGCTTGAGCCTAGGAGTTTGAGACCAGCCTGGGCAACATGGCGAAACCCTATCTCCACAAAAAGTACAAAAATTAGGGTGTGATGGCTTGTGTCTGTAGTCCCAGCTACTTGGGAGGCTGAAGTGGGGGGATCACTTGAGCCTGGAAGGTGGAGGCTGCGTGAGCACCACTGCACTTCAGCCTGGACAACAGAGTGGGTCTCTGTCTCAAAAAATAAAAATTAAAAACAAGGAATCAGTCTAAAATAATTTATGGTTCAGGAGCTCACCAAAGTCTTTGAAACAATTGAAAGTAATTCAAAGTGAATTGAGGTAATTCACATGATAGAAAGAAATAGGCAAGGAAACGTCCTTTGAATTGCCAAGTGAGGAGACATGGCTATATTTCCTGACTGCTTTGGGTCATTATGGCTACCTTGTCCTTTATCTTGTCGGAGGCTGCCATGTTGGAGCCCTCAGCGCCATAGGTCTCCTTGTCTTCCCCTTTCTTCTGCCCTTAGTCGTCAGTGAGAACAACAGAAGTTCAGATCATGCTTTCTCACATGTTCCTAGTCTGCTGATTGCTGGGAGAATTAGAAAGGACAGTTGCCATAGGATGGACTTTGCCTTAAGTAGGCTGTCTCCAGAGCAACGAAGGAGGAGGAAGGAGTGAGGCCTATGGTGTTTCATGTGTACCTTTTACCAAGTCGAAGCAGCCATCTTGTCATTGCTAGGGCTGAGGGGAAGCTGCAAAGGTTGGGGGAGTTGATACTCACTTGGCTCTGAGGTATGTTCCCACCACCCAGTGTGATTAAGTGGGATGTTGTTTTCTAGGGTCATAGGAAAGAATGTTCAATTACTCTCCCTTATAGATTTCTCTTAACTTATAACCGTAGAGCTTGTAGACATGAGGCTTCTTGGAAACTGTCTCTTTCTAAAAGGTCTTTCCACCGTTCAGGTCCTATGAGTCTAGCTCTGATGGACCACTGAGTGATTCGTATCTCCCCTTTGCAACACTTGCCCCAAAAGCCCAGATCTAGAGGGATGTGTCAGGTGACCTAACAGGAGGCCTGCTTTGTTTTCTGTTGGTTTCTCCAATTTGGGGGTTTTCCCCATTTCCTTACACCCTGGTTTTCCTTCCTAGGAGAGAAGAGGTTGCAGAGGGAGAAGTCTGAGCAGGTTCTGGATAACCCAGAAGACCTGAGGGGTCCCATTCATCTCTCTGTGCTGAGACAGGGCAAAAGTCCCTACAAGCGTGGCTTTGATGAGGGGGATGTACACCCCCAAGCTAAGAAGAAGAAAATTGACCTGATTTTCAAGGATGTTCTGGAGGCCTCACTGGAATCTGCGAAGGTGGAAGCCCACCAGTTGGCCCTGAGCACCTCACTGGTCATCAGGAAAGTCCCCAAATACCAGGATGACGCCTACAGTCAGTGTGCAACAACAATGACCCATGGTGTGCAGAATATAGGCCAGACCCAGGGGGAGGGGGACTGGAAGGTCCCCCAGGGGGTCTCCAAGGAGCCAGGCCAATTGGAGGATGAAGAAGAGGAGCCTTCATCATTCAAGGCCGACAGTCCTGCCGAGGCCTCCCTTGCATCTGACCCTCATGAACTTCCCACCACCTCTTTTTGCCCTAACTGTATTCGCCTAAAGAAGAAGGTTCGGGAGCTCCAGGCAGAATTAGACATGCTTAAGTCTGGGAAACTTCCTGAGCCCCCCGTATTGCCACCACAGGTACTGGAGCTCCCAGAGTTCTCGGACCCTGCAGGTAAGTTGGTTTGGATGAGATTATTGTCGGAGGGCAGAGTACGCAGTGGGCTGTGTGGAGGGTAGCCTAAAGCTCTCTGTGGAAACCACCTTCCGGGAGACCTGAGGAGTGTAACGTGGAGGCGGCTACCTCCGTGGGTGGGAGCCCAGGTCCTCAGTGTCTCTGGCAGACCCATCGGCAGCTCTGCCAGGTGCTCCATGTGTTGCCCTTGTATCCTCCTTGTCAATAAAGGAAGTTCCGCTGCAGAAGGGGTGTGTGCTGTGTTCTTGACCCGTTGCCTTTCTCTGGTACTGGTGTCTTACCCCAAAGCCCAATTTCTAAACCCAGTCTTTCTCTGTCCCCAGTCTCAAGCAGGGTGTCCCACTGGAGAGATCTCTTGGCTTCCCTAACTTAGTCCAGGAACACAGCCTTGTTCTTCTCTTCCTGAATCTCTGTCCTGCCACACATGGTCCCAGTTCCCTAGCCTGGAGTTCTAGAAGGATGGAGAGTGAGGGGATCCAGGCCATTCACCTGCATGGCTTTGCCCTATTCTGTTGGCTACCTGGATTTCTAGAGTTGGTTGACAACTAGGCAGGTGTTCTAGTTCATATCTGCAGCTGAGGGAGACTGTTTACATAGCACTTACTCTTTTAACCACATCCCTTAGCTCAGAATGAGGTGTTTCTTGTATTCAAAGCATGCGTCTGAACTAAACTGCATTTTGATCCTGAAATCACTTGGGGCCATATCCAAGATGCCTTTGTTCACATTAATGAAGGGCAAATGAATCCCAAGTCCTTGCTATATAACTTTGGAATGTGTGATGTGCTTTTCCTCCTCCATTAGATCTACTCTCCTAGCTTGAGCTGTCCAGTTGATAGGGGGCATTTAAATCCCTCAAACACCCACACATGGAGGGCAAGGGCAGGCAGCCTGAAATCTGGTGGGTGTGACAAGGCAACCGTGGACAATCACAGGGAGAGTAAAAGTCACATGGGCAAGCAGGAGTGCTCATAAACTAATTCTGGGCTGGGATTCAATCCATCATAGGCTTCCACGGACTTCTGTTTCCCATGGTGTGGCACCTACCTTCCAGGAGTGTTTCCTGTGGATTTTGGAAAAGCCTGTTTTCTCCCCCAGGTATAAATGTTTCTTTCCCATTTGTTTTTCAGCCTCAGAAAGCATGGTCTCCGGCCCCGCCATCATGGAGGATGATGACCAGGAAGTCGATTCAGCAGATGAATCTGTCTCCAATGATATGATGACAGCGACGGATGAGCCCTCCAAGATGTCATCGGCCACCGGGCGCCGAATCCGGCGCTTTAAGCAGGAATGGCTGAAGAAGTTCTGGTTCCTGCGGTACTCCCCAACCCTCAATGAGATGTGGTGCCACGTCTGCCGCCAGTACACGGTGCAGTCCTCACGCACCTCGGCCTTCATCATTGGCTCCAAGCAGTTTAAGATTCACACCATCAAACTTCACAGCCAGAGCAACCTGCACAAGAAGTGCCTGCAACTGTACAAGCTCCGCATGCACCCGGAGAAGACAGAGGAGATGTGTCGCAACATGACCCTGCTCTTCAACACCGCCTACCACCTGGCCTTGGAGGGCAGGCCCTACCTGGACTTCCGGCCCCTGGCGGAGCTGCTGAGGAAGTGTGAGCTCAAGGTGGTGGACCAGTACATGAATGAGGGAGACTGCCAGATCCTCATCCATCACATCGCCCGGGCCCTGCGGGAAGACCTGGTGGAGCGCATCCGCCAGTCACCTTGCCTCAGCGTCATCCTGGATGGGCAGAGCGACGACCTGCTGGCCGACACGGTGGCTGTCTATGTTCAGTACACCAGCAGTGATGGGCCCCCGGCCACAGAGTTCCTGTCCCTGCAGGAGCTGGGATTCTCTAGCACAGAAAGCTATCTCCAGGCACTTGACCGGGCCTTCTCGGCCTTGGGCATCCGGTTGCAGGATGAAAAGCCAACTGTTGGCTTGGGTGTAGATGGAGCCAACATCACAGCCAGCCTCCGTGCCAGCATGTTCATGACCATCCGCAAGACGCTGCCCTGGCTGCTGTGCCTGCCCTTCATGGTGCACCGGCCCCACCTGGAGATCCTGGATGCCATCAGCGGGAAGGAGCTC
This sequence comes from Homo sapiens, assembly GCF_000001405.40. Classification (NCBI taxonomy): domain Eukaryota; kingdom Metazoa; phylum Chordata; class Mammalia; order Primates; family Hominidae; genus Homo; species Homo sapiens. The sequence continues at coordinate 45,226,960 of NC_000011.10, forward strand.
CCATGCCTGGAGGAGCTGGAGAACAACCTGAAGCAGCTGCTGAGCTTCTACCGCTACTCACCGCGCCTCATGTGCGAGCTGCGGTCCACGGCGGCCACCCTTTGTGAGGAGACAGAGTTCCTGGGCGATATCCGGGCAGTGCGGTGGATCATCGGCGAGCAGAACGTCCTCAACGCTCTCATCAAGGACTACCTGGAGGTGGTGGCCCATCTCAAGGAGGTCAGCAGCCAGACCCAGCGGGCAGACGCCTCGGCCATCGCACTGGCCCTGCTGCAGTTCCTCATGGACTACCAGTCCATCAAGCTCATCTACTTCCTGCTGGACGTGATTGCTGTGCTCTCGCGTCTGGCCTACATCTTCCAGGGCGAGTACCTGCTGGTGTCCCAGGTGGATGACAAGATCGAGGAGGCCATCCAGGAGATCAGCCGGCTGGCTGACTCCCCGGGAGAATACCTGCAGGAGTTCGAGGAGAATTTCCGAGAGAGCTTCAACGGGATCGCCATGAAGAACCTCAGGGTGGCTGAAGCCAAGTTCCAGTCCATCAGGGAGAAGATCTGCCAGAAGACCCAGGTCATCCTGGCTCAGAGGTTCGACTCCCGCAGCCGGATCTTTGTGAAGGCCTGCCAGGTGTTTGACCTGGCTGCCTGGCCCAGGAGCAGTGAGGAGCTGATGAGCTATGGCAAGGAGGATATGGTGCAAATATTTGATCACCTGGAGGCCATCCCGACCTTTTCCCGGGATGTCTGTAGGGAAGGGCTGGACCCCCGGGGTAGTCTGTTGATGGAGTGGCGAGAACTCAAGGCTGATTACTACACCAAAAATGGCTTCAAAGACCTGATCAGCCACATTTGCAAGTACAAACAGAGGTTTCCACTCTTGAACAAGATCATCCAGGTTCTTAAAGTCCTCCCCACTTCCACCGCTTGCTGCGAGAAAGGCCGCAATGCCCTCCAGCGAGTTCGCAAAAACCACCGCTCCCGCCTGACCCTGGAGCAGCTTAGCGACCTGTTGACAATCGCTGTAAACGGACCGCCAATCACCAACTTTGATGCCAAGCGAGCCCTGGACAGCTGGTTTGAGGAGAAGTCTGGGAACAGTTACGCGCTGTCTGCAGAAGTCCTCAGTAGGATGTCTGCGCTGGAGCAGAAGCCAGCACTACAGACCATGGACCACGGGACGGAGTTTTACCCCGACATTTAGGGAGCTGGCGCTGCAGAGTTCACTAAGCTGTTGAATATTTTTTTAATCTATACTCATAAGCTTTGATATATTATATAAATATATATTATATTATATTATATTATATTATATATATATATATATATAAACTCACACTGAAAATTTTTAAAAACCAAGGTGACGCGTCCACCAGAAGCCACTGGGAGATTTCAGAAAGGAAAAATGTTGGAAACTGACTCTTGTCTACAAAATTTGGCAGCTGCAACATACATGGCAACTCATTTTCACTCACAGAAGCACGTGCTGGGGCCTCCTGTGTTCCCACCTTACTGTCCACCAACAGCATAAGCTAAAATGACAGGTCTCTGTCATCACCTTTAGGTAGCTCATTTTGTTTATGTTTTCATTTGCGGGTGGCGGGGCTCTGGGTTTGGGTTTATGTTCTTGCCTTTTCTTTTTTCATTTGGTTTTATGATGGGAGGGAGCTCCTCAGCCTCCTCATTGACATTCTGGTCCGGCTGAATCAGATCTCTGACTTAAGTCAGGGTGGGTTGTCTGTCTGCATTTGGGAGGCAGGGGGGTTGACCTTTCTCCCTCCCCACCTGACTTCAGCTTGAGATCTTTTTTTATTCATTTCCTGATGAGGGTTCCTTCACTGTCCTACAAACAAAAGTGTCGGTCAAACTGTGACACTGCCACACCTCACCTCTGTTGCCTCGTCCATCCCTGGGTTGTGGATCCCTTCCTTCCAGCCCCCCCTGGAAACTCACAATATTACCCATTATACTGAAGGCAACATTGCCTCACCGCTGAGCTTGAAATCCTGGGGAAGGGAGAAGGGGTAAGCTTTTAGCATTCCTGTTTTTACGAGGTGGAGGATAAAACAATATAATTCCATTCCAATCCAGGGCTTTTGGGGAGATGAAGAGCCAAGAAGTCCAGACCCCAACAGGGGAGTGATTTTTGGCTAAAAAACAAGGAAAATGAAAAGTACATATTCGAGTTACATGGATTATTTATACTTTTTCTTTATAATCATATCATGTGTTGAGGGTATTTTTTTTCCTTTAATAATCAAGAAATGCCTGCTATAGTTCAGTGGCAGGTAGTGTCAATGCAAATTGTGCCCTAAGTTATGCATAACTCAAATGAGAGTCTGTAGAGATGTGGTCCTCCTTTTGCAACAAGGCTGATAACATGCTACATGGTCATAGGAAACTGGGGAATGTGTCTCTGCCTGTAAACTCTTCCTTTTTTGAACAGGGTAGAGATGTCCTAAAGAAATGGAGAAAAGAAGAGAGGACTCTCAAGGCATCAGCCTACACAGACACACACACACACACAGACACACACACACACACAGACACACACACACACACACAATCACAATATACAATATAAGCTTTAGAAATAGCCACTTGCCTATTCCCTGGGGCAAGTAGTGGTTTAAACTAGAGGAGTCTGATCAATGCTCTTTCATTCATTTAACTACCGGTATACCTCGCAAGGGAGTTTTAAAAAATGTGCGTGAGCTGTTAAAAACTTCTGTTCATGTTCCTACATCTGATTTATGCATATTTTATATGCAGAGATCCTATCACGTGGATGCAGGTCATTTTGGGGGAGGGAGGAAGATCTGAATTATATACATGTGGTCAGTTCTGCTGAGAGCTTCATCTCTTGGTTGGCAGAGGGTGGTGTTATCTGGCCACAGGCAAGGCCCCAATGTCTTCAGCCTGCTTGGTTCAGACATTATAAAACTGTGGTGGCTTCCTTCCTTCTTGGTTTATGTTGTCTCTGAGGCCTCATGCCACCGTTGAGAACCATAGTGGAAATGTCATCAACACTGAACATGTTATAGCCCTTTCTTGGTTCCACCAGTCCCTTCATCCCCTACCAATCCCTTCCCCTTCACCTCCATGGTCTTGGTGCTAAGATAACTTTAGAATCATTGCTGCTAGTCAATAGCTTTTCATTATATAAATATATTATATATATTATATATTATTTTTGAAATATTTTTGTTTGTTTTCAACAGTGATGTAGCATGTTAAAAAACAAAAAACAAAAAAAAATGGGTTCCTCCAACTGTCCCACTGCCAGGCCTCATATGCTGCCTTCTTCAACAAATCAATGCACCCCTGCCTGGTGACATCCACCCCACCTCCCACCCCAGTTGCACACATGCTTCCCTACCCTCCTCTGAGCAAGAAGACAGTTAGCAGGAACTAGCAAGGAAAGGCTGAAAGCCTCCTTCTGAGGCTTTGAGATTCCCAGCCCCATTCCACTTCCCCACTTTAAACTGATGTCTCCCTCCATCTGCTCCTCCCATCAGGGTCAAAACCTAACTGTGGTCAAATGGGATGCTGTTGCAAAGCACCAGGTCCCACCTGGCCCAGCCCCAGCCTTGGGACTTCCTCTCCCCTCACACACGCAAACTGCTGTGTCTGGGGAGTTTTCACTGAACATTGCAGAGACTAAGAAGGGTTGAGGGCAGAGATGGCTAGCAAGACAGGGCTTGGTGAGGGCAGAAACAGTAGGTTGAGATCCTTTCTTCTAGCCAACAGTTGCCTTACACCTTACATTGGGTAATGGGTAGGGAGGAGCAGGCTAAGGCTCCCGCTCATTTGAAAACCAGGAAGAGAGAACCAGTGTCTTCCTGAGCACCTGGTCAGTTGGAGCTACTCTTTTTCCTCTCAAGAGATCATGGCCAAAATGAGCTAAAATCTTCAGCTAGAAGGGGAAAAGCTTATGGGCCAGTGCCAGTGCCTACCCTGTAGTTCCTGAGAAAGCTGAGAGCAGGTGACCCACTTCTGGCCTAGCAGAATGAGCTGCTATGCACAGCATGCAGCTGCAGGGGTCACTTCCTGAGCTGGCCACCAGACCTCGGAAAAGCTAACCTCTCAGGTGGTCTTGAAGTTAGGTTAGGGCATCCCTAAAACTCTGGGTGCTTGTGGCTTCTGCTGAATTTAGCCATGCCAGGGCTGTGGCAGACACTCTGTAGGCCACACTGCCATGGGACAGGGAATAATTTGGGTGATACACCACTGCAATTTACACGGGGTCTCTTCTCAGCTTGGATGCTCCCTGGGAGGCCCAGTGCTTCTGTCCTGTGAATTCTGCATGTGATTACCCATGATTTCTGTCATAGGCATTTCCCACTCTTCTGCTTGCTTGAGAAGGACTTGGACTGATGGGACACTCAGGGTCTAGCCCAGGGAGCATATGCTTGGCTAACCTAATCTCCCCTTGATGTGTATACAGAACTGTGGAAAAGCAGTTGGTGGATCCCAAATGTTGTTACTTCAGACAAGACAGAGCCCTTTAACTCAGCCTCTGGCTTAGGAGTGATGACTACAGGCTTAGAATGAAGTGTGTCTCTGGGGCTGAGACTTGGCATAACTGGGCTGGCTGATTAGTGACTTTCTTTGGCTCGTAGGGTTGGTGGGAAGTGAGATCAACCTTGAGGCCCAGGTTTGTGGCCAACTGTGCCAAGGTGATACCTGGCAGAGCCTGGGAGCCAGAGCCCTTATGATTAATATGATCTGCTTTTCCTTCATGGAGGACAAAGAAAAAATCCACTGCCATCTAGTATCTGTGAAACATGAGGACAGCGCAGTCAAGTCTGTAACTCTTGCCATGTCAGAATCCCCAAGTTTTGCCTGCCTGGTTGAATATGAGAGTCCAGGCATCAGAAACAGCAGCCTTATTTAATTTAATTTTTCTAATGACTGGCCTATGACACCTTGTGATGCTAGGCACATCCTCATTTCCCCATCCTCACTTGGGACTGAGAGCAGGCTCAAGTTCCAGGGTCCCTGGATGGCAAGGTTCAGTGCTGGGCCCTGGAATCTATGGCACTTGGGGGTCTCTGACCTCAGCCTCTGCCACATGTTTCCAAGTTGAGTTGTTTTGCTGAGGTGGTCCTCCCCTTGAGTTGCTTATGCCAACCCTTTAATTTAGGAAAAGTACCTTGTAATTACTTAAGGTAATGTTTAAATGTTTTCCATTCATTTGGAGGTGGTGCCAACAGGGGGGAAAGCATGCAGAAGGCTGGAAACAATAGCTGAGACCCTACTGTGGGCCCACAGCCCTGGCCCAGCCGGCACTGAGGGGCTGGTGCCATGTTACTTGATCACCTGGAGCCTGATGGGACCCAGGAGGTGGCCTGAGGGGTTGAAGTATAACTTCCCTCTTCTGGATCCCCCCTTTCATTTTCCTTCTACCCCCTCTAGGAATGGGAGTTCTAGACCTAGGTCTGCTTTTGGCTTTCAGTCTGGGTTGATTTCCAAGTCGAATTCATGCTTTTTCTTGGCCCATAGGTCCAATTTTGGCAGAAGGCATTGGACTTGTGCCCCCTCCCTGCTTCAAGAGGCAGATCTAGCCAGGCCAGGCTGAAACAGCTGAAACAGGCAGGCCAGTCCTCCTCAGACAAGAAAGGGGTTTTCAGAGGGCAGTGGTGTGCCCATTCCAGACACCAGTCTTCTGGGGAGGTGGTGCCGTGTCATGGGTTCTAGTCTGGCCTCTTCCTCAGTCCTCAGGAGGACCCAAGAGACTGGCACGGCCCTTCTCCTGCTTGGAGGGAAACCCATCTCCCACTTGGTGGGGGCCCTTCTCTTGCCATCTGTTGGTTAGGGTGCTTGAGCTGAGTGGATGGTGCTGTGATATTTTTAAGGAGCCTTTCAGGCAATGTTTGCATGTTAGCCAGAGGGAGAAAAAGTGCCCTTTTGGGAGGAAAATGGTACGCCCCTCCACTTCCATCTGGCACTCCCTTCCCCCCCACCCCCTCAAGTGGTATCACCCTGGAAATACCTATGCAATCCAGTCTCCCTAGGAGAGAGTGCATGGAAGCAGGGGTATGTGCAGTGTAGAATACAGATGCTACAGCATATATGTTGTATATATGGACATATACAGTACGTATACACACAGAGTAAGAGAGTAAATCACGTCTATATATCTATAAATAATATCCTATATATTTATACATTTCTATGTTTTAAATAGATATAAAAATAGAGTCTATAGAGCTGGGAGAGCAGTGGGAAGCCTGGCGCTGTGCTGTGCAAAGGGGAAGGGAGCACGGCCTTCGGAGAGGGAGCCGGGGAAGGCCAGCAGGCAGGGTTGGCTGGCAAGGGGGCCTCCTACCCGGAGTGTTGGAGAGGAGAGTGGCTGGGTCCCGGCTCGCTCCATGCACTTTCTCTCCTTTTCCACAGGCTTGGTCTGAGGTTGGAAGGAGATACCCCCTGAGCTCCAGCTGAGGTGCCCCCTACCTCTCCCCACCCCCACAGCCCACGCTTAGGCGGTCACTGCTGCTTGGCAGTAGGACGTGGTCTCTGACTCCTGGTGGAGGGACCACTGCACAAACTCCTTCAAAACCCTCCCGCACCAGGACTGAGCAGCGTCAGTGGCAATAGGAAAGGTCCAAACTGGATCAAGAGCTGGTCCAGGAAAGATACCGCCCCTGCCCTGTTAGATGCTTCTGCTGCCCCTAGAGGCCAAGCCCCTGAAGTGCAGCCGTCCTGGCCTCCCTCACTTGCTCAACCACTGTCAGGAGGAGAGGATGTGGGCAGCATGAGCATCGCCAGGCAGCGCTGCCCACCATCCACAGGCTTTCTGGCCAGGGCAGGGGGCATCAGCTAGCAGGAAACGGTGGGAGAGACATATCTGCACACTCATAAATTCAATGGCTACTCCAGTCCAGAAGCAGGGCTTTGGCCCAGCCCGCTCCGCGCAGCAGCTGCTGCTGGCTGTACTCAGGACAACGCTGTTCCCCCTCCCTCACAGAGGCCCCGTGGCCCCTACCCCACTCCCGCCGTAACAGGCAGGTTTAGTTCACATACACTGTTCGCATTCTGTGACTTGAGGCAGAGGCTGAGCTGGGATACCCCAAGCTCATCCACTTTCGTTGGGGAGGGCCCCTCCCTGGGTTTATCACCAGCTCCTAGCCCGGGCCGGGCGGGGATGTCTGGGGGCCACGCGGGGGCACTGGTGCAAGCTGGCAGCATGACAGAGGGCTTGTGCAGCCCTGACGGGACCCAGAAGCCCATTTGCTCGCAGTTTCCTCTCTCTGTTTTTTTCCTCCTGGAGGTAGGAGAGAGGGCCTGACCAGGCACCAGATGATGGAGCAAGGGCAGCTGCATGCTCCCTCTCTCCAGACCAGCCTTCTGCTTTTGGGGTCCGAAGGGGCATTTGCTCCCATCCTGAGCCTCCTCTGCCCCTGTCTTGCTCTTCCCCACCATCCTACAAGTACCTCAGTCTCCAGCAGGCCCACCCCTCCACCTGCAGCCCAGGGCGGGTCTGTTCTGCCAATGCCCACCTCCTTGAGCCACAGTTAGCTGCCAACTGGGTCTTGGGACACCCTCCAGTACCTGGCTCAAGAGAGACCAGGCCGGGCCGAGCCTTCTTCCCACTGCAGTGGACTAGACCCACGGCCAGGGGATGGGCATCCCCAGGTAGCAATCCCACAATGCACTGTACCTCAGAGAGAGAGCACGCCAGGGGCACCAAGGGACCGAGCCCTCTGTCCAGAGGGGGACAGCGGTCACAATACTGCTCACCAAAAGACAAAGGCCAGGCTGCCCTCGGGCACCTCTCAGTCTTCACTTTTGTCTCTCCGGAAGAACCAGCAGTCTGATTCCGTCTATTTCAGCCCCCGTCTCTCTCTTCTCCACCCCCACGCTGCTGAACCATTTTCATGTCAATCACAAAGGAAAAATAAGTGGGGATGGGGGGAAATACCTAGGAGTCTATTATCACATACATATTAATATGTTAATACTTTCTTTAAAAAAAACCTCTTGATGTTATTATTTTGCAGACTACGCTTTATAGTACCTGTGTGACGGGACCTAGAACACTGGATACAAATAGAGCTATGTTGGTTTATCATAATATGTACGCAGAAACTTTCTTTTTGTCATATTATCCTTGTAATGTAAGAAGATTGTTAATAAAAGCATTTAAATTTACTCACCACTGTTGAATTGCTGCCTCCTTGCCTCTATCCCCGGCCTGTGCTCTGGTTGACTCAGAACGGGCCCCACCACAAGGGCTCAGGTGTCAGAATAGGAGCTTGCCTGCTGCCAGGTTGGAAGGAACTAGAAGAGGCCACTAGCCCCTTCTTGCTGCTCTCATTGTTCCCCCATTAGAGTCTCTTTCCAGCAAGTAACCTACGTGCCTCGCCCACCAGGCAGGCCAAAAGAGGTGTGACCGAAACCGTTTAAAATAAATCTCTCTGCCCCCATATGCATTCATCCCACAAGAATCTCCTGGAGGCAGCACACAAGGGCTGTTGCAGATAAACTGTTGTTCTCATTCTCCCTCAAGCTGTCTGGCATGGTTCTCTACTTGCAGACCTGTCCCTGGAGAAGGGTCTTTCCTCAATGGTTTGTCATTGGCACTGGTATAAGGGTGATGAGTGATGCTTTCCCCACATTGTTTTACAAAAATTAGTATAAATCCAGTGAAGACACATAATATGTTTTAATTTTTTCCTCCTGAGCTGCTCGGTCCTCCTACTCCCAGTTTCCCTGCCCTGCCCATTTGTCTTCCTTTTAGGAGCCTTCCTAGTTCCTTTTTCTTAACCTCTGTCTTCTGCCATTTTCCTCCCAGCCCTTGAAGGCTTCCTTCCCGTGGTTGATCACTCAGAGGCCTCCTGTTGTGAAAGCCACTCTACAGACCCATGGAACAGTCTAGTTTTCTTCTTCCCAGAGGAGGTGTAGGGAAAGAAGGAGCAAAGAGACATAGCTGTCCACACCAAATCAGCCCAAGTGAACCAGGCTCAGGCCCGCCCCCATGCTGGGCTACACAGATTTGACCCACCTTTGCAGCAGTATCTGGAACATGTTAATGATTTCATCACCAGGAAGCAAGGGAAGGAAAGACTCCCCATTTGCACTTCACCATGAAATTGGTCTCCCCAAAGTGGGGCTTGTAGGAAATGATAAGGAGGTGAGGTCTATTCCATTCCCTTCCTCCCTCTTTTCCCCAGCTTCTCCTGTCCCTCCTTCCCCAAGATTCAAGGGCAAGTTGAGTCCAACCCAGAGAGGACTTAGGAGAATGACCAGCTGCCTGAAGACCTGAAAGGCTACCATGCAACAATTTCTAGAATGATCTTTTAAAACTTAGATTCAGTCATGGCATCTGCTCTGCCTAACACCTTCCACTGGTTTCCCATTACCCTTATAATTCAATCCAAACTCCTAATTATGACCCATCAGCCCCACACAGTGCAGCCCTGCCTACCTCCCAGCCTCATCTTGTCCTCCCCTGCATTGGGCTCCAGCCACACTGCCTTCAACTCACTAAGCTCTTTTCTACCTCGGGATCCTCTGATGCCATGAGCCCCCTGCCTGGGATAGCTTTCCCAGATGGTTACATGACTGAACTCTTCTCCTCTTTTAGGTCTCATCTAAAATGCAGCCTCAAAGGGGTCTTTCCTGGCCAGCCTATCTAAACTGTATAATTACTCTGTGTGTGTGTGTGTGTGTGTGTGTGTGTGTGTGTGTGTGTGTGAGAGAGAGAGAGAGACAGACAGAGAGAGATAGAGAAAGACAGAGATTGTTTTATGTCCGTCTTCCCCTTCCATATGGTAACACCCACAAGGGAAAAGCTACATAGTGGGCATTTAATCAGTGGGTATTGAAGGGGTGAATGAACTTAAGCCACTCCTGATAGAAGTGCAACTCCTGCAATGCTGTCTTGGTCACAGCTGAGGTCCTAGGTTCTTCCATGTTGCCTGTCTCTATCTTGGTTTCCTTCCTTGATCAGAAAGACCCTGCGCCTGACCTCTGGTTGCATCTAACCTTGACCCAGCCCCTACTCCACAAAGCTGGAGGTTGTTCCCATGGTACTCACTTGAGTTCCCCTCCATTCCAACTTGCTCTTGCCCCTTGGACAATGTTCTGCCCAATCCAGCCAGGTGCCTCCTAGTTCCTATAGGAAAGAGAACTTTTCCAGTTCCTTCCAGCTTGGTGATTCTCAGAGTTCATGCTTCCAAGTAGCATTTTTAAGCTACTGCCTATGCATGTAAGTGATCTTCCAATAAAGACCCTGGGCTACTGGCTGTACCCCAGAGCCTAGACCTTTTAGGTTTAGACCGTCCCAGACTGAAATCCTCCTGTGCCTCTTTCAACCTATGGGACCTTGGATGAGTCACTTATCCTATTCTATCTCTTCAGTGCTTAGCCCAGAGCCATGGTTTACTAGGTGCTGATTATCATTATCATCCTCATTGCGACCGCTAAGATCAGGGTGAATGAGGTGCTAGGAAGCGTCAAGGTTTCCTGCTGCCATCCTCTTTCATCCAGAATCCCTGGGGCTGCCTGGGGTGACTTTTAATACAGAGCCACTTACATCTTCAACTGGCGTGGATGCCTCTACCTAAATGGGAATCACCATTCCCCTCTCAGAGAGATCCTCAGGGCACCTTGTTCTGCTTCCTGCAGCTCATCTCACCTGGCCCCCGAGAAAGGGACTGCAGAGAGGTTCTGTTTGTTCTGGCTAGAAAAGCAGGTTCCTCCTTGCTTGTCCCTGGTTGTAATCCCTAGGTTTCTGAAACAGGATTTCTGCCATTGCTCACTTGCCAACAGGCTGTCCTGAAACACCAAGAAAGGGCACTGGGAAACTGAGCTGGGGAACTATATGCCCTAGCATGGATAGGCTGCACTGACAGGAGACCAAACCTGGCTGGGGATGAGCGAGCACAGGGGCCAAATCACACAGTGGCCACCAGTAGCTCAGTTTCCATGGCAACGTCTGGCTTCTAGAGATGGAGGCGCCTATCTGGGAGAAAGTCTGGCTTCCTCCCATCCTCCTCCAAGGTAGGGGTCTTCTTCTCTGGCTTGAGGAAGCTGCTGAGGTCCCTGCCAGGGGCCATCTGTGCTGGCTCACCTGCAGGAGATGAGGAAGTGGAGCAAGGGGACAGTTCTCCAACACTTGGACTAAGAAAATGCCCAGCTCCCTAAATCCATCCACAGCCACATCCTGTGGCTTTATCCTTGCCAGGCGTCTGCCTCAGGAGGGAGACAGAACAGATGCTAGAGTTCAGAGCTCCTGAAATGGTGATGCTTCCAACTGGCTCTAAAAAAAAAAAAAATGAAACTCTTGGATGGAAAATTACCACCAGCTCCATTAGCAATTAAGCAAATGAGAAGAGGCTGACTTGAAGCCTCAGGTGCCATTTCAGGTTGTCTAGAGGAGTGGGTAGCTGTCAGGAGGGAGTGTCAGGAGATACCGGGGGACATTGCCAGGCAGGCATGGGGCAGGGAGGGCAAGTACACATGTATGTAGGTTTAATTTGTTTTATGCACAAGATAGAAGGCTAAAGGTATGTGTAAAAAGTAAGTTGTTGGCTGGGTGTGGTGACTCACACCTGTAATCCAGTACTTTGGGAGGCCAAAGTGAGCAGATCGCCTGAGTCCAGGAGTTTGAGATCAGCCTGGGCAAAACGTAGCAAAATCCCATCTCTACAAAAAATACAAAAAATTAGCCGGGTGTGGTGGCATGTGCCTGTGGTCCCAGCTACTAAGGAGGCTAAGGTGGGAGGATTGCTTGAGCCTGGGAGGTCAAGGATGCAGTGAGCCTAGATTGTGCCACTGTACTCTGACCTGGGTGACAGAGCCAGACCTTGTCTAAAAAAGAAAAAAAAAAGCTGTTGACAGTCTAGGTCATAGAATCACAAAATGTTAAAGCTGGAAGGAGCCAAAGCTGTTGACAGTCTAGGTCATAGAATCACAAAATGTTAAAGCTGGAAGGAGCCTTAGTGATCATTTGCTCCAAATTCATTTTACAGTGGTCAGTCACAAAGCCAAGCCGGGTTGCAGATTCCCAGCTTCTGAGGCAATGCTCTAGACATGAGTCAATTTTATACGCAGGAACAGTGCTTGTTATTCGAAGCATTTCAATGGAAAGTCCATGTATAAAGTGACTCATGAACTCTGCTTCCCTCTTCCATTTCTCTTTTACATCAATCCAGACTCTTAAGTATGAGTTTTGGGTTCAGGTGGGCCATATTCATAGTTACCTGTGAAACATAGTCTGCATAACATTCGACTATGTGGGATAAAACCAACTGATCCTACTTTATTATGAAAATTTAAATGCTAGTTGCCATTACAATAGAATGTATGTGTATACATAATATAAAATAGGGAATTATGTGCAGACTTGGAAAGCAACGACATCTCATGGCTTTCTTTATGGATTGTTTATCCTATTTAAGAACCTTCTATTTTAATTCTGTGTGACCTGGCTAATTTTCTACTAGCTTGAAAATTCAGGCTCTGCCCCTTGCTTAATCCCTCTTCCTCCAGAGGCCAGGGCTGTAGTGGCCACCAGGAAGGCTTAGGATGACAGGACTCCAGGAGTGCCCTTGTCCCTGCTTGCCACCAGGAGTTCATGAGTACCACTGGCTGCTACTAGACCCTTCCATTGATGGAGTATTTCTTTGGGGAATGTTAAAGAAAGAGAAGTTAGTAGTTTCCACCAAATTTTTCTCCCCAGCAATGAAGCCAAATCCCTGAAAAGCTTCACCCAACCTTGGCATTCCTAATTGTATGTAGCCTCTTTGATTCAGTACTCAAGCAAGGCCACCAAGGTACACACACATGCACATGCACAGAGTACTCTATGACTCACTCCTGGGTATATATCTTAGAGAAACTCACACAAGCGCACAAGGAGACATGCAGAGGAATGTCATAGCAGCATTTCTTGTAACAGTAAAAAAAAAAAAAAAGAAAAAGAAACATGTAGATATACATCAACTGCATAGGACTGTGGCATATCCATACAATGGAATATCATACATCAGTGAAAAAGAAATAAACTGGAGCTGCATGTGTCTGCACAGATGAAACTGAAATATTTAATGTTGAGTGAAAATAGTGTGATACAATTTAAATGAAGTTTAAAAACACTTTATGGAACTCAGGGCTTACAGAGACATGTAATAAAAGTATGAGGGAATGCCTGGGATGATAAACCCCAAATCCAAGGTCATGGTCTTCTGAGTAAAGGGCACTGAGGGTACTTCAATTGTAGTTGTCAAGTTTTATTAAACATGGCAGTGGCTCATAAGTGCTTATCAGATGATTTCTTCTGCATTTTATATGCCAAAATATTAGGTAAAACGGAAAAAAAGAAAACACCAGGCAGCTGACCCTGTTGGAAATTTTTTATTTACCACTGCAAGGTTTTTGCTCCAAAGTGTCACACCAGACATATGACTACAATGTCTCATGCATCTTTTTGTGCTTTAGTTCATGACTGCAAAACACACACTTAGCATTTGACAACAGGAAACACAGAGGGCAGAAACAAATCACAAGGACTAGTTGGTTTAGGTTACAGCCACATTTTACCCAGGACTCCTTTACATCCAAGAGAAATGGACCCTGAATAACTGGTCTCCTAGCTGATTCTCTGTGCCCAGCTTTGTTTGGAGTGATTTGTCATTCAACCCACACAAAAAGTTGTATCTCAAATCAAAATGGACAGACATATGCAAGGTCTTAATCAATAAGTGCTCAACAAATAGATATTGATTTGGTGCAAGAGGTGGAATCACAGATTAATGAGGGCAGACTCCCGATTTTCTATCCCCGTAGAAATCTCTGAAGAAAGAACCAGATCACCTTTTTGAGCAACAGTGCATTCTGAAATGGTCTCTCACCTTATTTTTACCTCTACCTCACACCCTTTTTAGAAATGCTCACTGGCATCACACAAGGTGTTCCTTTCGAAAATGATGAGATACTTCACACAGGCTCAGTTACTATAATTTGATAGTAAATTGGAAATGTTTCTGGTACAAGGTAAGCTGATGCAAAGACTACTGAAATATTTTTATTTGGCAGTTTGACATCTCTGGATAATTTAAAATTCACTAAGATGGAGTTTTAGTGGAAAAGCAGAGCAATTATATTCTCTTCATCTGTTGATTACATTTACATGGAGAGCAATGAGTTGCCATTAGGCAAATAGTAATACTCATTGTCATGAATTTCTAGCTTGACTGCTAAGACATCTGATGCCTTTACCATTGAGAACTCAGCTAGGACTTTAATTTTTATGCCATTTGCAGTGTCTTTTTCTGCCTACTCTGCCAGCCACTCTTAATTCATTAATTCACTCAACAAATATATATGAATATATATGGAGCACCCATGAGACAGCTTTATCCCAGGCACTTAGAATACAGTGAACATAACAGACAACTCTCCTTCAAAATGTATCTCATTTCTGTAATCCCTGCTAAGTGAGGTCAAGGCTGACATCTAAGATGTTCTGTGGCGGAACCTGGCCCCCATCAGGGGCAACCTTTAATTTGGATTCTGGAAGACTAAAACTTTGAGATCCCTCCCCCGCCCCGCCCCCCCAAAAAAAAGAAGAAGAAGAATGAAAGGATGCTTCATGACCAAATGATGATGGGTGGAGTTGATAATTCTGGGATCGGGGCCCCGCCCAGCCCACCTGAAATTCCTTTGATGGTACTATAAGGCAGCTGCACAGATTTATAAGGAGCCATGTTTCCTGATTTTTGGTCTAGAATCCAAATTTTCTAGATTGGAGTAGTAGATGTTACCAAGAAGAGAATGCTGGTCAGCTTTCAGCTTATAGGAAATGTTTTGTTTTCTTTTACCCACACCAACCAAAGAGAAGAAACCAGTATGGTGAAGAGATCTCTAAAACATTTCATAGGAAGCCACTAACAAGTGCTTTGCCTACACAACACTTGGCAGGGGCTGGCCAACCTCAGTGATGAAGGTTTCCAATTATCCAAAAGACTTCTCATGAAAGAGGGATTCGATATTTTTTCTGTTTTTTCAGAGGATGGTTAGAAGTTATTTCTAATGCTTTTCTATTTCTGTACAGAAAGAAAAAATAATGACCACAGGTTATAAGGCTCCTGCTCAGATTCTCAGGGAGAGGCCAAGTATGACTTGACTTGTTGAAGGAATGAAGCCCTTACCCATCTTGTCCAGAAATTCTGTCTTAGGGAAGTGGATTAGGGTGACATCTGAAGGCCCAGAGTTTTAATATTAATAGAGAGGGGTCCAAAGGCAGAATCCATGGTTCTGGAAATGCCACGATGCTTCTGGCACTTTCTGGGCATTCTCAGCTGCCAAATTAAAGTGAAAAATAGGCCGGGCGCGGTGGCTCAGGCCTGTAATCCCAGTACTTTGGGAGGCCGAGGAGGGTAGATCACCTGAGATCTGGAGTTGAAGACCAGCCTGGCCAACATGGTGAAACCCCATCTCTACTAAAAGTACAAAAATTAGCCAGGCATGTTGGTGGGCACCTGTAATCCCAGCTACCCAGGAGGCTGAGAGAGGAGAATCGCTTGAACTTGGGAGGCGGAGGTTGCAGTGAGCCGAGATCGTGCCACTGCACTCCAGCCTGGGCAACAAAGAGCAAAACTCCGTCTAAAAAAAAAGGTGAAAAATAGTAACTTAGCTTAAAGATGATCTGCTGGTGGCCTCAGAGTTTGTTTTTAGCCAGAGAGTGCCTACAGGTTTTGAACACTATTTCATCTAGTATATCATTCATTGGGGTAGGCTTCCTAGTCATTAGTCCTATCTTACACAGCTGGCCAAACAGGTGCTGAAGGGCAATGTCAACAACAGAACCCAGGAATCCTGGTTCAGGTGTAAGTACCGTATCCACTCAGCAAGGCTCATAATTTAGATTTAATTAACAATGTGGACATCTGTTTAGAATAACAAGGTAGGAATTCAAAACCTAGCTGCTGGTTATTTACCCATTCAAGTGAAAACAGACAGAGGGAGGCACAGTTGCAAAAGACCTGATTTCCTTTTTAAAATTATCTTTCTTCTCTACCTACATGTAGCCAGATGTCATAGACTAAGTCAATAACTAAATTCCTCCTGAAGTGACTGGAACGCTGAGAAGGGACCGGTCTATCTCAGAGTCACTTTGGTGATGCTGGTGGGTGTGACATCTAGCAATCAGAACCCAGCCAATGACTCACAGGAGATCCCACCTGTACTTTGTTAGGGATGGTCTCCCCAAGGATAATAGAAACTGATTTTAAGATAAAAACAATAAAATTCTTCAATAAAAAGCACAAAATTCAGTCCAAGAGCAGGGGGCTTATGAAATGCACAAATTAAAGTATTAAGAATTAAAATAATTAAATTAAAAAGCTGAGGCCCCAGATTTCACCCTGATGGTTGAGGTGTCCAGCATTGGAACTGGCTGCACCATGGTTTTGGGACTCCATCAAGGACTGTGGCCAAAAACCTGTGTGGAATATTGTAGAAGGAATTTCTCCACATACAGTGCTCCACCCTCTACATCAGCTTGTTAAAAAGGAAGGCTCCTGGGCTTCGACCAGGAATACCGACTAGGAATGTCTCCAGGCGAGCCCAGGAATCTGCTGGTGACTCTTCACATGCTAAAGTTTGAGAACTGCCGGGTGACTGCCCTGCATGGTGAGCTTGATTGAACGCTGGCTAAGGTTTCTTTCCACCTGGGCAATCTCTAACTCTAGGAGTTGATCCAGGATACTTTCACTTCCTTCATCATTTTTGAAATGCTTGTTTTTCAAAAAGCCAAATTCTTCTTTGCATCCATGATTCCCACATTTAGCTTTCTCTGCATCTGGCCTAACCCCACCTATAAAACAGGCATAGGAACTGTATTTAATAAGCACCTCCTTCAATAACACAGATGAGCAAAATGCATTCCTCAGTGTGACCCGCATATTCCATTTCCTGCTCTGTCTTGCTTATTTCTAAGAAACAAGAGTATGATGAGAGAGCCATCCCAGCCTTGCAAACACATCTGTCACTGTCTTCTGGGTGTCAGAATGAGGAAAGGGGCACAGAAAGGAGGTTGCAGAGGACGGGTCAGGGCTGTCCAAGAAGGGAGGCAGCTGGGCAGCTGGTTACAGGTGCAGCTGGTGCCACATGGCAATCTGCCGGCGAGGGTTTTTGAGCATCTCCTCCCAGTGGCTGCGCTCAGAGCCCGAGGTGTGCAGGCCCAGGCTGCAGTGGCCAAGCGCACAGCTCTGCCCTGAATCGTCCTGGCCCAGCACTTCCAGCTCCACACTGGAGGCCTGCAGCAGGTCGTCAGGCAGCTCAAACATGATCATCTCGTTCCACACGGGGTTGATCTTGTGCTTAGCTCGTTTAGTCTGCTTCTTCTTCAGCTTCCGAGCCTGGTGCTTCAAGGTCACCTTGACAGAGACATCTGGGGAGGGGCAGAGGGGAAAAAGAGACAGAGAGAAGGGACAAGAGTGAGTTTCTGGGATCTGGCAGGGCCCAGGACAAAGCTCCCTCCTGGTGCTGGAAAGATGCTCAAGAGTTCGGACATCTGTGCCCCATATACCCAAACATCTTAGAGGCCTCAGTTTTTCCTTCTGGATACCCCAGCACAGGTCCCAAGTCTATGTGACCATAGAAGGCTCTGCTATACCAGCAGGAAAGCATCCCACCCGGACAATCTATAACTCTAGGAGTCGATCCAGGATGCTTTCATTTCCTTGCATTGGGGATTATTCTCCACTCCCCCACTAGGCCATGCATTCATTCAACAAATATTAAGTGCCTACCCTATGGCAGGCACTGGTCTAGAAGTGGGGATGCAGCAGAAGTTCTTGCCTCCATAGAACTGACACTAAAGTGTAGGAAACGGCCAATACCATGATATAGAAGGCTGGCCACTGGGTGGCCTGTGATTGGGGCATGTTAGAGTACCAAGAGGGAACCACCTTTGCTACATGACTTCATATCCTCACATCAAACCAGGTCCATGACAACAGCTCAGGGGTCCTGCAGCTGGATTTTAAACTCAGACCAGAAAAATGAAGCCAGCTCCCAACTCTTCATCCCCTTGATTCTTGGTGTAAGCATGTTTGTCTGTTATCAAAATAGGAGATCCCCTGCTGGTTGGTTGAGTTCTTCTCATCCGTACTTTTTAAAGTTTTATTTGAAGACCCCCAACTTCATGTGGAAGAGGGATGAAGGCAGACTGCCTGTTCCTGCACGCTCCCCCAAACCCAGGGCACTGCACCAAGAGAGCTGGCCCCAAGGAAATCCACAAACAGGTCACCAGGCGAGCTTTCATGTCACATCACAAGGCTGGACTGGATTACTTAGTCAATGTTTCCAAAGCTAATGTGAGAATAATTGTTACTTTGTATTTATTGCTGTAATTATCACCTCTGGGAGGTTAGTTTGTTATTTCTACAGAGAGAGTTGAGAGACGAAGTGTTGTACTGTAATTGTCCTGACAGGAGCTATAAAAGAGAGCAAGAAGCAAAGAATTGTCTAAAGGGAATGAGATAAAAGCATTGAACTTTGACCTTTGACTCAGGAACCTGCCAGCAAGACCAACTCTTCTGATTCCATTAGCCCCAAGTCTTTTGCTCGAAATTCAGAATGCAGTGGCAATTCTTTATTTGTACCCTGCTATAAATAGAGACTTATTTATATCTTGCTAGGCGCATGTGGCTTCCAGTCCAGGTATTATCTGGCTAGCTGAGGATGCTTTCCTGCTCATATAGGAGAGCTTGTTTTGGTCTCCGAGATGCTGGACCTGGGCTGGGGTATCCAGAAGGAAAAACTGAGGCTTCCAGGGTGTTGCAGAAAAGCTTATTTGGGTATATGGGGCACAGACGCCTGAAGCCTCAGGCCTCAGCCCATGTACCCACACACCTTCTGCCATCACCCACACTCAGCTGGTGTGAGGGTGGCAGTTGGCAAAGGCTGAGAAGAGAGAAGAGACTGGGGTGGGTGGCAGGAGTGCAGTGGTGGTGAGTTCAGACAGGAGGGGAATAACCTGGCCTTCCTGACATCTGCCTGAAAGGTGGGTCCAGCCAGGTGTGGGTGACAAGGGCTGGGCCAAGTTTTCCCGACAGCCCAGGCCCTTCACTCCACGGCTATAGTCTGACCCTTGGCTTCTTGTGCTCTGTGGTTAGGGCTGATGGTTCTCATAGTGGATCTCCAAGGTAGGGAACCCCAGGTAGCTCACACTGGGGTCCTAATGGATGGGATTGATCCAAGAGTAAATGGATGGGAACTCATAGAAGTGAGTGTGTCCTCGAAAATCAATTTGTGAACTTAGGGTGAAGAACACCGCTGAGCATGGCTCCGTAGATGTGCTCATATTCCACCTCCCTGCTTACCTGTGACCATTTCCTCCCAGGCACCACCTCCCTCAGCACACACTCCCGGTAGCTGGAGGGGCCTTGGCCATCCTCTCACATCTCACTCACCCTTCCCCAGGAGCTCCTTGGACTGGTTAGAGTGGAGGTTCTTGGCTTTAATCAGCACCACCAGGAGGCGGTTGGCAGCCGGGAGGTAGCTGATGGATAGTAGGACCTCTCCAGCTCCTGCAGATGGCTCCTGAAACAGAAAAGGAGATGCAGGAGGGGAGTCTCACCTGGGGACGCCTTCCAACCCATCAACAAATGCTGAAGCTGGAACCATGCTGGATTTGCATCCAACACGCATCCTTGAAACCATTTACCCGTCAATGCTGGGGTGTCCACCCTTGCAGAAGAGAGCAAGGCACAGAGGAATTCCATGCGGCATGCGCTTCAATAGCAGTTTCTTTGTTTGCCTCAAAATGTGATTTTTCATATACCATATACTCAAATCCAACATACAAAACAGAACAAAGAAAGGCTACTCAGAATGCAGCAGCGGGGAGGAGGCCAGAATTCCCCATTACCCTTCACCTTCTGCCACCCCCAAGCTCCTGGGACACCTCTGTCCTCTAGGGCCTCAGAGAACAGTTTCAGAATCCCTGCATGGACCCATCAGGTTCCTGGGGCAGCGGGAGAATTGTAATTCATTACTATGTTTGAAAAGATAGTTCTTTCCAGCTCCAGGAGGTTGCTTCATCAACAGAATGACAAGTAATGTCAATGAAGTGCTGGGGTGTATGATGGTAGATCATGCCCAGAGGCAACTGGCAATAACCACACCTTGAAGGAGGTGCTGATGCCCCTGTGAGGCATCCAAACAAACACATCTATCCCTGCACGCAGCTTTAGAGTAACTCTCCTGAAATTCGTACAGGAGTTTATTTGGAATTTCAACAAATCCGTCAAGGGACAAGAATGACCGAAAGACCCCTCCTAGGAGGTGGGTGTTTGGTTGCAATCCAAGCTCTGGGGAGACCTGGCAGGAAAGAGAAGGGAGTGTGTGGGCAGGGATCAGCTGAAGGTCAGAAGTCTCCTCTGTTGAGCAGGAAGAAGATGCCCTTCCCTCGAAATCCCAAGGAAGAGGCAGATGTGTGGCCTGCTGTGCCAAGATGGAGTGGGGAGTGGGAGTGGGGGAAGGCCCCATGGAAGCTTGTCCCTCCAGATGTCACAGCTTTCAGTCCTGTGGCCCTTCCCTCCAGCTTTGTCCCTCTTTCCCAGCTGTGCAATGAGGGTAATTCAATGAGGTCTGGTACCAGGCTGGAGCCCTGGCTAACAGCCACCGTGACTCCCTAAGCTTCCTCCCCTTCTGTCACACCCAGGATGTCTGTTCATCCATCCTGGACCAGGCACTCAGAAGGGTTGAAATCGGTTTTTCTTTGCTCACTGTGGCCTCTAGTGGATTCATTCATTCAGCAAGCATATGCAATGCACCTACTATATTCCAGATGCCATAATTAAAGCCATGAACTAAACAGAATCAGTCTCAAAGAAGCTTGCAGTCACATGGGGAAGACAGAAAGGAAGTGATTAAATATATAACATCGGGCAGCATTAAATGCTATGAAGAAATATAGATATCAGAGGATGAAGTGAGAAAATGCATATAGCAAGTTCTTAGTAAAGGTCATAAATTACAATTCTAATGACAACAGTCAAAACAACAATTATTAATAACCCAGAATAAGAGTAATGCTGAGAGCATAGACTCTAAACCAGATTAACTGTGTCTGAGTTCCAATCCTACCATTTACTACCTCTATGACCTTGGGTAAGTTACTTAACTTTTCTAAGCCTCCATTTCTGCATGACCCCAATGATTCCACAAGTCTTGAGGGACTGGTCATATGAAGAAATGATTTGGGAGCCTCAAAGGATCTTGGCAATGAAATGAATGGTAGCAGCTAACATTTATTAAACACTGTGTGTGAAGTGCAATTACATTGTCCATCCCACTAGAAAGTAAGCTCCACTGTGGCCTCCATTCACACTATGCAACTCCAGCACCTGGGACACAGTGGGCACACAATAAACATTTGTGAAAAAAGGGTAACACATTCCATTTATAATCTTGATGACAACCTCAAGAGGGCTACTGATTTTGTTCCCATTTTAAGCACAAGAACCTCAGATTCAGAAAGGGAACATCATTGCCAGAGGTCATGTAGGCAGGAAGTGGCAAAACCAAGCCTTGGAAAGGAGGTCCAGTCTGACAGCAAAACTTAAGTCCTGAATCCATGGCTCTCCAGCTTTCTCAGTTGACAGCCCTCCCTAACCCTCTCATTTCACAGTGAAGGAACTGAGGCCCAGGGACTTGTACCAGGCACCCAGAGAGGTGACTGCAGAGTTGGGATGGGCACCAGCCTCCTGGCTCATCACTGATTATTAGAGGGCCACAGGTAGCCCGGGCTATAGCCACAGGGTTACCAGACTTGAGTCCTCTGCTACCTACAGACCAGGTGAGAGGAGTCAGCACCTGTCAGCCTCTGCAGGGCTTTTCACTTTTGCATAGGGTGAGGTCTAACTAGCCTAGCCGGCTGCACCATAGCCAGACAATTTCAACACCTGCTCCCTGGGCACTGCTGCTGAAAGTACCTGCAGACTAAAGTAATCCTTTCTTTCTTCTTCCTTTCCCTGGTTTTCCCTGCCCCTCTCTTTCTCTCAGGTCTTAGTGAACCATGCAAGACTACCCTTGGAGGCTAATATCCAGAATCTACAAAGAAATTAAACAAATTTACAAGAAAAAAAACAAACAGCCCCATCAAAAAGTGGGCAAAGGATATGAACAGACACTTCTCAAAAGAAGACATTTATGCAGCCAACAGACATATGAAAAAATGCTCATCATCACTGCTTATCAGAGAAATGCAAATCAAAACCACAATGAGATACCATCTCACGCCAGTTAGAATGGCGATCATTAAAGTCAGGAAACAACAGAAGCTGGAGAGGATGTGGAGAAAAAGGAATGCTTTTACACTGTTGGTGGGACTGTAAACTAGTTCAACCATTGTGGAAGACAGTGTGGCAATTCCTCAAGGATCTAGAACTAGAAATACCATTTGACCCAGCCATCCCATTACTGGGTATATACCCAAAGGATTATAAATCATGCTACTATAAAGACACATACACACATATGTTTATTGCAGCACTATTCACAATAGCAGACTTGGAACCAACCCAAATGTCCATCAATGATAGACTGAATAAAGAATATGTGGCCCATATACAGCACGGAATACTATGCAGCCATAAAAAAGGAATGAGATCATGTCCTTTGCAGGGATATGGATGAAGCTGGAAACTATCATTCTCAGCAAACTAATACAGGAACTGAAAACCAAACACCACATGTTCTCACTCTTAGGTGGGAATTGAACAATGAGATCACTTGGACACAGGGAGGGGAACATCACACACCAGGGCATGTCAGGGGTGGGGGCCTGGGGGAGGGATAGCATTAGGAGAAATACCTAATGTAGATGACTAGTTGATGAGCGCAGCAAACCAACATGGCACATGTGTACCTATGTAACAAACCTACACGTTCTGCACATGTATCCTAGAACTTAAAATATAATAATAATAATCAAAGACTGCTCTTGGAGTGGATTGCCCTGTGAGTCACTCTTGATGCACATGGCACTTTTGGCTGAGTATCTTCCAGCTAGAACTGGGCACCGTGGGCAAGTCTGTTAACCCATCTGGCCTAGAGAAGAAAAACATCTGGGCTGCAATGACTGAGGGCTCCACTCACCTTGTTCAAATCAGCCCACACCCTCTAGCTGGGGCGAGGGGCTGCCTGGCCTGGACTTCCAGCTTTCTCCTGCCCTATACACCCAGAAAGTCACCTCCTACTTCTGACTCCATGCCACCCTCTGAGGTTGTTCACATTTGTAGTAAACAGGTCAGTGATCAAAGTGGTTGTGAGTACATATTTGCAGAACAGAAACAGCTACAGAAAGTATGATAATTATTAGGATGGATGAGCTGCAAGGTCAGGGCTTCATCTTAATTACTGTTGCTATGTCCCCAGCTCTTGGCACAGCGCCTGGCACATGGTAGAAACTGGGCAAGGTATTTGCAGAATGAATGAATGAGTGAATGATGGCTGCTCTTCTAGAGGGCAGTGAGAGAAGCTGCTAGGTGCCTGAGACTTCTGCCTAGATTGGCTGGATTTCTGCCCTTTGGGGCTGTACCAAGTCTCAGAGCCCAGCAGGGGAGTCTCTGCATCTCGAGAGAAAGCTAGTTTACTAGTTTAATAATCCTAAGTATTGATGCCTTCTCCCAGGATCCCCATCTGTGATTCCACAGAAGTCCCAAATCACACACTAATTAGAGAGTGGGCTTTGGAACAGCTGAGTTCCATCTGAGAGTGGCTGTGATTTTTCTAACAATTTTCTGAGCCTGGGAAAGAGGAAAAAATGGAGCAAGGAGGAAATCATAGCAAAAAGAGGAGCAGACAGCGGGTGAAACGTACTCTTCCCTCCTGCAGTCTGGGTGTCTATTAGGAAAGGTGCCTGCTGGTCACACCTCATATTTGTCAGGTGGCTTTCATGGCAGGTAATGAGATAGCACAGGATTTCGAGTCAGACCAACCCGGCCTCAAGGTCTGCCATTTCCTGGCTGTGGGACCCTGTGTGGATTCCTGAACTGCTATGACCCTGTTTCCTCATCTGTAAGAGGGATAGTCATGGTGTCTCTCTCATCTGGTTGATTTGGAGAGTGGCAGCACTCAGGTAGAGTCCTAAGCATAGTAACTGATGGTGAGCATTAAAAAATAGTACCCTTGGCCGGGTGCAGTGACTCATGCCTGTAATCCCAGGACTTTGGGAGGCTGAGGTGGGGTAGATCACAAGGTCAGGAGATCAAGACCATCCTGGCCAACATGGTGAAACCCTGTCTCTACTAAAAATACAAAAATTAGCTGGGCGTGGTGGCGTGTGGCTGTAATCCCAGCTACTCAGGAGGCTGAGGCACGAGAATCGCTTGAACCCAGGAGGCAGAGGTTGCAGTGAGCCGAGATCGCGCCACTGCACTCCAGCCTGGCAACAGAGCGAGACTCTGTCTAAAAAAAAAAAAAAAAAAAAAAAATAGTGCCCTAATCAGTATTTTGCTTTTTGCTTTAGCATGAGGGTTGTCAAACATTTTCTGGAAAGGGGCTAATATAATAACACCTATTTGGGGCTATGCAGGTTATACAGTCTTTAGATCAGTATAGCACTGCCAATCTGGTTGAGAGACTAGTCACCCAGAAGGTTTCCTCAAGGAACCACAGTGCAGGCCCTTAGATGAGCTTTGACCCAGGGGCCTAAGTAACTACATACCATCTTGTAGCCCTGACCTTCCCAGATCCCCTTGCTGTCCTGGCGCATGGGAAACAATGATTTTCTCCCCAAGGGTCCCCTCTCTTGAGGGCTGTGGCATCTCAGAAGACCCTTCTTTCCCACTTGTGGCCCCCCAACAGCAGATATGGGGAAATCATCTTGAGTCTGGGGATTGCATGGACCACCGGGCTCTGGGCCTGCCCCCAGCCCTGATTGCTCCTTCAGAGCCTAGCACACGGGGCCTTCTAGAATTCTTTATCAGAGCACATTGGTTAGGTCTCTCTTACATGGCTCAGGGTGGAACACATCAAATATCGTCATCATTTGTCTGTGCCAATTTGTCCCCTAGTCTGTACACTCCTGAGTGGTGGGGCTCCACCCTTCATGCTCACCTACACAAACGGAGGAAGGTAGAGTGTCCTGCAGTGTCTGCCACATCGTAGGAGCACACAGAGTATAACTGGATTGAAATGGGGACAGTACTTCATAGCAGTAAAGGTAATACACACAGCATGGCATTTTCCATGACGGCAGAGAGAGTCTTTGCATGGCAAGTTAGAGCCAAGACTAGGAGCAGACACTAGGAATCCCAGATCCTGGGCTATGGGTCTCCTCTAGCCCTCTGCCCCATTCAAGATTCCAACCTCCCTTCCAGCCCCAAGCCAGGGAGGTCTCTGAGGCTTGTTCCCTAAGACTGAGTTGCTGGGAGGACACCAGGTTCTGCCATCCCATGCTGCACGGGCAGGTTTTACCTTTCTAACCCAGGGGTTACCCTACCTTCGCTGAAGTCTTCAGCTCGCCCCACTGGGCAGCCCCTAGAGGCACAGATGTCCCGTCCAGGCCCAGGCGGAGCTCCCCGGCCACGCTGTGACGGGAGAAGCGGTCGCAGGTCCTCAAGGTCAGCGTCAGGGTGGCTGTGGGGAGCTCCTCCTCCGCCAGGGGGAGCACCAGGCCCTCCTCCCAGGTGGTGTGCAGCTGCCGCTTCTTTAGGGCTGTCTGAGCCTCCACAGAGCCGGTCCTATTGGCCACACTCCCTTGGACGTAGCAGTCACAGCCTCCGTCGTGGTTGCTGGTCACAGCTGCAGGCAAGGAGAACAACACAGGCGTGGGACTTTCTGAGGACAAGTGGAGGGGGCAGAAGCACGCCTTGCTTAGGGCTGTGGAATCCAGCTTAACGACGTGACCTTGGGTGTCAGAAAGGCTGACCACCCTGGGCACCAGGGAATCGCCTTTCAGTGAGACATTTAGAAATAGATCATTTGAGGGGGCTGGCCTCAGCACATGCCGATTCTCTTTCTTGGAGAGCAGGGACAAGACTTGGCATTTCCTGGAGCCCTCTGAACTCCGGATTCTGAAATTTTGCCAAGGTGCCAAGGCTTGCTGCTGGGGGCCTTTATTAGTGGTGCTGCTGACATGTAACCATTTGTTCTGAACTTTAAATAGTCACCACATAACCATTTTCCATGAGAATCACTTGGCTCTTACCTCATGAGTGAGTGTGGCTTTATGTTCTGAACCTTGGTGTTTTCAATGCTTCACAATGTGTGGCTCTGCCCAGAAATGTACACCTTGGGTACTTTTCTGACTGGCTCTTCAGGGATCGTTTGGAAAGTGGTAGCTGACATTTCACAAGAAGAGAAGATGAAGAACTGAGGCTATGTGTCTTAACAGCAAGAGCTTTCCACTGAACTTCAAGGGACTGCTTAGTCCTGGCTCTGTCACCAGTTAGATGCAGTGATCTTTGACAAGTCATATGACTTGCCAGACCTCAGTTTCCTAATCTGTAAAATGCGCTAGTGTGAAGACCAAACATAATAAAGTATAGGAGGAAGGTGCTTTAAAATCTTAAAAGATAATACAAGGAAAAAGCCTCAGAAAATAGAATTATATACAAAATTCCAATTTATCTGACCCCATTGCTAGCCCTGATTCCTTTGCAAAGTCTTAGCTTTAGTTGCTGACCTTAAAGTGAATTGTCAGGGCAGAGAAACCAAGGACATCCTGCCACCCTCAGGCCGCTTGGCTCTTAGATTGTAGAAACTTTTCTGACCATTCGGAACATGCTGTGTGTCCAGCACAAAGCCCTGTCCAATTTCAAATTCATCTATGGCAGAGACGACTAGTTCTTCACCCCAAACTCATTGCCTTTCCTTCCGGGGCACCTGTCGGCCCACATTTCCCAGCCCACTTTGCAGTTGAGTGTGCTCATGTGACTGAGCTACGGCCAATGGGATGCAAGCGGAAGTGACGTCCACCAAGTCCAGGTAAAGGCTGTTAAGGAATGATTACGCCCTCTCCTTCTCTTTCTCCTTCCATCTGCCAGATACAGATGGCAAGGATACAAATGACAAGGAGAGGGGGGTTATGGAGCCACAGCTGGAAGGAGTCTGGTCCTTGAATCACCATTTGGAGAAAAAACGTTTGTCAACCAGGAATCCCCACTTTGGACTGTTGGGGTTGGGAGTGTGGGAAATCTTTGTGTCTAAGCTCCATGTGTTCCAGGGTCTGGTTGTTAGAGTCCTAATCCAGTGCTCTCTCCAGCTGCAGATGATCCCATCCTGCCTGCACAGCTTCTCCAGGGGAGATAGACACACAGAAGCCCACGAGAGTCAAATAAGAGCCATACCTTCCAGGCGAGTCACAAACAATTCTGCCTTCTGACAGTCATAGTCCAGGCAGTAGTGGAGTTTGGGGGCCTGGTTCCAACTGGCAGCCTTCTCTGGGTTCCAGGTCTCCATGACACAGACATCCTCCACCACACCTGTTAAGAAAGTCGAAATCGTCACTGCCACCCACACTGGGGTTCTGCTTTCCTGATTACACCTTTCTCATCTCTATCACCTATGCCAGGAACCCAAACCCAAGTCTTCCCAGCTGTGTGCAGAATCACAGTGGCCACACCAAGACAACAGGTGGGGTCAATGTCACAGCCCATTAGGCTGCATCTGTGTCCACTGGCTCCCTCATCAACCACACAAAACAAAACAGAGACTACACAACAATCTACTCTCCCTGCTTTATGTTTTGTCTTTCTAAAACGCCTACATATTCTTTGGGTCAGGGACGATCATGTCTCTTCTTCCCATATCTTCCCCAGTGCCCAGCAGCAGCATAGTACACCTAAAGGTGCTGCACTCTTGATGTGGATGCTGATGAAAAGGAGAGTAGAAATAATAACAATATGTTTCGACGGGGCATGGTGGCTCATGCCTGTAACCCCAGCACTTCGAGAGGCCAAGGCAAGAAGACCACTTGAGCCCAGGAATTTGAGACCAGCCTGGGCCACATAGTGAGATCTCATGTCTACAAAAAATAAGCAAAAATTATCTGGGCATGGTGGCATGCACCTGTAGTCCTAGGTACTCAGGAGGCCGAGGTGAGAGGATCACTGGAGCCTGGGAGATTGAGGCTGCAGTGGCCCACGATCATGCCACTGAACTCCAGCCTGGGAGACAGAGCAAGACCCCATCTCAAAAAAAATGTGCCTGGGACCTTATCTCAAAAAAACAACAAAAAACCCAATATGTTTTTTGTTACCTCCTTTGTGCCAGGCTCTGAATTAAGCATTCTATGTGTGTTATTTTATCTACACTTTACAACTCCCCTACCAGACAGATAATAGTCTAGTCTCATTTTATAGATGAAGAAACCGAGGTTCATGGAGTTACAGCATGACCCATGCCACACAATAAGTGTATGAAAGGGCAGCAAATTAAACCCTTGACTCTGAAGCCCATGGTTTTAACCATGGCTCTTTATCCTCTCTCATAGTTGCACACATATGACTAGAAAGGGACTCCATTTTCCAGTGGAAAGTTGGCGGTCTGGGGGAGAAGTGGTATGGCAACATGTTGTCAGGAAGAAAGGACCATAATTCTGAGGCCCAGTGCCCATCTGCTTGGCCAGCGTCAAATGCCGGGGCACTCGGCCTCCTCATCAGGCCACACACAGCATCTACAGAGACATTGACAAGCCCCACTGGAGTGCTGCCCATGGAAGTGCAGGGGGCAGGAGACCCCTACCATTCTGAGGGAGGATGAACAGCTCCTCTGTGACCTGCCTCTTGAGGCGACTGTCATTCGGGGGTTGGGGGCTGGCAGGTGCAGTGGGCTCCTCCGTAGACCTCAGTGAATAGTCTGCATAGTTGATGACCTCTGGAGCCGTCACAGCTGGCCTGGGTCCATAGATGTCTGGGAACTTGAGGAGGGCACGGGGCTGAACAGGTTCCGTGGACTTTTTAACATTGAACTGCAAACACAAATTACTCTGATTAGTCCACAAAGGAGCCCTCTTGTCTGTTTCCCCCCATGGAAGGGAGAAACGGTGAACTGACCTGTTGTAGGATGCAGAGGGAGAGTTGTGGTTTCATTCTGCTCTGAAGAGCACAACCTAGGAAGGTCTAACATCATCTCCAAACCCACTCAAATCCACAATCCACTGAGATGTGGGCCTTGTTCATCCATACCTCCTCCATCCATCGGCCCATCCATCCTATGGCTGCGCCCATGGATATTGCCTGGACCTGCTGCAGGTGGTCCCCACTCTGCTGCTCTCATCTGCTCCCCTTGCCTCTTCCTTCTCCCTTCTCCCTTCCTCCCTCCTCTTCTCCACCTAATGGCTCAGAAATGCCAGTGGCTCCCACCACACAAAATCCAGACTCCTTGCAGCTTGCCTAGCTTGATCCTGCTCATCTCTCTGATATCGCCCCCAATCCTTCCTTTGCTCATCTCCAGTCACTGAGCTCCCTGCTTCTCAAACAGCTTGGGCTCTTTCCTTGGTCCAGCTTCCAGCCCCTAACTTTTCCTCCCAAACTGTCCACCCCTACCTCCACCTGTTTTTGCATGGCTGGCTCCATCTCACACCTGAAGTCTGAACCAAGGAGTCCATCTCTAACCTTACAATCTAAATTAAATCCCTCCCCCAAGCCTGTCCCTCCCTATCACCACATCCCACTCTTTGCTTCACAGCATCAATCTCACCCTATATTGTTTTGGTCATAGGCTGGCCTGTTTGTATTAAGACTCTCCCACTAGCATGTGAGATCTATGAGCACAGGAATTATGTCTTGTCTTGCTCCTGCCTAGATTAGCCTGGTCCAAAGCCCACTGCCCCTATGGCTCTCGATGTTTGTCCTGCCTTCAAATCTTTCCCCAGCAGAGCAGTCCCCATCGGAAATATTTATCATCTTATTACACACAGCAACTAGTCACCCTAGGAGAGACATGTATGACTTGCAAAATCAATTTCCCTTTGCACCTCCACCCCCAGTAAGAGTGTCACTGGGCATCAAGTTGCTGTGTCCCTTGTGCCTAGCATGGTGTCAGCTCACAGGGAGCATGCAATCAATACCTGTGACTAGGGCTGCCATATTGAATGGTTTGTGCACTGCACAAAAATCTCTGGATGAGGACAGAGTAGAAGCCAAAATGTAGCCTGTGTACCACTTGCCCAATTGTGTGCTCTAGGCTAGGCCCTTTTCGCTTGGAACGAAAGGGAATCTTTCTTTTCAAAAAGACCCACCTGCTTGTCAACCCTTAAGTATATGGGGCTCCTCACACAGCATCTACAGAGACATTGACAGGGATCTTCTGTCTTTCCCTCCTATTTGAGAGACTCAAAGTTGTATGACAGGTAGCAATAGGAGCCTTCCTGGTCCTCAGGATTGAAGGCCAGGTCTAGAGCTTAAACTGCTGGCACTCTGGGTGGGCAGCCCATAAAAAAGCCCTCAGGTTAAGACAGGCGGATCTGAAGACTGAGGTCTATGACTGAGTCTCCCAAGAAACCTCCTGCCCTCCATGCTAGCCCTCCTGGCCCTCCCATCTCCATGGCTGAAGCGAGTAGTGGGTGCAGATGGCTGGCAGCAGGACTCAGGCTGCCCTACCCAGTGGCAGCAGTGATCCTGCACTGTGTAGGGGAGGGAGTGGACGTGGTCTGGCAGGAGAGGCAGTTAACAGTTTACACTATTTCAAAAAGTTGTGTTTCTAATTTTTGTACCCTCTTTATTTAATTATCCCAGGATGAATCCTGGACATTCTGCCCTGGTTGAGACTCTGTCCCCAACCATTCCTGAAGGAGACCGGACCTAGGTGACAGGGGCATTCCTTAATTAGTTTCATCCATTGGACAAACAGAGGGGATGTGGATAAGAAGCTGCAGCAGGGCCCAAAGGGGCAGGAAGCAGGGGCCGGACTCTCGGGGACCTCTTGGACAACCACTTCCTGCCCCTGCATTTCCAAGTGTTTTCTTCTGAACTTCCCTAAAAGGTAGAGCTTACCCCTCTTGTACAGATAAGGAAACTGAGGCTCGGAGAGATAAGAAACCCTCAGTTCTTCTCTCAGAAACACTGCACAGTAGATTATAAGGTAACCCAAGCGAGGACCTGATTCTAGCCTGATCACCACTGAATGTGCCTGGCACGCATAGGCTCTAAAAGCATTTCTGACTTCGGTGGAGTGAAGTCACTTGGAATCATGCAGCTGGTGAGGGCAGCAGCAGAGTAAGCCTAGATCAGCCTGGCCCAAAGCCCACTGCCCCCATGGCTTTCGACATTTTTCCTGCCTCCAAATCTTTCCCCAGCACAGCAGTCCCCATCAAAAACATTTATCATTATCTTGTTACACACAGCAACCAGTCACCCTGGGAGGGACATGTATGATTTACAAAATCAGGTCCCCTTTGCACCTCCACCCCCACTGAGAGTGTCACTGGCATCAAGGAGGCTGGCTTCCAGTACCAACCCTGCCGCTGGAGCTGGGTCACTTTGGGCAGGTCATTTCACCTCTCTGGGCCGTCACCTTAAGTGACAAGTGATTTGCAGGCTATCCCACTCCACATTCTGAGTTGCTTTTTTAGGCTGCAAAGAGATGAGAGACACCATTGCTTTATTTTCAGGTATAGGTGAGTTAGGGATGATCACAAACAGGTGAAATAAATAAGTATATTTGGCCACTCTGGACCACAATACAGAAGCAGACGGGAGGCAGTATGTGTAAATAACACATGATGGCCAGTGCACAGTACATGCAGGGCACAATCAGGGGTGCCTGGGAGGCCGAGCTGGCCTTCAGGGAGGAGCCAGGGCATGACTGAGACCTTGAAAGAGAGGGGGATTTGGAAGGCAGAGGCGAAGACCGGGCTTGGGGGAGTAAAAGTCTGTGCTTCTGACAGCAGATGCTCAGGGTCCTTGGAGGAGACACACAGAGCGATGACTAATGTCCCCGTCTTTCTACCCTACACAAAGTCACCTCCACCTTCAATATCTCATATAACTCTGTATTACCTTCATCCTACTGTTTCACAATGAGGAAACTGAGGCTCAGGGAAGCTCACGATCATACAACTGACAAGTGGTATGTATCATCCAGCCTCCAGATGTTTTCACTTCAAATTTCTTGTCATTTCCATTGCCCTGCAGCTGCTTCTCAACACCACCCCCTTGCCCCCTGCAAAATCCCTGTCGGTCTTGCCACTGGATTCTAAATGGCAATCACAGCATCTCAGGGGCCCACCCACTGCCACTCCCTCCCATTCATCGGCACAAAAGCGTTCCCAGAGGCTGCTGGGCCTCAGCACACACCTGACTTAAAGTCACCC
This sequence comes from Homo sapiens, assembly GCF_000001405.40. NCBI lineage: Eukaryota > Metazoa > Chordata > Mammalia > Primates > Hominidae > Homo > Homo sapiens. The sequence goes on from NC_000011.10 coordinate 45,259,237, forward strand.
TCTACTGTCACTTGGTTGGGACCAGAACTAAGACTGTTTGGGTGGTCTGGGAAACATTTTTGTGTTTATATTTGGTTTCATCCCAATTCAATCGTCTGAGAAAAGGGCTGGGCTTCATTCCCAGTTTGATGCAATTTGGATGAATTTGCATTTTCAAGGGGGAAATAATCACTGGGCTCAGCTCTGAATGAAGTTCACTCTGTGTTGCCTCAAGTCTTGACACTCTGGCTCTGCCTTCCTCCCTCCTCAGTGGATCTCAATTTGTATGTCCCTGATAACCTCAGGAGCTTGTTACCAGAGCTTAAAATGCACCCCTAGAGCAAAAGATTGGGCATTTCTTGGTTGTCTACCAATATCCATTCCCTCTCCCATCTACCCGCCCTACACAACACCAGGTTGTCTAGGTTCCATCCCATCCCCAGCTCCCAGGAAGAGGTCAGATCCTTCCATTTCTTGGCATTATCTTGGTGACTGATTCCCAGGGGTTGGCACCAGTCCTGGGGAAACCAACCCAGATGGAAGGGAGGGACTTGGATTCCACAGTAGTAGAAGTCCCCTCCTCCCTGGACAGGAAGCGGGTGGCCCTGCCTTGTGACTGCAAGGTGAGTCAGCCTTGGGGCAGCAGAGTGGAGAGACAGAAAGAACCTGTGTCCTTGATGGCAATGTCATTAAGCTGCTCAGCCAACCAATCCAGCAATCTGTCTTGCTTCTGCATTTCAAGTTACGTGAGTAGTACTGTTCTTATTGTTTAAGCCAGTTTGAATTGGGATTTTTGTGCCTTGCAGCCAAGAGCATCCCAAACTGATGCATTGCCTTTTTCAAGCATCACAGGAGATCATGACCCTGGTGTAGAGAAACTGGGCCTAGGGTAGAAAGAAACCCTCTTGAATCTCTGCATCCAGCCCAAGGCATCCTCATTTGCTGTTTATTCTTATCCCACTTTATCCTGTGTGGCAAATGGCTGGCTTTAGCTGGGAATGACTTACAGCCTTTGCCCAGGCCAAGAGCAGAGTCTGATGACAGCTACATGAGTCTTTTCAAGGAGCAAAAGCAGCAGCTGATTACCTATCTCCTTCTCTTGTGCAATCTTATTTATTGCATTTCAAACCTGGTTCCATCACATCTTTCAAATGCATCTATATTTGCACTTAAATAGCTGAAACTTCAGTGCCAGAGAAACAGAAAATAGGTTCAGGGGTTGAGAGAGGGAGCCTGGGAGAGGGTTCTAGGTGAAGAACAAGAATGTCTGGGGGAAGGAGGTGCTCAGGGTAGCAGGGCCCTAGAGAGAGACCTTGCTCCAGCCTTCCACCATGGGTGCAGGAGGGACAGGACTTAGAATCAGATATTCTCTGTCTACGTGTCCCTTGAAGCCCAGGAATAGAGCCTGGGAAGTATATCTGCAGGATGAATGAGGGAAGATTTCCAGTGGAGACAGGCATTCAACAATTAGAGGATGGGTGCACAGCTGTTCTTGGCATTGCATGCACATCTGGATAGAAGAATCACACCCTCAGATGTGCATCAGACCCCTCAAATGCCTCCTTAGATTCTCCGCCTCACCTGTCCCTGGGACCTTTGGCTGCTTGCTCCCCCCACTGTGTCCAACCAGCTGTCCATGGGCACAGCAACACAGGTCCTCACACTGGGCTCAAGCCATGCCCCTCTTGCCTTCTGCCCTGGGACTTCTCCATGCCTGCTGAGTTATGAGACACCAGGGACACTCTGTCCACTCAGAAGCAACCCAGATGTGCAGAGAGTTAAAGCTCCATAGGGGAACTCAGCAACAAAAACCCAAACAACCTGATTCAAAATGAGCAAAGGATTTAAATAGACACTTCTCCAAAGAAGATATGCAAATGGCCAATAAGCACATGAAAAGATGCTCATCATCACTAATCACCAGAGAAATGCCATTAAAACTACAGTGAGATACCACCTCACACCCATTAGGATGGCTACTATCAACAAAACAGAAAATAACAAACATTGGTGAGGATGTGAAGAAATCGGAATTCTGTGCACTGCTGGTGGGAATGTAAAATGTATCACTGCTGTGGAAAACAGTATAGTATTTTCTTAAAAAATGAAAAATAGCCTGTAATCCCAGCACTTTGGGAAGCTGAGGCGGGTAGATCACTAGGTCAGGAGATCGAGACCATCCTGGCTAACACGGTGAAACCCCGTCTCTACTAAAAACACACACACACAAAAATTAGCTGGACATGGTGGCAGGCGCCTGTAATCCCAGCTACTTGGGAGGCTAAGGCAGAAGAATGGCGTGAACCCAGAAGGCGGAGGTTGCAGTGAGCTGAGATCGCGCCACTGCACTCCAGCCTGGGTGTAGAGCGAGACTCCGTCTAAAAAAAAAAAGAAAAGAAAACAAAAGGAAAGAAAAATAGCCAGCCACGGTGACTCATGCCTATAATCCCAGCACTTTGGGAGGCCAAATCAGGTGACTTACTTGAGGTCAGGAGTTCCAGACCAGCCTGGCCAACATGGCAAAACCCCATCTCTACCAAAAATACAAAAATCAGCCCGGGCTTTGTGGTGCACACCTGTATCACAGCTACTTGGGAGGCTGAGGCAGGAGAATCGCTTGAACCCGGGAGGCGAAGGTTGCAGTGAGCCAAGATCATGCCACTGCACTCCAGCCTAGGTGACAGAGCAAGACCTTGTCTCAAAAAAAAAAAAAAAGAATAAAATTGCTGTATGATCCAGCAATTCCACTTCTGGGTATACACTCAAAATATTCGAAAGCAGGGTCTTTGAAGATATTTACACCCATGTTCATTGCAGCATTATTCACAATCACTAAAAGGTGAAGCAATCCAAATATCTATGAACAGATGAATAAATAAACAAAATGTGGTATATCTATATAACGGAGTATTATTCTGCCATAGAAAGAAGGAATGTTCTGACACAGGCTACAACATGGATGATCCTTGAGGACATGATGCCAAGTGAAATCAACCAGTCACAAAAAGACACATATTGTATGATTCCACTCAAATGAAATACTTAGAGTCCTCAAAATCATAGAGACAGAAAGTAGAATGGTGGATGCCAGAGGCTGGGGCAGGGGAAAATGGGAAGTTATTATTCAATGGGTATAGATTTTTAGTTTTACAGCACAAAAAGTGTTATGGAGATGGATGGTGGTGATGTTTGTACAACATCCTGAATGAATTAATACCACTGAACTGAGGCTGGGCGCGGTGGCTCATGCCTGTACTCTCAGTACTTTGGGAGGCTGAAGCAGAAGGATGGCTTGAGCCCAGGAGATAGAGACAAGCATGGACAACATAGTGAGACCCCATTTCTACAAAAAATACAAAAATTATTTGGGTATGGTAGTGCACGCCTGTAGTCCCAGCTACTCAGGCGGCCGAGGTGGGAGGATCACTTGAACCCGGGAGGTGAAGGCTGTAGTGAGCCGAGATTGCACTGTTGCCCTCCAGCCTGGGCAAAGAGGGAGATCCTATCACACACACACACACACACACACACACACACACACACACACACACACAAATTGAACTGTACACTTAAAAATGGTGAAGATGGTAAATTTTATGTTATGTTCTTTTACCATAATAAAAAAAAAGAGAGAAAAAACCCCAAACATCTCCATGGGAGGAACTCGAGCCCTGTGAGCAGGAAGACAGGCAATGAATTCTCCTTCCTCCTCCTCACTATTCCCAGAAGTGCCTTCAGTCGCCTTTTGGAAGATGACCCCTGGAAATCCAGCAGTCACCCTGGATGCCAAGTGGCAGTGACTCAGTAATGCCCCTGTGCTTGTCCTCTCTCCTCCCAGGCCCTGCCCACCATTCCCTGGCTCCTGCTTCCTCATGAAGGGTAGCACAGACGCCTCCGGCTCTGCCTCCAGTAATAATCCAGGCAGAGACAGATGGCACGGGGGGTGGAACCTGAACCTTCATTAATGAACAAATATTTACTGAGCCCCACTACAGGCCAGGTCCTATGCTAAGTGTTCAGAATATGGGAGTAAACAGGACAGATGCTGTCCTTCCCTTATGGGGCTTATGTTGGAAAACCAAAACTTAATTATGTAGTTAATGATCTGTAAACAAACGTTTAACCTTACCAAAGATGCTAGGTGACCCCTTTTGTGACATGATTAATTTTTCACCTTAGGGCTGTTTATTAATTTGGGGTTTCATGCTGGGACATCCCTCTTACAGTAGCACTGCACCACCCAGGAGGTTGCAGGTGGGGGAAGCAGATCCAGCTGAAAAAGAGGTCATCTTTGCTCCTTAAACTTGAACTTTAAAAAAGGGGAGGGCAGAGAAGAAGCATCCAGTTGAGCATCCAGTATTCAGATGATGCCAACCATGGGCCACTGCTGCTGCTGGGGTCTATAGTATAGCTAAGCCCCCGCCAAGGGGGTAGTGAGGCCAGGGCAAAGGGACCTGCAAGAGTCTGTCGCTCTGGCCTCTAATACTGGCGATTATGCACACTAACGTGTATATAATGAAATATATCCTGCTGGTCAGGTATTCAGGCTCTAAAACAAGACAGCTTAGTTGGAGTCTGGGCTCTGTCAATTACTTGCTGTGTGACCTTGGGTCTGATTAATTAACTTCTCTGTGCCCAGTTTCTTCATCTGTAAAATGGGGATGCTAACAATAGCATCTATCTCCTGGGGTTGGATTGAGGCTTAGATAAGATAACTCACGCAGAGCTCTTAGGACAGAGGCTAGCCCAGCCAACCCTCGACAAATGTCGGCAATATTTATGTGACCCTAGGGTCTAGTCAGGTGCTACAAAAAGTGGGGTTTGTGTGTAGGGACCAGTTGATGAACTACTTTTTGTTGTTGTTACTTTTTTACTCATTTGTGATAAATATAGACATTGAGTGTGAGCATTACAACAAAACTAAACTAAGCTAAACTGGATCCTCTCTCACAGATGGTTGGGGAAGCTCTGGTCTAGATCAAGCATTCTCACATCAGAGCCACCATGGTAGGTGCCTCTATGATGAGACCTCTCAGTGTCCCGTCCCTTGGTGTCCACGCCCTTGTATAATCCCCTGTCCTTGAGTATGGGCTGGACCTAGTGACTTGCTTCGAATGAACAGATTATGCAAATGTGAGAAGACAATGCTTCTAAGATTAGATTACCAAAAAAATGACATTCCATTTTCCTTGCTCTCTCTCACCCACTCCCTCTGATAAAACACACTGCAATGTTGAAAGCTTTCCTATAGAGAGCCCCATGTGCAAAGACCCGAGGGCACCGCAGGAAGAACTGAATCCTGCCAACAACCACAAGAGCAAGCTTGGAGGTAGAGGTTGCCCCAGTCAAACCCTGAGATGAGCACAGCCCCAGAGGACACCTTGACCACAGCCTGGCAGAGATTCTGAGCCAAAGGACCTAGGTAAGCCATGACTGGATTTCTGACCCCACAGAAACTGAGATAATAAGCATTGTTGTTTTAAGCCATTGTGTTTTGGGGTAGTTTGTTACACAGCAATAGATAACTAATACAGCTGTTTGTGAGAATTACCCAGGAAGATGTTAAAAAAAATGTAGACACCACTACACACCCACTAAAATGGCTAAAATCAAAAAGACTGACAACACTAGTGTGGACAAGGATGTGAGACATTTGGGATGGTCACTAGTGCCGGTGGAAGGGAAAATGGCAAGCCACGTTGGAAAACTGGAAGTTTCTTAAAAGTTAAACATAAATCTACCCTATGACTCAACAGTTTTTATCCACTCCCACGTATTTATCCAAGAGAAAGGAAAACATGAATCTGCAAGAAGACTTAGACATGGCTACTGAGAGCAACGTGACTCATCCTAGCCAAACGCTGAAAGCAGCCCAGCCTTCCACCAACAGGACAATGGAGAAGTCCATTGGGGCATATTCTTACAATGGAATATTCCTCGACCAACAAAAGGAATGAGTTTCAGGTACACTCAACAATAGAGAAGAATTACCAAAACATGCTGAGGAAAAGAAGACAGCTGTCTACGCATACATACTGCATGATTCCACTGACAGTGCTGGATCTCAGCCAGGGACAATTTGGCCGCTCAGGCGACATTTGCAGTGTCTGGAGACATTTTTGGTTGCCACAACTGGAGGCAGTGGAGCTGCTATTGACCACAGTCACCATGGGGGTTGGGAGCTGTTCCTGGAGGCCAGGAATGCTGCTAAGCATGCCACAACATCAACCCCTATCTCAGTTTGGATAGCTATAAAACTTACCGTAAACTGGGTAGCTTCGACAACAAATGTTCATTTCTCACAGTTCTAGAGGCTGGAAGTCCAAGATCAATGAGCTGGTGAATCTGGTATCTGGGGAAAGCCCACTTCCCGGTTTGCAGAGAGCCATTTTGTTGCATCCTCACATGGTTGAGAGCAGACAGCATCTCTCTCACATGTCTTCTTCAAGGGCACTAATCCCATCATGAGGGCTTTACCCTCATGACCTGATCACCCCTCAAAGGGCCCACTTCCTAATATCATAGCCTTTGGGGTGAGAATTCCAACATATGAATTCGAGGGCACACATTCGTTCCCTAATTCCCCCACAACAAAGAATTATCAACCCAAAATGTCATTAGGGCTGAAGTTGGGAAACCCTGATTTAGATGAAGTTCTATGACAGGTGGAACTCATCAGTGGTAATAGACATCAGAACAGTGACTGCTTTTGGGGAGAATGGACTGGGAAGAGGCATGTGAGGGGTATGGGTTACAGCCTGAGGGATACATATTTGTCAAAATTCATTAAGCTGTAAACTTAGGATGTGTATATTTCACTGTATGCAAATTACATCACAATAAAAATAGAGAGAGAGATAGATACTTGTACACACATGCACCTCTGAGTAACATGCTGAATTGGGCTTTCTGGGGTGGTTGAAGAATCTGTATGCTCAGCAAGTTTGCTGAGTGATTCCTGCACACAATCAGCCCAGAACTTGGCTGTGGACCTACATTTAGGATCCACTGGTCTCTAAACCAGTATTTCTCAAACTTTCTTTCCAAATAGCCTCAGAGGCAGAAGCTGACACGTACTCTAGGGAAGAGGAAGCAGTCAGGAGCAATTGGGGATCTTTCTCCAAATCTCCAATTCTATCTTACAAATTCATATGAGTCTTTGTATTTGATTCCATATGATTGTTTTAGTATTAAAATGTTTTAAATTACTACCAGCAAGGAAAAGTTTCTTTTGTTTATTTTATGACTTCTAGGTCTGGTACCATAATCCTTCCACTCCCTCTCAAATACACACACACACACACACACACACACACACATACACACATCCTAATGTCTGGACAACAGGCATTAAGTCCATTACATCAAGCTGTAAGAAACTGAGAGAGATCCTCATTTTGCTCATTTTGCCTCCAGAGAAGGACCAACTCCTAGAGGCTGAGTGGGAACAGCCTCGCTATCCTTTGAAGATAGCTTAGAAGTTTATCAAAATTTCACTTCCAACTGCAGAGAAAATTTTCCTGGAGAAAATGTGGGGCACAGCTCTTAACCAGTCCAAAGGTTTGATCTGTGCCCATTCCTTCTGTAGAGGAAGGCACACCCAACCAATTGTGTCCTAGCAGATACTGACAACTAACTGAACCTTCATGGCTAGCCAGTCACTTATTAACAGACTTGTATTCATCAAGGAAGGCCAACTGCTAAACCTCAAGGCTGAACACAATAAAAGTTGATTTCTCACAGTCTGAAAAGGGCCGTTTATTTTCAAACTTAGGGTCCCAGCCTCTTCCACCTTGTGGCCTTGTTTACCTGTGCCCTGCACTGTTCAAACATAAACTTCTTAAATCCTCATAATAACCTTATAGGAAGTACAAATATTGTCAACTTCATTTTACAGACGAGGACACTGAGTCCGTAGAGTTCAGTTCTGTGCCAAAAGTCTTGGCCCGCTAGGGGGCGGTAGAGGGTGCATTCAGACCCAGGCTGACTCGCCCCAGAATCCCCTGCGGAACCACCAGGCCCTGCTGCCTTCCCGCCACTTCAGCCACCGCCTCCCATTTCTAGTGAGCCTTGACCATTCCTCCACGTTTCTGTGCCCCTAAGGCGGATGCCCAGGACGCTGCCTGGTCCCACCACCCACTATGCTGCCCCTTCATGCCCATCAGTCAGGGAAACGGGACTGTCAGCGCCAATTCCCACACTTTGACGTGCATCAGCTTCATTTGGGGAGTGCACAGTTCAGATTCCCAGGCCCCCCAGAGGTTTGACTTGGTGGGTTCTAGGTGGAGCCTAAGGACGCCTTGCTTGGGAACACCCTGATTTGGGGGAGCCCCAAACATCCAGGTAGGGTAGAGGTAGACACCCCCTCTCTCATGTTAAGCTGCTCACAGGCACGGCCTCCTGTCTCAGAGTCCGCTCAGCTCCCCCCGGCAACACTGATTTGCCTGCTAGGCCTCCATCTCCTAGGAAGCTGCCAGCACCAGGGTCCTCTACGTCTTGCCTGCTTGAAGAATTGTGAAGCCATGTGCCCTTAGGCAAATCCACAGTTATTTCTGGGAGTGGGAGAGAGGTGACACAGTTCACTCTGCAAAGGGGAAATCCACCTTGAAGAGGAGGCTTGGCTTCCAGTCCAGGCGGCGCAGTGTTTCCATGGCGACATTACCCTTGTACCATCTTTTGTTATCCCTTCCAACACCTCCTCTCCTGTTTGTTCCGAGTCTGTGCCCCCAATCCTTTCTCAAATCCGCCTCCCTCGTAGCTCACCTCCTCCTATTCTCCTTTTCCCTTGTGATTATTTTGAAATCTAAAAAAGCCCATTTGTGGTTGGCCCAGGGCACTCACTGCCTCCAGCCGGTACTTGATGTGACCGACTTGGAGATTTGTTGGTGGGTAAGCCCTGCTGGCAGCTGCCCCTCCCAACCCGGCCAGGATGAGACACAACAGGAATACCAGCCAGCCCTAACGCAAACGTTTTATCTGCTGTTTGTCATTCAACAATGATTAAACCTCTCAACAATGGCCAACTGCCCGAACAACACTGTCTGATCACTGTCCTTATGGAGTGGACATTTCCAGTGGGGTAGACAGCAAGAAGCCAGGGGACCCAAAAAGCTATTTCCCTTAGGAATAAGTGCTGTCGAGACCGGGACAGATGGTAATGAGGTCGGTTGAGTGGTGGGGGGTGGGGGTGGGGCGCAGGAGTTGTTTCTACTAAGAATTTGAGGGTCAGGGAAAAGTCCCTGAGCTAAAATTTGAAGAAAAAGAAAACCCATCATATGCAGCTTTACCATGTATCAGATACAAGTCTGAGCATTTTACCCATTCGGTTTCATTTAAACTTCACAGCCTCATGAGGAGGCATTACTGTCATCCCCACTTAGAGGAAGAAACTGAGGCACAGAAGGGTTAAGTCTGAAGTCACATGGTTAATAAGATGCAGAACTGGGAATTGAACCCAGGCACATGACTGTGGAGCCCACAGGCTTTCCAGCTTGGCCCCATCCTTCCCTTCCTGGGAAGACACAATGGTCTGTTGTCATTCCCAGGTCTTGAGTAGATATAAGGAGAAGCCAGTGGGGCTGGAGGAAGGATGTCCCATCTCTACCCTCCTAGCCTAGCCATTCACTCATTCACTCCATCAATCATCATTCAACATTAAGAGCCTTTTATGGGATAAAAGGCATGGCCAACACTGATTGCTACCCCGACGCACAGTCTGTATGTGTGCTGGTTGCAGGGAGTGGGGAGGAGGGGGATTATTAGAGTAATAACTATGATGGAGAACAGTAAAACACCAGGCAGAGTCTGTAGAAGCAAACCAAGCTTTACCTGGAGAAGGGGAGGGTGGTAGGAGAAGGAAGGGAAGAAGGGAGAGCTGCAGGAGGTTTCATAGAGACGCTGACTTTGGGTTGGGCACCCTGAAGTCTGACAGGTAGAGAAATTGGAGAGGGGCATTCCGCCAAGATGGCAGAAGGAAAGTTTGCACTGTGTCCAGAGTACAGTCAGTCCGCAGGTGCAATACAGCTAAAACCCAATGAGAGGAGGAGGGTGAATGTTGCTGCAATCCCAACATTTCTGGCGGAAACTAAATTTTAAAACAATTATTAAAAAAACAAACAAAAAAACAAAACAAACAAACAAACAAACAAAAAACTCCGTGGGACTGGAAACCCCAAGATGGCAAGATCCTACCTAGAGATTTCCTTCTTGTAGGTGGCCCCTGCATTATTTCAGCAGTCACATCACAAAGCCCTTTGGCCACCACCTCTGTAAACTTCATATGTAACAGATGCTCTGCAATGCACAACACAAACTTTATTGTATTTAATCTTCACGCAACTATAGATAAGTGCCTAATATTTTCTCTATTCTATATACCCTAATATTAACAAATAAAAAATAACCTAATTATTTTTACTACAGAGGAGGAAACTGAGGCTCAGAGAGATTGAAACATATCCAAGCTCACATAGCTAATATATGAAAACATTGGGCTTTGAACCTTTGTCCACCCCAAAGCTAGTGCTACTAACCTGTATACTATACTGTCTGTGGTTTCTTGGGGTTGTGTCTCTGGATAACAACTACACAGTTGAAAATGGAAAAGTTTGAATCATTGTTTTTGCTTTTCTGGCAGGTGTCACATCATTAGATGTCAAAACATTCTTTGTGTGGGAAATGTGTTTCATTTGTGCCCTGAACAAAGGCAATGTCAAGACCATGTTGTAATCTCATCAACACTCATAAACTGATGTATTTTAAAAGGTCAGTAATCTGGACTTGAACACAGCCTTTTCACTCCAGCCACCCTACCCTTATTTTCCCATCTCCAGTGGCCACAACAAGGCTGTCAGCAATGTGTTTCACCTCAGAGCATGGTCTCTGTGACTCCCAAAATTTGAGTTTGCTTTCCAAAATTTCCACTTCTGCCCCCTCTCCTGTCCCACTGTACTGGTTTACTAGGGGCTCACATTTTTCCTGTTAAACTGAGTCTGTGTATAGAAGCATCTCAGCTCTGCATAATTGAAAACTTCTGTCAGATAGGAACACAATTGTTTAATATTGGTTCATTTGAATCCTTTAGACTTTTTTTTCTTAGTTTCTAATTTGTGTTTCTAATTTAATGTTCTTTTCCCAAGACAGTCACTTTTGTATTAAAGGCTGAAAAGTTTGTTTTTATGTCAGTTTCCTTGGCATTGAAATTAGGGTGTTCTTTCAGAGAAGCTATAGGATTACATGATTCTATGGTGTTCAGGCAATTGATGAAACCATTAACTAGGCCAACTGCTATAACCATTATTGTGCCAATATATTATAAATAATAAAGTACAAAAATTTGAGTTTGTACCCATTTAAAAATTGATTAACATATATTCAAGGTTATCCTTATAATAAGACCTCTTTCACACTTTTGCATTTTGATAAGCTTTTCTTCATGGAAGAGAAAGGAGGTAAATCTACAAAACCATCAAACCCATGTGACTATCACCCATTAGAGGTGATGCAGTGTAGAAAAAAAGTGCAGGGAACCACTAATCTAAGACATCCATCCACTTATATGCAGCACTTGAAAAGCACATCAATCTCTAACCTGGAAGTTGAAAAAACAGCCGAGATATAAAGTGCAATTTCAAAACCAAGACAGAGGCTGTTTTAACTAGATTCTCCTTATATATTGGTTTTAAGTCAAACCGCTCCACATTATATTGCTGTCAAACAGAAATCAGAACATACTTGTTGCCTGCCAATCACCTGTTCACCCACCCTACATACCATGGGAGACACAGGAGTAAGTCCCCACCCTCAGAGAGTTTACCATCCCATGGTAGAGATGAGATATTCCATAAAGGGGAGATACTAGGTGCTTATGCTACAATTCTCCTACCCTGTGCTCAAGGCAGATTCAGCTAATTGATCGAAGCATTCTTTCCTGCTGAGCTCAGACACAGGGTGTTTGTTCAGCTTAGGGCTCCAGGAAGCTACTATCCATTAATAGGAATTGATATGGAAGATGAAAGACATTTGCTATTTCTGATTCAAACTTATGAAAAGATAGATAAAAATAGAAGACAGTCTTAAAAAGCCAAATACCTGGACTGTAGGCTACATAAGACCTAAGGAGGAACTCTTCATTGTTGATGTGATCAGAGAAGGCTTCCTGGACGAGGGGCTTCAATGCAGCATTCAAGGATGATTAACAATGAGAGAGAGAGAGAGGCATCTCAAATTGGGAGGACAGCAGCAGTGTGCATCCAGAGGGGAGCATGCTTAGGACATGGTGAGTCAGCTGGAGAGGAAGGCTGGGGTTGGAGAAATGGAGTTGGAAAGGAATGGTGAGGCTAGGTCATAAAGGGCCTTGAATGCCAAGCAAAAAAATCTTGAATTCTATCTTATAAACAATGGAGAAACGTTGACAGTTTGTGAGTAGGAGAATGACATGAGCAAAACAGTGTTTTCAGTAAATGAAACCAGCAGGTTCATACAGGAGGGATGGACGGATGTGGAGGAAACTAGGTGAGAAAACCAACCTGGAGACACAGAGACACAGTGAGGGTAACCCAGGTTGGGGGAACCATGTGCTGGGGAAAGGGAGGAATCCAAGAGTGAGAGCTGCCTCAAGAAAAATACACTTCAACTATAACTTCTCAGGCTTCCCTTTCCAAAAAAGACACCTGCACATGTATGTTTATTGCAGCACTGTTCACAATAGCAAAGACTTGGAATCAACCCAAGTGCCCATGAATGGTAGACTGAATAAAGAATATGTGGCACATATACAGCATGGAATACTATGCAGCCATAAAAAAGGAATGAGATCATGTCCTTTGCAGGGACGTGGATGAAGCTGGGAACCATCATTCTCAGCAAACTAACACAAGAACAGAAAACCAAGCACTGCATGTTCTCACCCATAAGTGGAAGTTGAACAATGAGAACACATGGACACAGGGAGGGGAACATCACACACCAGGGTCTGTCAGGGGTGGGGTGGTTGGGGAGGGATAGCATTAGGAGAAATATCTAATATAGGTGATGAGTTGATGGGTGCAGCAAACCACTGTGGCATGTGTATACCTATGTAACAAACCTGCATGTCCTGCGCATGTATCCCAGAAATTAAAGTATAACAAGAAAGAAAGAAAGAAAGAAAAAAGCAGAACCCCTGTGTGTCACTGGATGTCTGCAGTCTCTGCCATGTTTGGGCGACAAAGTGATTCTTCTGTGTGAATTTCATGACTAGTCAGGAAGCAGATTTCAAGGGATGGCCATTAAGGTGCTGCTTCTAACATTCTTCCACCAGCTGACATTTTGGCAGATTCAAAGCCAGTCAGTATCATCCATAGATCTAGCTGTTCCTTCTTTTAAATGAGATGCAAACCTAATAGATTTCCTTCTGTGTTACATGGGCTGACAATCAAACAGTCTACAAAATGTCCCAAAATATGATTTGATCATGGAAGGTCAGTGATATCAGAGTACCTGGCTCCAAATTACTATAAATGAGAACTATTTTTCCTCAGCTCACTCCAGGCTTTTTGAAATGAGAATAACAGCCCCAGAGCTTCCTACCTGCAGGTGTGTCTGTTTGGCAAGCAGATATTAAAGGCTTCAAGACGCACAAAGCATCAGGCTAGATGCTGAATCAAATGGGAAAACGAAAGTGGCTTCTGAACAATAGAACCTTGTGCAAATAGAGGGTGTTATCACTGTTGGTCCTGAGTTTTGCCAATTTCATTGGCACACTTCCTCTGACTCACAGACTCTTCCTTTATTATTATTAATCATTAGGGTTGGTAATAATAGCTAACATGGTTTGAGTATGCTATCAATAAGGGTTTTTGCAGGAAGAGATGGCACATTATAACTGGGTAATTGAGGAGAGTTTCATAAAGCAGGTATTTACAAATGTATGGAGGGTTAAGGAAAGCAACAAGGAATGGCGAGTATGTAGGGACTGGGAGAGCTGGGCACTCTTACCATCCCTAGGCCTGAAGGGGCAAGAAGCAGGAGAGGTCACTGGAAACAGGACAGGGTGCCGAAGGGAGACAGTGGCCTGACAGGATCTGAGCCTTTCAGCTGAGGATGTAGCCAGCCCCCAGGCACCTAGCAGGGAGGGAGCAGGGGTGATGAAGGCCCCTCACACTCCTCTTGTCCTCAGATCTCCTTTGGGCCAACTCCACCTGATGCCAAAAGGCAGAGGAGTTGGTCAATGCAGCTGATAGGTGGGGGCCTTCTGGGGCCAGGGTGTGGAGGGGGAGAAAATGGGGATAGGCTTGGAGCAGGGGGTGGGGAAGAAGTAGGTTTGGGGTTGACGGGGGAGCATTTAGGGGGTTCTGGAGGCACAAGGAGATGACTTCTAGCACTTACTACATTCTGTGTATAACTGTGTGATGAACATCTCTCCCTCTAGAATATTAACGACATGAGGTCAGGGATGGGTTCTGCCTTGTCACTGCACTGTCCCGAGGACTAACTCAGTGCCTTGCACATAGCAGGTATGCAAGACATATTTATTGAATGAATAATCATCCTAGAAGTGGAATGTTCATGTTCCCCTTTTCATTCTAACAGACACGTTTCATTTATCACGTCTGGAATACTGTTAATGAATTTTTTCTTTCCCGCATGGTGAATAGACAAGTCATTGCTTTGGTAAAGGATAAATAAGAAAATAATTAACAGATTCTTAAAAATATCCTTTGATCAAAGGCAAGTGCTGAATCCGTTGGGTGCTTTCATACGTGTCATCTCATTCATTCTTCCATATAACCTTAGAGAACCTTGTAGAATCCCTGTTTCATGAATGAGCAAAGTGGGATTCAGAATGGCTGTGGTGATTTGGCTAGGAGATGGTGGAGTCTGAATTCAAATTCAGGTTTTTGAGTCTCATTTGATTCCCATTTTAGCTCAGCATCTTGATTATAAAAGTGAACATTTTCATTCTGAGTTAATTTTTTCTTTCGAGTAGTCTCAAAGATTGTTACCTAAAATTAACTCCAATGGGTACCCAAAAATCAAATGCAAGGCTACAATGTGGTGGGATTAGGCTAGGCACCTAACCTCACGTTCATTCCTTTCTGTTCTTTGTCTCTATGTGTTTTGTATGGAGGCTGTTTTGCAAAGGGTGATAGTCATGTTGCCACTTAAAGAATCTGCTCCATTTGTTAGTAAGTAAGAGACGAGATCATTAGATGATGCATTGCAAAGAATGTGCAAAGAAACCCTCCAAATCATGTGAATATTTTCTCCTCATGTCACATCACTGCCTTCACTGTATTCCTCTCTGATAGCTTCCCCTTTCCTCTATGTGAAGTGACTGTGCTGGAAATCAAAGTGTATTTTAAGATGCTCCGCGATATGCTCTGAGAAGCAGGGTGCAGGGGGCATTCAGAAATGCAGAATAAGCTTAAAGCTAACAGAAGATATTCTACACTTGCAGCTGTTTCAATCAACTCTTCCAGTTGCCTTACCAAACCGCTTTTACCCAACCTTATCTGCATCTTCAAACACCATCTTTTCCAAAACATCCTTCTTAATTCTATTTGAAAAGCAAAGTCTTTGCAATCCTGCCTCAATAAACCTACAGCCTTTACATCGTGCTGTTCTTACCAGAGAGTCCAACCTGTGTGGTTTATAATGCTCTTCCAAATAAAACATCTCCCTGGGTATTACCTCATTGGCCTTGCAGGTGAAGATTTAAAAAACTCTCTCTAACGTTAGCCAGATGAACAGAGACCTGAAAGGAGAGAAACCTGTAAAAAGTGAAGTTGCCACATGCTTCCTGCTGGTCTTGATTTCTTGATATATCACTAAAGGCAAGCATAGAGATCCTTCGGTGGACTCAGCACCCTCCCCTGCTTCTCTGTGCCTGTGGTTTTCATTTTGGCTACAAGCAGAGGTGGCAGCCCCACAGATCCCTACCTCCTCATTTGTCTACCCATCCATTCATCAATGTATTCAGTCATTCAACATGTCTCCTCACTTCTCTTTGCCATGTGCTAAGTCCTGCTCAACTTTCTGTGACAGAAAAAGCATGTCTTGGACTTAATGAGTGGAGGTGGGGATAGGGAGAGGAATCAATGAAATATGTCAAAATATTCTAGGGTCTATGCCAGATGGACTGACTCAATTTCGCAGAATTCTCACAGGACCCCTCTCTCCTTTACGCTTGTTTTCATTCATATTCATATATGCAACTCCCCCTCATTATTTGACTCTGATCTGTTCCTAAAAACATGGTGATTAGCAGATTTCAGAAAGCAGGCACTGGTACTCCATTATTTTAAGGGAAAAATTATAATGCATTCCAAGTCTACCCCAAAACCACAATCAACTTCCCCAAATATCATTGTAACATTCTTAAGCAGTGTGTAAAAATCTCCCAGGACTTTTCTATAACATAAGGCAATTACAGCACCCTTTATCTAATGAATTGGGACTTATTGAACTCCTCCTGAAGGTTCATTGTGTGGGCAGCAACTGGCCCTGGAGAGGGGCAAGGCTCCTCCAGGCATCACACTGGCCTGGTAAGGAAATATTGAAAGACCCTAAATACTGCCTCAATTAGATGGGGTTTGCAGGGCCTGGGTATTGGGGGGAATTTTAGTGGGACCCATGAGGGGCTAAAGCTTGGGGGAACAGAATGGGAAAGATGACAATAATAACATATTTGACAGACAGAGCAGCAGGTGCAAACTTGCTGGAAGAACAGGGCAGCCAGGACTACTGCACACACACTCCATTCCTCTCACGAGACTCATGAACAATGAAATGTTTTTACGGGTTGCCCATGTGGACTCATTTTAATAGTTGCTCAATACAGACAGCAAATGTTTGTTGAAAACTCGCCAGCTACTGTGGTTTTTGGATATATACCCAAAGGATTGTAAATCATTCTTCTATAAAGACACGTGTACATGTATGTTTATTGCAGCACTGTTCACAGTAGCAAAGACTTGGAACCAACCCAATGCTCAGCAATGATAGACTGAATAAAGAATATGTGGCACATATACACCATGGAATACTATGTAGCCATAAAAAAGGATGAGTTCATGTCCTTTGCAGGGATATGGATGAAGCTGGAAACTATCATTCTCAGCAAACTAACACAGGAACTGAAAACCAAACACCACATGTTCTCACTCATAAGTGAGAGTTGAACAATGAGAACACATGGACACAGAGAGAGGAACATTACACACCGGGACCTGTCAGTGGGTGGGGGACTAGGGGAGGGATAGCATTAGGAGAAATACCCAAGGTAGATGACAGGTTGATGAGTGCAGCAAACCATCATGGCACATGTATATCTATGTAACAAACCTGCACGTTCTGCACATGTATCCCAGAACTTATAATAAAAATTTTTTTAAAAAAACTTGCCAGCTACTGATGAATATTTTAAAAGTGAGAATTTGGGGTTTTTTTTTAGATATTAAAAGCTCAGAAAATACCGCAAAGAGATACTACTTTGCACCCAGTAGGATGACTTTTTAAAAAAAAAAAATAAATAAAATAAATAAAAATTAAAATACCAACTGCTAGCAAGGAGGTGGAGAAATGGGAACTGTCATACATTGCTGGTGGAGATTAAAATGGTGCAGTTGTTGTGGAAAGCAGTTTAGCGATTCCTCAAAATGTTAAATATAGAATTACCATATGACCCAGCAATCTCACTCCTAGGTATATACTTGAAAGAATTGAAAACAGTTACTCAAATATTTCTACAGGAATGTACTTAGCAGTACTATTCACAATGGCCAAAAGGTAGAACCAATCCAAATGTCCATCAATGGGTGAATGGATAAACAAAATGCCATGTACCCATACAACAGAATATTTTTCAGCCATAAAAAATAAAGTACTGATACATTCTATGATGTGGATGAACCTTGAAAACATGATGCTAAGTGAAAGAAGCCAGTCACAAAAGACCACATATCATATGATTTTATTTATATGCAGTGTCCAGAATAGGCAAATCCATAAAGACAAAAAACAGATTGGAGGAGGGCGGAATAGTGACTGTTTAATGGATGAGGGGTTTTCTTCTGAGGTGAGGAAAATGTTTTAGAACTAGGTGGAGGTAGTGGCTGCACAACAATGTGAATATACTAAATGGCATTGATCCTACACTTTAAAGTGATTAATGTCATGTGAATTTCACCTGAATAAAAAAAGCTTTGAAAATAATGGTAACCTTCACCTTATCAGTACGTAGCTCAATGCCCCTCCTGGAGACATTAATAAATGTTTGATTTATGAATGCATGAATAAATAAATCTGTCTATGGTCTACAATGCCCTGCTCATCCAGGCCCCTTCCTATTTCCCCAGCCTCATTGTTCACCAGGATCTCCCTTTCTCTCTACTCTTCAGCCACACTGGCTTTTCCCCAGGCCCTCGTAAATGTTAGGCTTCCTCCTGCCACAGGACCTTTGCACAGGCTCATTTCTCTGTGTGGAGCCCCCAACATCCTTCCCTTTTGCCCTGGTTAAGATCTTCTCCAACTCTAGCTCGCAGTTTGGCCATCACTCTTTAGGAAAGCTTTCATCTTGTAAGGTACTCTTGTAAAAGCTCTTCATCTTACACTTACAAAGCAACAGAACCTTCTGTTCAGGTTACCTACCACCAGCACACATTTTCATTTATTTGCCCTCTTCTTCTATAAACTCTGGTTTGCCCCATTATACCATAAGCTTTGTGAGAGCTGAAGATGGGTCACTGTGTCATTGGGAAGAGGGTAGTTACCACTGTATCCTCACTTCCTAGCACAGTACCTGGCACACAGTTATTCAATAAACACAACCAAGGAAGAAAGAGGGAGGAACCCACCTTTTTCACCTGTTTTCCTTTATAACTCTATTAGTTCCATTATTTCTTATCAAATTAGTTATAGGGGACCCTTTGTGTGCACGTGTGTTGATTCTGATACATACGTATAGAATCTCTTAGTTCTTAAAACTTGCTTCTATGAAGCTATTCTCCTCCATCCTCAGAGCAGATTTTCCCTTTGTTTCTTAGCAAGAAAT
The DNA here is from genome assembly GCF_000001405.40 of Homo sapiens. Classification (NCBI taxonomy): domain Eukaryota; kingdom Metazoa; phylum Chordata; class Mammalia; order Primates; family Hominidae; genus Homo; species Homo sapiens. The sequence continues at coordinate 45,278,249 of NC_000011.10, forward strand.
AAGCCCTGGGAGTACTGAATACAGTAAGAAGAAGGTGGAAGCGGGAGGTGAACTGCTGCTGGTTATTGGGAGATTGTAGGTCAGTGTGGACAACAAAGGGACTGTCTCCACATATTCGGATTGCTCTCGTAGGTCTTTGATCCTGGAATGGTTGTGTCTTATTTTTTCTCCTCTTTGTCTTCTGGGTCTGATGCTTCCCTCTCCTGCTGGTCTCTTCTCTTCCTTCTGCCTTTGCTTGGGCCCCCTCTGGTTTGTCTTTCAGGTGTTTCCTTCGTCATGATCCAATGGCCTCTCTATCCCTCCTCCTGTGCCCCAGGTACCTCCTCACAACTTGACTAGTATCTGAAAATCTGGAAAGGATGCAGCACTGTTTTCTGCTAGAATTAACAAAAGGTGCTAGTGAATCATCAATTCCATGAAGAGAAGAGCCATGTATCTGAATTATCTACAAACTGTACCCAAAGAAGGAACTAGGGGAGGAAGGGAGATGGGACAGGTCAGACCTGTCACTGGAAAAAAGACTGAGGGACACAGGCTTAGGGGTCCACATGTGAGTGCTTTGAAGAGTATTTCCAGCGGGTATGTGCTCATCTCCCTGAAAGAATCTATGCTAATTTCTTGATGAAAAATTCATACTGTCTTCCACGTTGCTAAGCAACCAGCCCAAACATGTTTACTGTGTAAAATTTCTGTGGAGGGCCCTGGGCTGCACCCAATGCCTGAAGTGTGATGGCGGCAGCAAAGCAATCGAAAGCATTGGGAAAGGTTTCTGAAGTTGACCTACAAAGATGTGTATTTATAGACACTTTTATGCCATATCTGGGGAAACACAATGGCTCAAATAAAATTTTGACTACTTTTTTCTGCTAATCTTCAACCTAGTCGTCAAAAGTGTGGGCTCTGAAGCCAAATTTTGTAAATTTGATTCCCAGCTCTCCCACTGAATATGTTACTTAAGCTTTCTGTGTTTTACTTTTCTTCTGCAAAATGAAAAATAATAATTATGCATATTTCATAGGGCTATTGTGATAATTAAAATTAATATGGTTATGGCCATGTGCAGTGGATCACACCTGTAATTCTAGCACTTTAGGAGGACAAGTCAGGAGGATGGCCTGAGCCCAAGAGTGCAAGACCAGCCTGGGCAACATAGTGAGACCCTCTCTACAAAAAATAAATTTAAAAGAAATTAGCCAGGTACGGTGGCACATGACTGTATTCCCAGCTACTTGGGAGGCTGAGGTGGGAGGATCACTTGAGCTCAGAAGATCGAGGCAGCAGTGAGCCATGACCACGCCACTGCACTCCAGCCTGGGTGGCAAAGTGAGACTGTGTCTCAAAAAACATTTTAATATGGTTAAAATGCTTAGAACAGTGATTGGCACATATAAAGAACTTGATAAATGTTAGCTATTCTATCACTATTATTTATTACTGTATGGAAATACTTCATTGTGGTGGTGGTGGTTTATATGAATGGGTGAGTTCACCAGGCAAGAGATGAGCTAATAGTAAGCTAGAAAATGAGTCCTGTAAAAGTCTGAGAATCCATGGAGGTCAGACCTTACAGCCTTCCAGAGTTGAATCAGTTCCAGGAGTGGGGTTAGCAATTCATGGGGCGTCCTATCATCATTAAGGTACAGGGGAGACTTCAGGAGAAAAAACAACCTGCACTGGAGAAAATTCTACTTTAGGCTGAAGACGGAAGTAATATCCCCCACCCTGGGTTTCCCATGGCACCCTGTGCTTCCCTGATCATGGCAATTGCTTGTTTTATTGTCTGTCTCCCCATTTATCAAGAAAAGCATATGTCTGTCTTTCCATTGCCATATCCCAAGGCCTAGCATGTGCTCATTAATCTTTGATGAATGAACTATTTAACTAATGAAATGCAGCATCTGTCCATCCTCACTCTTACATGTGTGAATTAAAAGAAACAATCAGAGAAGGCGTTGCTCTAGAGGACTAAGGAAGAGGAGAAGAGGTAGGAGGCCTAATAGGACCACACTGATGGTCTTAACGTCCCAATCCCCAGGGGGAATCCTTTATGCAGCACACAGGAGGTGGCCATGGGAGAAACAGCAGAAAGCAAACAGGGCCGAAGAAGCAATTTATTAAAAAAAACACAAAAAGGAGGCTCATGTCTCTTGAATATGGCCCCAAAGTCCTCCTGGCAATAAAAAAATACTGGCCTGGTACTCAATTAATGTTCACAAACATGTCACAATATGACACTTTTTAATAAAAACCTTACTGACGTATAACTGCAGACAGAAAAGTACATAAATCATAAATGTAGAGCTGGATGCATCTTCACAAAGTAAACACACCTCTGTAACCAGCACCCACGTCAAGAGGCAGAGCATGAACAAAGCCCAGAAGCTCTCCTACCCGCTGCAGTCATTTCCTGTCCCCCAGGGTAACACCATAAATAAACTGTGCTGGCTTCAAATCCTGTGTCAGTGGAGCCCTAACAGTATGCACTCCTTTGTGTCTTCCCTCTCTTATTCAGTGTTAGGTTACAAGATAATGATTTAATTCAAAACACTGCCATGTGCTCAGCACCATACCAGACATTGTCAAGAATACAAGGAAAATGAAGGAAAAATTCTCTGATCTTAAGGAGAAGGCTCCACTACACATATATTGTTTGATAGAAATTCAGGCCATGAGGGCTGGCTCACGCCTGTAATCCTAGCATTTTGAGAGACCGAGATGGGCGGATCACCTGAGGTCAGGAGTTTGAGACCAGCCTGGCCAACATGGTGAAACCCCATCTCTACTAAAAATACAAAAGATTAGCCGGGCATGGTGGTAGGTGCCTGTAATCCCAGCTACTTGGAAGGCTGAGGCAAGAGAATTGCTTGAACCCAGGAGGCAGAGGTTGCAGTCAGCTGAGATTGCACCATTGCACTCCATTCTGGATGACAGAGCAAGACTCTGTCTCAAAAAAAAAAAGAAAGAAAGAAATTCAGCACTTATTTATATTATTTTGTAAAACCTTAGAACTAATCTACTAGAGTTCCACTGAAAGCCACTTCAGTGATCCCGACTCTGCTGGAAAGAGGATGGGATTGTAGAGTTTGATCACATGTGACAGTGGGTGGCTGGGGATATGGACAGAAGGGGCCTGGGGGCCAGACGCAGTGGCTCACACCTGTAACCCCAGCACTTTGGGAGGCCGAGGTGGGAAGATGACATGAGCTCAGGAATTTGAGACCAGCCTAGCCAACATGGCAAAGCCTCACCTCTACCAAAAATACAAAAAAATTGCTAGGCGTTGTGGTGCACACCTATAATCTCAGCTACTCAGGAGGCTGAGGCAGGAGAATCACTTGAGCCCAGGAGGTGGAGGTTGCAGTGAGCCGAGATCATGCCACTGTACTCCATCCTGGGCGACAGAGTGAGACTCTGCCTCAAAAAAAAAAAAAAAAAATTGGTGTGGGAACTCCTGCTGAGGGCCAAGCAATTTCAATAAAGCCTTTGGCCATGTGTTAGCTTCAAAGGTACAGCACTGGGGTCACCCAGGGGACCTCTCTGGCATTTGAAAAGACTCACTTAAGTGCACAGCAAGGTAAACACTGTGTTGGGAGAAAACTAGGCCATGAAAAAGAAGGCTTTCTGAAAACAGGAGGCGGGTGCCTGCCAAATGGTAGGGGTACAGGACTGAGCCGTGGGGCAAGGGGAAAAGAGCAGTTCTCCTTTCTTACTCCCAATTCTTTAGGTTGGGCGAAAGGAGGACTTTCTATGAAAGGTCCCAGAAGTGGGCTGAGTGGCAGCCTGTGCAGACAAGGGTGATGAGGAAATTCAGAGGCAGGAACCCATGGGTCTGGCCGCCGCTCACTAATAGATTCAGAAGTAATGGTGAAGGAGAAACCATCATTCTCGCTTTGCCTCCCTGGCTCTTTCTCCTTGCTCAAGCTGCCAGGTCACTGCCTAATAATCAAGCTTCTAGAGGTAGGCTGATGACAGAGAGGTCCCAGGTGACCTGCCAGGCCAGGAGTGGGCGGCGTAGTAAAACTGAATTCCTTGCATACCTGGAAGGGCTGCACATTAAGAGTGAGGCACTGTCTAAGAAGGCAGGATAAAGGGTCCAGAGTGTATATTTCAGAAAAGCAAAGAACTGTGACTTGAAAACAGCTGGAAGCATGAGAGGTAATGAATGGCCGAGGGCTGCCTAGGGACACTTCCTCTGAATTGTTGGAAAAAGCAGAAAATAAAAGACAAAGGGCTGCAAAGCACTGTCTAATAAAACCAAATTGTGAAGTAGCTATATGTTTGCTTCTTTATTAATTCATTAAATAACAGAGTCTAGCAGGAGATTTAATAAGTACCATAATTTAGAATGAGAGATGAGTGTAAATCTAATGTGAACCATCTGCAACAGCTGTAATGTGCTACCAAGCTATCTGTGATTTCCCTTGGGGACAAAGTCACAGGTATGGATGATACGCTATGGTTTTTGTTGCTATTCCTAATTACAGAAAATACTGCTTCAGTTAGAGGTAAGTGAAAATAATGATGTCATTTTTTTCCTATCCAAGACCACAAACCTTTTAATGCTATCTACAGACCCTTTGGTGGGAGGTTTGTGGACCCAGATTAAGAACCCCTGGGGGCAAAGCACAGTGGTTCATGCCTGTAACCCTAACAGTTTGAGAGGCTGAGGCAGGCAAATTGCTTGAACCCAGGAGTTTGAGACCAGCCTAGGCAACATGGTGAGCCTTGTCTCTACAAAACATAAAAAAAATTAGTCAGGCGTGGTGGCACGTGCCTGTATTCCCAGCTACATGGGAGGCTGAGGTGGGAGGATCACCTGAGCCCAGGAAGTCAAGACTTCAGTGAGCCGTGATCACACCACTGCACTCCAGCCTGTGTGATGGAGTCAGACCTTATGTAAAAAATAAACAAAACTCCTGGGAAAACTCCAAATTTCTTTTCAAAATCACTACAAACTTCAACTTCATCCAGCCATTCAGGGTCAGAAATCAGATTTCTAGGAATAGCCTCCAAACCCAAAGAATTTTTTCAGCAGCCAAAACTAGTGAGTTACAGAGACACTGGCTATTAGGCCTTGGACACCTCTGTTGTGATTACAGTCATCTAGACCCCTATTTTCCAGCCTCCATACCTTCTTTCCTCAAGGAACATCCTCAGAGAGCTTCCCTGGCTCTTGTCCTACTTGTCAATAGGTGCCATGTACATCACCCTCCTGTCATCTGTCACCGCTAATGGTTGCCACCCTCTTTACTTGCTTTGAAATGTCAATTGGTTGTCTTTTCTCTATTTACTTCATCTGGGCCAGTGGCTGAATGAATCTGAGAACAACAGCAACCAAGTCATTGTGAGATCTCAGCTTCAACACATTCACACCCATAGATTCAGCCCCAAGTTGCCCACATCTTTGTCACTGAGGGAACCAGGTAAGGGAATGTGGATGGGCAGGTATCATGTATCAACAAATATTTATTGTGCCCCTATTGAGCTTGCACATGGTTACAAAGACATGGTGCATGCACCAGTATTTGAAGATGATAATCCCCATTGGATGACCCCTGAGATGACTTTATTCATCTACAATTTCTTATTGGACACCTACTACTTTCCAGGCACTGAGAGGGTGCTGGGAATAAATATTATACACCAGTAAGTGAATATGAAAGATTGCATCCTAATGTAAAGAGTGCCATAAAAGGATTTGTTAGAAACAATATGGGAGAGAATAACAGGAAGAGGGTGTTTTGTTTTATGTGTCAGTAGGCAAAATCCTCCCTGAGACTTTAAATGGAAAAAGACCTGAAGGATGAGAAGGAGCCATTTGTATGAAAGGCCAGAGAAAAATGAAGGGGCAGAAAAGGGCTTGGTGTTTTAAAAGAATGATCGTAAATCCAGGGAAGCCAAGACTGCTGATGAAGAAAGAAACTGGCATGAGCTTGGCTGGAGAGGCAGGCACCTTCCATGTTAAAGCAGGTGAGTGGGTGGAGAGGAGTGGCTAATAGTGTGGCCACCAGAATCAGACAAGCTCAGCTAGAGTCTGGCTCTAAAACTTCTCTAGCTGTGCAGCTCTAGGCAAGTCAGTTACCTTCTCTAAGCCTCAGTTTCCTCATCTTTAAGTTAGGATCATTCTATGGCTCCCTCACTGGGTCAAGAAACACATTAATTAGTGTACTCTGAACAGTGCGCCTGGCACACAGTGTATGCTATGTCATGGTTTGCTATGACCTCTTCCAAGCTCAGTGAGAAGTTGTGGAGGATTTGAAGCAGGGGAGAGACACAACCTGGTTTTTCTTTAACAGATGATCAGCCGTTCTGTGGGCTACTGGTCATCAATAAGACAAAGAGTTGGAAGAGACCCTAGAGGTCATTTACACCAACTAGTTTCCCAGTGGTTCTCTCTAGGAAGGGGAGGGGGCGGTGCCTGGAGAGACATCACTGAAAGGCAGAAGAGTGGCTGTTCCTCAAGTGTGTTGGGCAGGAAAGAAGGTTGAGAGGCGGCCGACCACGACTTGTGGAGAAGGACTCCCAACACCTGGCCAGTGGAAAGCCCACTATTCCCCTTTTCCAGATCGTCCCAAGTCCCACATTCTGCTGTGCAGCCGGCTCCTATTTAGCCACTGTCAATGTCACTGTTCTTGGATTATAAGTGCCTCAAGGACAGCAGCCATTTCCTTTCCACTCTCACTGTACAGTGACTGACACAGGCCCCACACAACTGGGTCCTCTGAGCTTTTGAATTATTGATTGGAAAAAGGAAGATGGAGTCACAGCATTTTAGTGCCACTCCTGGAACCATACAGTCTATAAGGGATCTAGAGGGCCTTTAGGAGGTCCTTTAAGTCATGCCCCTGCCCCAGGGCCATCCTTCCTCAAATCACTCTAGCAGGACTCTTTGCCTCCTGGTTCTCCAGAGAACATTCTGCATTCTGTACTTTGGAAATGCATCCTGGAGGTCACAGCCTATGCAGGGAAATCCTTCCAAACTGCTTCCCCAGACCCCTTCTGCTGCTCTTTACAATGGGAGCACGGGCTATTTCCTGCACGAAGGGGCTCTGGCCATGAGCAAATGCATGGGATAAAAGCCCTCCTGTCTCCAGGGACGTCTGCAGAGACATCTTGGGGGAGGCCATACCAACCCCCTCTGACTGGCTGGAGCTCAGAGCTGCTAGGGGGTGGGGAAGAGTCCTTCAGGTTCCTCCCGGATTCAGCTCTCTAGACCCCGCTAGCTAGCTTCCCAGCTCCTGCGGGACCGCGGCCACCTCCCCTCTGGCTTTGCAGGCATTACCTCTTCTCAGCTCTGGCAGGACTTGCCCTACCCTGGCTCCACAACCACCACCCATCTCCCTCTCACAGACCCCAGTCTTCTTCCCAATTCTGCAAACTCCTCATTCTCTGGTACCTCTCAGGGTCTTCCCTAACCCTGGCGATTCCCCTCCCAGCCTCCCTCTCCTCTTACCCTTCCCAGCCCTAATTCTTATCCAGGTCCCCTTTCCTGTCCCCTCCCTTTAGGTCTCGCTGCTGGCCCCCATTCTTCTCTCAGTCCCCACAAGCTCGCCGCTCCCTAATTCTCCTTCAGGTCTCGTCTCCCCCATCCCCTAGCCTCCCCCATCCCCCTACCTTTTTGACTCCTTGACCTGTCCTCCAACGCGTCTGCTGTCCCCTCCCCGCCAAGCTTTGTCGCGCAAAGATCCACGACCGCCTCCCACCCCAGTTCCCCCTCTGCAGCTGCCCGGCAACCCCGCCTTGCCCGGGAAGGGCCTGCGCGCCGCCCCCGCTCACCTGTTGTGCAGACCCGAGCAAGCTGGGCTTCGCCTTCTCCAGGTCGGGGTCCTGGTCCCGCGGCAGCAGCCCCTTCTTGGGGTGCATGTGCCGACACAGGCAGGTGACCCCGCACAACGCGAGGATGCTGGTGGCTGTGCCCAGCGTGGCGCCCAGCGCGATCACAGGCACCGACAGCACCATGGTGCCCGCTCCCGGCGAGGGGCTGGGTCCCGCAGCCGCTCACCTTCCCCGGGCCGGGCCCGCCTCCAGGCAGCTCCCGGGATCCGGGCGAGCCAGCAGCTCTCCCGCCGCCAGAGGGGCGGGGACGGAGGGAGGGAGGACGGCTGCGAGGACGTCAGAGGAGGCTGGACCCGCAGCCACGTCAACCGGCAACCCCCTCCCCGCCAACACGTGACCGGACCCCCACCCCAACAGGAGCCGGAGCCTTCCAGGTGGAAGGAGCCTTGGGGTTGTTTCAGGCCATTCTTAATGCTTTGTGTACAACAGGGGACAACTGGGCCCAAGAAGTGCTGGAGCTTGCGGAGGTCACACTGTGTTAGAGGACAAACCTGGGCTCCAACCAGATCTGCGACTCTAGGAGTCACTTTCCCAGACTACTAGCTCCTTGCTCACCCTTCTACCCCAGCAGCTGGCCAAGCTGGCTGTAAAATTGGGTCTTCCGGGAGCTTTTTCAAACACAAAGCTGGAGATTTCCCAGCTCCCCAACCTGGGAGATGGTTCTTACAGGGAAGAGGAACAGGCCACAGGTAGAGGGAACAGATGGGATGTTTGGGTTGAGGCTGTACCTGTGTCCTGCTGAAGATGGACAATACAGCTGCATCCCCTTAAGGGTTGCCCAAGAGTTCACCTTTATTACCTAATCAGCAGGTATTCGCACCTTTATATATAGTTGAGGAAGCCGAGGCTCAGAAGAGAGGTGCACAGGTAGAAAAATCATCACCCTGAACCCAAGCTTATGTTTGCAGATTCCAAGTCCACACTCAAACGGACTTGTCTTAGGAGGATAAAGAAGATAAAATGCAGCAGCTAGGAGTACACACTTGATTCAGAGAGGGTGAGCATAAAACTATGCTTAGAACAAGGGGAAATTAGAATTCCGGGCATGAGGACTGTCTTAGCTCAAGAAAACAGTGGCTTTTTAGTGTTCTTCATTATATGGAGTGTTGAATTTAATTCAGCAGATATTTGCTGTGGGTTGGCTGTGCTCTAGGTGTGCTGGGCATGTGTGAAAAGGGATGTAGGTGATTTCATCCACAACAGAGCTTTCACATTTCTATGAGCCAATGTCTCCTAAATCTATAGCCTCTCCAGCCAGACCTTTTCCTCTGAGCTGTAGCTGTGACCACCACCTGGGAACCCACCCGTCCTCCAGTTTTTCAGCTATCTACACTTGCATAAAAACCCACCGATGACTTACTGGCTTAGACCAGTTATTGTGTTACTTGTCATGATTTCATGGGTTGGCTGGGCTCAGTTGGGTGGTTTTCCTGCTCAACATGTTGTCTTCTGGGACTGCAGTCATCTAGGGGTTCAGCTGGACTGGGACATCAGCTCTCCAGACACCATTGCAGATGGTGCAATGGTGAACTCACGTGGTGAGCAGTAGGTGCTGGCTGCCACTGGGATCACAATGGGGCTGTCAGCTGGTGCATTTTGGTTGTCCTCTATGTCACCTCTCCATGGTGCTGGAGCTGCTCACAGCATGCTGGCTGGATTCTAAGAGGAATGAAGCAGAAGCTGCCAGTTGTCTTAAGGCCTGGGTTCAGAAATTCTAGAACACTATTTGATCAAAACAATAGTCTCCCTCTAGTTCTTTCCTTCAGTGACATCAAAAGGAGGTGTCCAAAATACAAAGCTGATCATGTCACTCACAGCTCTCAAAGGTTCTCCAAGAATAAACCCAAGAGACTCAACCTTTATCCAAATCCCTTTGTGATGTGGTCCCTGCTAAGCCTTCCAGACTCCTCTCTACACACTTCCCAATGTGCCCCTGAGCCTCAGCCACCCCATGGACTTGGGATTCCTTCAACAAGCTAACATCTTTAGAGTCTCCATGTTATCACCCATGGGTGCATATAGCAGGCACTCAGTAACCGTGGAATAATTCATATGATCATCTTATGCAGAATTTCCAGTGTTTTGAAGGAATCCCATTTGTGATATGAGCTCCATTTTAGTAAACTGACTTTTCCACAAGTATTTATTGTGTGCCTGCTGTATGCCAGGCACATTTTCCTACTGATCCCCATTTGCTGCAAACTGTAGAGCTGAAGCACTGCAGTCCCTGGTGACAGCCTTAGCAATCTCTCACATAAGAGCTGCCCTGGGAGGTTTTCTTGGCTCCGGGCCTGGCAATGCAAAATGTTTTGTGGAAATAGAGGTTTAATTAATGCTGTCAGCTCCAGGTCTCCCATGCTCAAACGGCTGCCCTGGGAGACCATCAATGCCACTACTCATAACAGGATCTGGGGTGGGGTTAAAGGGGAAGGATGAAGAACACTTAATATCAGAAAATGTCTGATGGGGAATCAGACACCTGTCACATGATCCATTGTTACTATGGTTACTGGGATGACAGCAGCTGCAGTGGCCTTCATTTATAACAGGAAGAGGGACCCCAGCCCAAGAAGAAGAGCTTGCCTTGTGCCTCTTTCACACACAGTGAACCTATGGCAGAGCTAGGAATAGACCCCAGGGGATCCAAAGCCCAGTTGAGTGATCAGGACTCTGGGCTACCTTTGCTACCCAACCAGTCACCCTCATATATCTCATCAAAGATACGATGTTTGCTTCTTGGCTACTGATATGCAGACAGTGGCCTTTAATGACAACCCACAGAAAAAAGGCATCACTAGGTTCCTTTGAAAAATGAGAGTATGCCTATTGGGAAAGGCAGTTAACTGAGTCAGCTGAGTGGATCAGTTAAGACAGTCTGAGGCTGGGACCCACAAATAATTGGAAGTGCTGAGGCCACATTTCTAAGAGCAGACAGAGCAAGATGCTTAGGAGGCATCTACGAGGCTGAGGGATGGATCTTTGAAGGTTCCCCAGCCTCTTGATGAAATGTTCCCATTGTTATTTTGATCAATATTGTACATGTTAGATGTTTAAATATTCTGAATAATCACTCTGAACTTCTAAGGTACTAAAATGCTTTTATCTGGAGAAAAGGATTTCAAATATAGGAGGTTCTCTTATTTAGCAAACATTTGTGGTGTCTACATATGGTGCTATGCAGGAGGGAGGAAAATATACCAGCGGAATAACTGAATTTTAACATTGCAACGATTTCAGATATCACCTGTGGAATCCTTTTATTTTACCAATAAGGAAACGGAGATTCAGAGACATCATGGCTTGCCCAAAGAGTAGGAGTTAATGACAACTGGGATGGTGTTTTAGGTCAGGGTAAACTGGATTCTGCTGCAGTAACAAATAACTCAAAATGTCAGAGATGAACTCAATAAAAGCGTACATCTCCCTCCTTTCTCAATTGAAGGAGGGTCAGATGACTCATTTGGTCAGCTCTTCTCCAGTTGGTGACTCAGGAATCTGGGCTGCTTCTGTCTTGTGATTCCTTCACTTCCAGCCATGCAGGGAAGAGAAAGAGACTTGAGGACTACTTGTGGCATTCTAGAGGACATGGCTGGAAATGGAGGACACAGAGCACCCCATTCCACTGGCCAGAATTTGGTAACAGGACAAATGTAACAGCAAGAGAGGCTGGGAAATGCAGAGGAGAATGTGGAGATGTGTGAGCAAAAGTACTCCTGCCACAGAAGCCAGAGCCTTGTCTAGTGTATATTTCTCTAATTTATTCACTCATTCAGCAGATGTGAGTTTCTATGACCAGGTACTGTGCCAGGTGATACAGCAAAGAGAGTGAGTAAAACCAGGCATGGTCTCTCTTGCCATGGAAAGTTTATATTCCCATGGGGAAGACGGGTGCTCATCATTCATCACACGTGTCAAATTACAAATGTGATACAGGCTAAGAAGAAAAGGTGAATGTTAGAGACTTGACTTGTTCAGAAATATCACAGAAGGCTTCCTGGAAGAAGTAAGAATTGAGCTGAGGTGTTGAAGAATAGAGTTAACTCAGCAAAGAAAGAGGGGAGAGCGTGCCAGGCAGAACAACAGCATGTTCAGCGGTCCTGTGATGGAACAGCACAGTGGGGATGGAGCAGCGGTGGACTGACCAATCAGCTCTCCAGAAAAAAAAAATAGGATTTTTAGCATTTGTTGATTTTTCTGGTATAAAGTAACCCCACCATGGTCGATTTCCAGCTACCAACAAATTCCTGAATATTTCCCATTGGCTCTTGTGAGCTTGGAGGAGCCAGTTTCAGCACACAACTAGGAGAGTGTGACTGAGCCTGAAGGAAGAAACAGGGGCCAGACAACAGGGCTCAGAGGCCATAGTGGAAAGCCATTGCATGTTTTTAGGCAAAGGAGTGTGATATAATCAGAATTGTGTTTTTAAAAGATTCCTGGCCAGGTGCAGTGGCTCATGTCTATAATCCCAGCACTTTGGGAGGCTGAGGTGGGCAGATTGCTTGAGTCCAGGAGTTCAGTATCACCCTGGGTAACATGGGGAAACCCTGTCTCTAAAAAAAAAAAAAAGATTCCTCTGGCTAAAGTGTTGGAAGGATTGGGGAGGAACAAAGTGACAAAGTGGGTGCTGGTGGACTAAAGAGGAAGGCATAGCGGGCACCCAGGGAGAGAGGCCATGCTTCCCTTCAGGAATGAGGAGTTCATGGCAGGCTGAAATTGTTGACAGCAGAAGGAGAGGGCAGGTACAGTGTGGGCAAGTTACTTTTCCTCTCTGGCCCCCAGTTTTCATCTCTGTGCTGCTAGCTCTCTCATTTGATGACTTTGCAGGTTCTCCAAGCTGGACCATGACTGACTGGGTGTTCCCCAAGCCCAAGTCCCTTGCCAAAGGTGAGATGTGCAGGAGGAAGTTGCCTGGGATAAGGGGTGGAAATTCTGAGCCCCACAGCAGGTCTTGCAGAGCCCAGGAGAAAAGAGATACTGACAGTGAGGAGAGTAAGTAGCGCAGCTCAGTCCAGACCCAGGTGTGAGGTCCGCTCCCAGAACTCCCGTTGCTGATTCTGAGCAATTCTGGGCTGTATCTTAAGGCACAAAGGAGAAAGGGGAAAAAGAGACTGGGGAGGCCTGATCCAGAAATCCAAGTCTTTGAATAGCAGGAAACTCTTCTGGTGTTGCAGCAAATTAAAGTGTTACTGTATTAACCACTAGGTAATCAGCTGCCCTGGAATGGACTTTTCAACAATGCAGGATTCTTTCAAATCCTAATTCCATCTCAGCACAAGATAAAGCCACACTTTCTAGTGCTCATGGGCATGGCTCCTTGATTCCCTTCCATTTATTCTGAAGCTAATCTAAAGGCTCCAGTTGGTTATAGGCTTCTGGAGTGTACAACAATTACAAGACATCGTCTGAAGGATTTTGCCTGCCATATGAGAAGGAAGGTTAGCATTTTTTTTTTTTTTTTTTTTCAGAAATGAGGTGCTTAACCTGGTGGGGCTCATGTGAATATAATAAAAGCAATTCTCTTTTCCAGAAGAATGTCTGAATGTTATATATATATAATTTCGTATGTAACTCTAAATTGTTCAAGGATCATATGATGCCTTGAACCGCAGATTAGAAGTTTCTAGAGTGGTTGAAAGAAGAGTGGACTTGAAATAAGAAGAAATGGGTTCAAATCCTTTGTCTTTGTGTGTACTAAGCAGTGTGATTCATTGGCAAAGTAACCTTGATATTTTGGAGCCTTACTTTTCTTATTGGTAAAATAGGGGCAGTCATCTCTACTTTATAGGGATGTTGTGAGGATGGCCTAAAGCGTAGTGCTGTACAAATAACAGGATTCTCAATTAATGTTAATTTTAAAATTCAAATGATCTCATTTGTTCCTGACCCTCTAATTTCTTAATAAAGCATCTTGGCTTAGTGAAAATAGTGGGTATTGAAGTCCCACAGGTATGTGTTATTCTAGCTCTATTGCTTATTAGCTGGGAGTCTCTGGATGGACGAATTAGCTTAAACTGATTAAACTTTCATTTATTTGCAGAAAGTGGGTGATAAATGATTTGGAAATGTGGTTGCAATTATTCCCTTTCCTGTGTCCACACCCTTTTGCAATGTGACTTTGCAAAGAGGTTGAGTCTATTGATCCACTTCTTAATCTGGGCTGGCCTTGTGATTTGTTTTGGCTAATTGACTGTGGTGGAAGTCACATCGTGCCAAATTCTAAGCCTAGGTCTTGAGAGATCCTGGAAGATTCCATTCTCCATCATAGAATCCTGCCCAGCCACCATGTAAAGAAGCCCAAACTATCTTGTAGGAGGATGAGAGATTAAGTGAGCTTGTTATTCCCATGACCCCAACGCAAGCCAGTTCCCGGAATCAGAGCTCATGACTGAATCCGGATAAAACTAGAAAACCCACCCCGCTGAGCCCAGCCAAAGAGCCAACCCACAGAAAAATGAGCTAAATTAAAATTATAAGTCATTTTAAGCCACTAAATTTTAGAGTGCTATGTGTCAAGGGCTGATACAAATGGGGAGATGATAGTCTCCTTGACAGGATTGCTGTGAAAATACGTAGCGCTAATTTCTGTAAGCGTAGGGCCTGGCACATGGAAGCTGCACAACAAATGGCTTGGATTATCATTCCTGGTTCCCAAAGGCAGTGTTACCAGTACTTCCAGCAATGCCTAATAGATACACCAGCTCATTAACAATTGTACAAGAATCAATCTTACAGACTCCAACACTTGAGAAGGGTACAAAATTAGTTCTCTGAACCAACCTCCACTCAACCAACTTTCCAGATTGGCCCAAGCTATCCACTCCTTCTGGAGAACTTGCTGCCTGATGCCCTCAGCCTCTTCTCTCATTGCTCTTTTTCCCCCTCCAATGGAGTCGTCTACTCACTCAAAGAGTTAGTTGTGTCTGTCTCAGTATCTTTTTATGCCAGTTGATCTCATTATTGATTTATAGACTTTAATTAACTGATATGTAAACTAATGACATAGAAGTATAAAGGAAAGTTAGTTCTGTGAGAACTAAGGTGAGTGCTTTGCAAAGACCCATTAGGGTAAGTTGCTTTTAGAACTGCTGTTAAAATAGATATGAGCAAGTTATCTGTAAAAGGTTGGGACAACTCACAAAATTCTAGAAGGACGCTGCCATCAGATTGCCAGGAAAGTGTCTCCAAGTTCTTCCTCTACTGCAGAGAATGCAGGACTGGAAATCATAAATGAGGCATCATGGATATGCACACAAGGTAACAGTGCTAACGTTTATTAAGTGCTTCCTACACATCAGGCTTGGCTCTGAGCATTTTGTCTGTACTAATGTATTTAGAAATTTAAAACGTTTTGACACAGAGTCTAATCATCAAAATTTGGGGAAACTAATGCAAACTATGATTTAGATTAAAATACAATGTTTAAAGTGTGTGTCATTTTGAACTTACAGAAGTATAACCTACAGATGAAAAGTGCATAGGTCATAAGCATAGCATGGTGGATTTTCAAAATGTGAACTCATCTGTTTACCCAGCGCCTAGATCAAAAAATATAATAATAGTCACATCCCCCAAATTCTTCATGTTTTGTTTCTAGGATTCCCCCATTTTAAACGGCATTTTTAGATAGACTGAGCAAGAATACTCTATGGCGGGGAGGAGGAACCACCAGCACTGCCCCACGAATTGGAAGATGCTGCCACCCGGAGGATGTGGAGGGAAATGAATCCTCCCCTAGGTCTTGACTCCCAGTCCTTTTTTTTTTTTTTTTTTTTTTTTTTTCCTTTTGAGACGGAGTCTGGCTTTATTGCCCAGGCTGGAGTGAGTGCAGTGGCACGATCTTGGCTCACTGCAACCTCCACCTCCTGGGTTCAAGCAAACCTCCCGCCTTAGCCTCCCAAGTAACTGGGATTACAGGCGCCTGCCACCACCCCCAGCTAATTTTGTATTTTCAGTAGAGACAGGGTTTCACCATATTGGCCAGGTTGACCTTGAACTCCTGACCTCAGGTGATCCACCCACCTTGGCCTCCCAAACTGCTGGGATTATAGGCGTGAGCCACCATGCCCGGATGACTCCCAGACCTTTACCTCTCCCTATGAGGCCTTCTTTGCCCTTTATGTAAAATTACCAGCTCTCCACCCATTGTCCCATCGCTCCCTGTTCCCCATCGCCTTACTTTTTCAAACCCTTAGCACGTGTCATTATTTAATATTCCTTCTAATTCTCCTTACCTGTCTAATTTATCTTGCTGATGATCTGAGTTCCTCTTCTGGAATAGAGGCCCTAGGAAGGCAGGCGTAGGGCCTGAGTTGTCTAGCAGTGTATCTCCAGCCCTAGAGCAGTGCCTGGCACATCACAGCACTTCAATACATATGTCAAGTGGACAGACAGGAGCCCTGTCCCTGACCCACAGCCCTGCCCTGTGGGCCCTAACCCAAACCCTGAGGCTTCACTGCACCTTCACACACAGCCCCTTTGCAAGCTCACACCACTGCTCCCCTTCTCCCCATACCTTGTGGTGGTGGGGTGGGGGGGCAAAGGGAGAGTCCAGAAACCCCTGGCACTGTGTAAACTGCTCCAGGGCTGAAATGGGAGGAGCCGTGGCCAGAGCCCCTGGCCACTCTATCCTGTGTCATAGCCTGCGCTAGTGGCAGGCAAGCTGGAAACTCTCACTGTGTCGTGGTTAAGCCAGATCAGTCTACCCTCCAGTGAATTCGAGTTCCACAAAGGAACCAGCTGGGTGGCCTCTGACAATGCACTTTATCTTGGTGGGGCTCAGTTTTGCCATCCATTAAATGGAGAGAATGAAGTGATACAATGGGCATGATGTGGTTCACACAATGCCTGGCATGTGGTTGGCACTGTACTATTGGAAATTATTACCACTATTTTGAAGGGTTAGGGCTGAAAGGAAACCTCAAGGTCCTATAGTCCAGGAGAGGCACTTTTCATTGTTATTTGAAAACTCCGCTATAGTTTTATGTGGGAATTCAGAATAAAAGACAGGGTGCTGTGATGGAAAGAAGGTGGGGGAAAGAATCCCCTGGGATCACTGCATCCCCGAGCCCTCCTCCCCACTGTACACACCATCAGCCTCTAGGGACAGTCAGAGCCACCCCCAAAGCAGTGTGAGACCACCGATGGTGATCTACAGCCTCGTTTTACAGATGAGAACACCAAGGTCAAGAGAGGAGATTTCTGAGCTGGCTCCCAGGCCTCCTGACTCTGTCTAGGGTTCACTTCAGGCTCTCTGCTACTTCCCAAGCCATTCATGGGTTTATTTCTCAGCTGGTTAGTGAAGGGCCCAAGGGGAAAGTGAGCTCTTTTCACCTTACTCAAATCAGGGTGGGCTTCCAGATGGAGCAGGAGGAATTTGGGAGACTTTTGACAAAGACTTAATAGCATGTTGGAGAAGGAATCTCAGACCCAAAATCAAACTGGTGAATTTGTGGAACTTTATAGGCAAAGCCAGGGCCAATGTGGTGTCATGGAGCAGATACCAGAGGCAGTTGGGGAATTATTGTGAAAACAGAATCAAATAATCAGTGAGAAGTACTTTGAAGATTGCTTAAGTGCTAGATAAATGACAAGATGTTTATTGTAATCCATATCATCATTACACTTTATGTTAATCAACCGGCCTGGAAGTTAATTCTAATTAGGAAGAGATTCAACACCATGAATAAACATTACTTGGAGTGGTCTGCAAAATGCTGATTTCCAGGCCCCAACTCAAGAGAGGCTGATTCAGGGATCACCCATGGGTCTAGTGTTGAAGATTAATAAAATCTGAACCTTCATCCTTTGCTCCAGTTCTGTCATAAAAACTGAGTTATTTATTTATTGCTCATAACACTAATGACATTTCAAGTCTTGGCCTCAAACTTTCAAGTGTTCATAATTAACATAAACGTCTCAGGAATGAACAAAGGCAACATTCCCTCTCTTTGACAGCTACAGTGAGAGTAAGTTCTTTTCATTTTTTATTTTTGCAAACAATCTGATTAGATGCAGTGTAAAACTGAGATCATTTGTGAGAACATCCATCTTAGTTTCTGTGCAAGATAGAGACATGTGGAATGTGGCTGACTCTCTTCAGGGATGGCCGTGGATTCCTTCACTCCCTTTACATGGAGAGGCAGTGCCCAATTTCCCTCACTTTTGGTGCGAACTGGCCTTGGTGATTTGCTTGGCCAACAGAGTGTGGTAGAAGTGACGTTCTGAAACTTTCTAAACTAGTTCATAGGAAGCCTCTCAACTTCTGCCTGCCTGACCCCACTGGCACCCTCACTCTGTGTGTTCTTTCTCAGAGTTCAGCTTCTTTTTTAAAATTTTTATTTTTATTTTTATTTTTTTGTGGGTAAATATTAGGTGTATATATTTATGGAGTAAATAAGATGTTTTGATATAATATAAGCATGCAATATGAAATAAGAACATCATGGAGAATGGGGTATTCATCCCATCAAGCATTTATGCTTTCAGTTAGAAACAATCCAATTATGTTCCGTAAGTTATTTTAAAATGTGCTATTAAGTTATTATTCACTATACTCACCCTGTTGTGCTATCAGATAGTAGGTCTTATTCATTCTTTCTACTTTTTATGTACCCATTAACCATCCCCATCTCCTCCTTAATCCCCCACTACCCTTCCAAGCCTCTGGTAACAATCCTTTTACTCTATCTCCATGAGTTCAATTGTTTTGATTTTTGGATACCACAAATAAATGAAAACATGCCATGTTTGTCTTTCTGTGCCTGGTTTATTTCACTTAACCATAATGATCTCCAGTTCCATCCATGTAAATGACAGGATCTCATTCTTTTTTATGGCTGAATAGTACTGCATTGTGTATATGTACCACATTTTCTTTATCCATTCATCTGTTGATGGATCCTTAGGTTGCTTCCAAATCTTAGTGCTGTGAACAGTGCTGCAACAAACATAGGAGTGCAGATATCTCTTCCATATACTCATTTCCTTTTGGATATATACCCAGCAGTGGGATTGCTGGATCATATGATAGCTCAATTTTTAGTTTTTTAAGACACCTCCAAACTGTTCTCCATAGTGGTTGTACTAATTTACATCCCCATCAACAGTGTAGAAGGGTTCCCTTTCTCCACATCCTCACCAGCATTTGTTATTGCCTGTCTTTTGGATATAAGCCATTGTAACTGGGGTGAGATGATATCCCATTGTAGTTTTGGTTTACATTTCTCTGATGATCAGTGATGTTGAGTGCCTTTTCATATGCCTGAATGCCATTTGTATGCCTTCTTTTGAAAAATGTCTAAAATGTCTATTCAAATTTTTGCCCATTGTTTGATCAGAGTATTAGGCTTTTGGTGTTTTGTTTTGTTTTGTTTTTTGTTTTTTGTTTTTTTCCTACAGAGTTGTTTGAGCTCCTTATATATTCTGGTTATTAACCCCTTGTCAGATGGGTAGTTTGCAACTATCTTCTCCCATTCTGTGGGTTGTGTCTTCATTTTGTTGATTGCAGGAACTCAGCTTCTATGTTCTCAGAATGCCAAGTACATGGTGAGGTATTGTATAGAAGCTTCAGTTGACAGCCTCAGCTGAACTTCTAGCCAACAGCCCCCACTAACTGCCTTATGAATGAGCCATCTGGTACATACAGCCCACTCTAGCCTTCAGATGACACCAACCCCTGCCACTATTTGAATACAACTGTCTGAGAGACTCCAAATGAAAACTGCCCAGATGAGCCCAGTCAATCCTCAAAATCATGAGGTAATTACACATTATAGTTGTAAACCACTAAGTTTTGAGACAGTCAATACATCCATTACCAAAACGTGTCAATATTTATGTCCCTGTTGCTAGTTTATTCTGTCTTCTGTTGATATAAATCTATCTGCAGGAAAATAATCTGAATGAAAGGGTCTTATAAAATTCCTAAGACTTTAGAGATTATTGCTATGTCCTGGGAAAATAACCCTCAAAGAAAAACCTGCAATTCTGACCAGCCATTTCCCTAGCAATAATGCTATAAAGGACATCTTGGTATTCTTAAAAAGTATAAATATTGGATGGGCGTGGTGGCTCACGTCTGTAACCCCAACACTTTGGGAGGCTGAGGCAGGCAGATCACCTGAGGTCAGGAGTTCAAGACCAGTCTGGCCAATGTGGTGAAACCCCGTCTCTACTAAAAATACAAAAATTAGTTGGGCATGGTGGCAGGCACCTTTACTCCCAGCTACTCAGGAGGCTGAGGCAGGAGAATCACTTGAACCCAGGAGGTTGCAGTGAGCCAAGATCGTGCCATTGCACTCCAGCCCAGACTACAAGAGCAAAACTCCGTCTCATTATATATATATAGATAGATATATAGATATAGATATATATAGTAAGATGCTCTGTCAAATCAGGGCAGGACTATTGGACTCTCTCACATACATGATCAGGGAGAAAAGCCTTTGGCTCTGTTAGACTTCTTATTTTAATAAATAAATGAGGAGGGGTTTTTTTGCTTTTTGTTTTGTCTTTAAATTAAGATGGGAAATCGACGTTTTTTAACAAACTTCCCACATGCTGCTGGTGTGGATGGGCCATGGAGCACAGTTTGAGAAGCATCAATAATTTGGCTGTGCCTCAAGAGGAGGGCAGGGCCTTGAGTTCTTTTTTTGCTTCCCCGGAACCAACTTTCTAGCGACACCTACCTGCCCTGCAGAAACTCCCCCCACTGAACTCCGAGGCTCTGTGGTGTGCAGGTGAGCCTGAACCAGCCCTGGCTCTGCAGACAAGCCTCGCATGGGACCTCGGCAAAGTTACTTCCCCTCTAGGGGCCCCAGTTGCCTTAATTAACCCCATAGGGTTTTTGTAAGGATTGAGTTAACACAGGCAAAGTGCTTAGAACAGCAGCCATTGCATGTGAAAGGGCCTATGAATACTCGTTATTGTTGTTGTTAATCAGAGTTTTTCCGCCTTTCCCACCATATCTAGTAAGGGCCTGAGGGCATGAAGTGATAGTGGTGAACATGCACTTTCTTGCAAGTCTCTGTAGTTTTACCATTTTAACAAAATGAGTCTGATTTTGTATTCTCCTCCACCATAGATTTTTTTTCGAGACAGCTTCTCGCTCTGTCGCCAGGCTAGAGTGCAGTGGTGCAATCTCGGCTCACTGCAACCTCTGCCTCCACGGTTCAAGTGATTCTCCTGCCTCAGCCTCCCAAGTAGCTGGGATTACAGGCGCCTGCCACAACCCCCAGCTAATTTTGTATTTTTATAGTAGAGATAGGGTTTCACCATATTGGCCAGGTTGACCTTGAACTCCTGACCTCAGGTGATCCACCCACCTTGGCCTCCCAAACTGCTGGGATTACAGGCATGAGCCACCATGCCTGGCTGACTCCCAGACCTTTACCTCTCCCTATGAGGCCTTCTTTGCCCTTTATGTAAAATTACCAGCTCTCCACCCATTGCCCCATAACTCCCTGTTCCCCATCGCCTTACTTTTTCAAACCCTTAGCACTTGTCATTATTTAATATTCCTTTTAATTCTAATTTTTGTATTTTTAATAGAGACAGGGTTTCACCATGTTGGCCAGGATGGTCTTGATATCTTGACTTCGTGATCCACCCGCCTCGGCCTCCCAAAGTGCTGGGATTACAGGCGTGAGCCATCGCGCCCGGCTTCCACCATAGATTTTATCAGCCCTGAAATAAAGTGTTTTAAGTCACACAAGGAGGAAAAACAAAAATTGGTCCTAGGTTTGTTTCTAAGGTTCCTGTTGCAGGCCCAGCACCCCTGTTTGAGATGCTCAGCTTTAAATTGCATATCTCTCTAGATAGCTCCCCATGCTTCCCAATGAAGCATCTCATTACATCTTCTTGATTGGCATTCTGGAGGCACAGGTGAGGCAAACACACCTACAGAGTTATAGCGTGCATCCTGGCTAATAGGGCTGAGTCTGGCTTCCGACTGCCTGGGTTCCAATGCCAGCCACTCCACTTAATAGCAATGACAATTTGCTGGATTTCTTTTAAGTCTCAGTTTCCTCATCTGTACTATGGGAGGGGGGCAGAAGGGAATAGCTATGTTATAAGGAATAAGTTAGGTCATCTAACTTGCCTGGCAACAAAATAATATTGGCCCTAGTTAGGTGGGGTCCTGATGGTAAATACAGGAGCCCAGAGCTTGTCCAAGGCACTCCCTTCAGTGAGCTCCCTGTTAACTGTATGTTAAGGGGTGTGTGCGTGCATGCGTGTGTCTCCTGGTTCAGAGGTTCTCACCTAGGGATAATGCTGCTCTCCAGGGGACATTTGACAACATCTGGAAAGAATTTTGATTGCCAAAACTAAGAGAGGGGGAGTTATCACTGGCATCTAGTTGGCGAAGGACAGAGATGCTGCTAAACATTCTACAGTGCACAAGACAGCGTCTTCAAACCAGCACAGAATCATCCACCCCCAAATGTCAGTAGTGCCAAGGTTAAGAAAGTCTACCCTGGTTAGAAAAGAAGCCCCACGAGAGCAGTGTCCATTATTCTTCTGTTCACTGCTGTATCCCCTGACCATAGCAGAGTGCTTGGTCCTCAAGAAATACTTGCTGAATGAATGAGTGATTGACATGAATGAGTGATAATCAAGATTCTTCGAAGGTAGAGACATCCATGGAGCTGGGTGAGCACAGGGTTTGTCTGTGGATCTGTTTCCCTCCCTGAAGAATCACTGAACCTTGGAGAGAGGGTCCCAAGGCTGGGTGAGATCCAGGATACAGGGCCTCTCTGGGGGCTGGATGGTGGATTGCAGGATCATGCAGTACACACCAGGCATACCATTCCAGGAAAGCAATCAGAAAACTCGGCCAGCAGCCGCCAAGAGTGGATACTCCCCTCAATGTCTCTTGGAGTCAGAGACCATGGGAGCCCTCCGGACCACAGGTATCTGGGAGTCAGGTACTTTGTTTGTACCTGACTCAGCCAGGATAGTTTGTCATCAGCAATTTTGAGTCATTTTGGTGGGGGCTGCAAAGCACTTAGAGTAAATCCTTTGAGGGCCTGTTGACAACAAAATAGTTCTTATTTCAGGGCCAATAATGCAATTCCCTTGCATCTCCTTTTTTAAGGTCATCATTCCCTGCCCTGGAAAATGCTATGTCCCAGTCCCAGCATTTCTGCAATTTTGAGAAGAAGGTCCACATCAGCAAATTCCAGCAACTCCCTGACTCTGGCCCCACATCCATTGGCTTCCCTGGTTCTGAGGCCTTTGGTCTTGGACAGAACCACCCTGCTGCCTTCCCTGGTTCTCCAGCTTGCAAGTGGCCTGTCGTGGGTCTTCTCAGTCTCCATAATCATATGAGCCAATTCCCCTAATAAATCCCTTCCTATATACCTATAAAATTTAAACAATTGATATTGTAATAATCCATTCTTTTATTTAACCCCTTTAGTGGGGCATATCTTTCCTCATCTTTTTTTCCTAAGCAAAAGAATCACTAAATCCTCACTTCCTTGGAAAGCAAAAACCAACAAAACCAAATGAACCTAACTTAGGCCTTGCCACTCCTGCAATTAGGAAGGGACTTAGGTCAGAGTGTGTGGTGGAGACACTTCGTTGGGAGGCAGGTGAAATGGATGACTTCCTTACCTAATATTTGTTTAGTACTTTGGCCTATGGAGGGCAGTGGAGTCTCTAACTGAGCTTAATTGTTATTGATGTTTAGTAAGCCATAAAACCCCAATTTCCTGCCTGCACCCCCAGCCATAAAATAACCATCTGCAGCAGCCCGTAAACACCCCCTGGTCACCAGGCTCCATTCGCAGCACCTGTGGAGCTGGTTAATGAGCATGAAGCCAAGGCCTCCTGGACAGTTCTTTCCTCCCCTCCTTTTTGCCTCAGTAGTTCCTCTGACCTGCTCCCCACCTGGGGCCTCCAAAGGCCTGGCTTTGCCACTGAGCAATGGCTGCAGCAGCAGCCCTGTACCCCAGGAAAGGCGAAGGGTCTGGGCTGGGAGCCAGTGGTCCCAAAGGCCTGATGTGCCTGGCCCTAAAAGTGGAGCATCAATCTTCTCCCTGAGCACACGAAGCTCAAGGGGCCCATCTCAGGGCAAAGGGAGAGCAGGAGCCCCGACCCCAGTAAACACCTCCTCCCAATGGACTAGGCCTTGCCGAGGGTGCAGCTGATGGCCTCAGTCTAGGAGGGCCCATTGCCATTGCTGTGAAAGGGCTCAGAAGCTGGGGCTCCACTTTCGGGCTGAACATAGAGGCTCAAGAGCCCTGTTATAAAATTTTCTGGGGTTTAAATACCCTTTAGAGGTTTCCCATTGGCCACTTCGTGTACACCCCATGTAAATGAAGTAGTGGCTCACAATCAGTCCGATTAGTTGGCTTGCAACCAATCAGAGGCTGAAGTGAAGTTACAAAGGTTACACTCTATACCAGCGTATTTAGCCTTTGACTGGTTGTGGGAAGCAACCAATCAGAGGCTAAAGTGAAATTACAACGTTGCACTTCCATGCAAAGAAAGACTTGGCCCGCAATCAGTCTGACTGGCTGAGGAAAGCAACCAATTAGAGGTCCTTTCAGTTTTCCATCTGCAACGCAGAAAAGGTTAGGGGGTGGTTTGCACAGAGAGTAGCCTCCAGTCCTTTCGTTACTTAGGTGTGGAACGTTGGGGTTTTCCCTTCGATTTAGTTCTAGGAAGGTGTGAATCGGCCTTAGGTTCCCTGCCTCCAGACCCTATATTCCTGCCTCACCAGAGGCCTGATTTAGGTTCCTGTGGTTTACCTGTCTCCTGCTGCTGGATGGAGGGTACCTTACAGGCGGTGAGCATGTCATGTTCATCTCTGCATCTCTGTGTACCTCACACAGGGCCAGGCCTGGACCAAGGGCTCCGTGCCTTTCTGAGGAAGAAACAGATGGAGAAAGGACAAAAGACAAGGAGGAAGAGAAGCAGGGAAGAGTCTGAACTGGAAAGGTTTCTGAACCTGGAGATGGCCCTCATCCCATCACTGCCCAGAGCCCAATGGAGCAGTTTGGAGCACTTTGGCTTTGGAGTCAGGCAGACCTGGATTAAGTCCATCTCCACCCCTTACCAGCTATGGGACCCTAGCAAGAAGCTTTTCTTTGAACCTCAGTTTCCTCATCTATAGAATGGAATAATATCTATTTCACAAAATTGTTGTCAGGATCAAAGGAGAAAATATATGAAAAACTCTTAGCACATGACGTATCCTGTGGTTAGCACTCAAACAGTAGTAGCCAGTAATACTAGCGGTAGAGGTAACTGGACAATGTAGGGGAATGGGGCAGTAGGTGTGTGATAGGCCTATAGAGCCTCCTACCTGGGCAGCTGGGATGAGCAAAATCATCTTTGAATTCTTGCAGACCCTCGGAGACCTGCCACCAATATCTTTTTGCACACATAGCACCAGCCAGTGTCCTGACAGTAATGAGAAGGCAGGTAGCGGAAGCCAGAGGACATGAGGAACATTGAGAATTAGGCTTGCAGAGTGGGAAGAAGAGGAAGCTGGGGGCCTAGTGCTCCAGACAGTTGGAGCCACGTGGACTTTCAGGGTCCCTGTGTCCACTGGGATGCTCCTGCAGCTGTCTGTGTCAGCCTTTCCCGAGGGTGAGAGATAGATAAGATTTTCTCCATTCGCCTCCAGAGGGGTTGGGAGAAAGTGATGAGGGAGGCAGATTCTGCCTCATTCAGCCTGAGGAAATTTCCTACAATCTGAGCAGCCATCTAACAGGACACTGTCTACCTGTGGGCAGTGAGTTCCCTGTTGTTTTACGAGACAAGGGACAGAAACCCAACTTAACCTAGTTTAAGCAATCCAGAAAAATTGTTAGCACACCCACCCAAACCAAGGAAAGGTGAGGGCCAGATGATCCCAAGGTCCGCTGGATGCAGGACTCAAGCTTGGCCAAGTTCCTTTCTCTCCGTCTCTGTATGTTTCATCTTGACCTCTTGTTCCTTCAGTATCCTCCGGCAGCTCCTGGGGCCTATCCTGAAGCTTATGGTTTAACTAGAGAGAAAGTTCTCCTCTTTTCCAACATTGATAAATATAAAATTCTGGGGGGGTGCCCGATTGGCCCAGCTTGGGTGGTGCATCTGCCCCTTGGACTGATCACAGGGGCCTGAGGGAGGCAGAGGTGCAGTTGGCCTCCTCATGAAAGACGCGGGCTGGTGGCAGAACCAAACCCATGTTTTTTGCCTTCACTAGTCAGAAGGGACAAGGAGTGGCGAGCAGACGGGAGCAGCAGACACGACCATAAGCACCTGTGAGGAAGCTGCACCAGGGTTTCTTCCAGGAGAGAGGTTGGCCTTGACAGGCTTAAGCCCCCTTTCATCACTTGCAGTCTAGAACTGCTTGCAGAGTCAGGCCTCCCGACTTCACATGTGGGACTCAGGTGTGGGCACAACTGCCCTGCATCTGCCCTGTCACCCCAGGGACTAAGGGCACCTCGGGGTTTTGTGGATAAATGGATGGCCAGATGGCTGTGCTTGTGTCATAGCCAGAGGGGAGGCAGGAAGCTCAGGGACTGGGGAGGCAGTTCCACCTGAAACCCTACGGGTCTTCACAGCAGTGAGACATGAAGTCCGCAGAGGTCAGTGTGTGCCCGCCACGAGTTGTACGCCCAGTCCAGAGGAGCCAGGAGCTCTGCAGAAGCAGAGGTACCCGCAGGTGCAGGGCCCCAACATTGCTCCAAGGGTACCACCCACATCACGGGGTATGAAAGGAGCTGTGCCTGAAGTTCAGAGCCTGCCTCCACCACATGCAACAGCCCTGCTCTCTAGAACCCCAGCTTTTGGTTTCATTCTCAAAGCCAGTCAAGGTGACTCCTGTGGGGCCCCAGGGGCCTCTCTTATGCTCTAGAGCCAACAATGGCAAAATCAGTGGACTCATTCTCTTTCATTCTCTTTCTTGGACCCTCATTCTGGCAAGTGGGTGGGCTTTTTTACAAGGCTGATGTGTTCGATGGGTAATTTCCATCTACAGACAAGCAGGTGGCCATGCCAGGACACATTCTCCTATCCTTGTCGTGCACCCAGCCTCTCAAGCTGCATTTGTGAGTCTTGTGAACTGGTATGCGACTATTCCTGCTACTTGGAAGTAATGCATGTTGAGTGTATCTCATGGCATCTCACCAAGGTGTCCAGATAGCCTTTTCCCGACAAGAAAGCAAGTTGTTCAGGGCAGGCTTTCTTTGCACACACATTCTTTCACCAAGCATAGGTCCCAAGGTGGTTCTGGGAAGACCCTAAATCTCTGCCTCTCGAGTGGCTAGGATTGAACCAGCAGCCCCTGCAGGTCTGGTAACTAGCAGTGAGAAACGCTGGGATGTCTTTAGGTATCCCCATGAGACCCACAGCGTCAGCTCTTGGTAACCTCCCCGACTTTCAACACCTTTAACTCAGACACCTGAGACTCTTCCTTTCTTGCTCTCAATTTCAGCTCTGTATTCCTCAGAGATGGGAAGAGGATGTCTTTATCTAGCACTCTAGGTGTTTGATGT
Organism: Homo sapiens; assembly: GCF_000001405.40. Classification (NCBI taxonomy): domain Eukaryota; kingdom Metazoa; phylum Chordata; class Mammalia; order Primates; family Hominidae; genus Homo; species Homo sapiens. The sequence continues at coordinate 45,305,575 of NC_000011.10, forward strand.
GGGAGCAGAGTTCCAAATGGGAATTCAGGCCACCATATTGACCAGAGCTGTCTCTAATCACTTCTCCTTGAGCAGCCAAAGTGATTTTTTAAATTTATTTCTTTTTTTAAATTGAGGCATGATTCATAAACAGTAAAATTCACCCTTTGGGGCATGCGGTTCTGTAAGTTTCAATAAATGCATACTACCAGGTAGCTCCTACCACAGTCGAGATAGAGAACAGCTCCAAAATATTCCCCAGTGCCCCTTTGTAATCACCTCTTCCCCACAGCCTCAGCCCCTGGAAACCACTGGTCTGTTTTCTGCCTTTTCCACAATGTCACATGAATGGAGTCAAACAGAAGGAAGCCCTGTGCATCCCATTCCTTTCATCTAGCAAAATGTGTGAGATATATTCATGTTGTTGTCTATAGCAGGAGACTGATTTTTTATTGTATTTTATTTGCTCTATGTGTATGTACCCAGATTGTTTATCTATTCACCAATCCAAGGACATCTGGATTGCTTCCAGTGCTTAGTGATTATGAACAAAACAATAACGTCCAGGATTTTGTGTGAACATAAGCTTTCACTCCTGCTGGGTCATATGCATGTTTAACTTTATAAGAAAGTGTCGAGCTGTTTTCCAGAGTGGCTGTAGTGTTTTGCATTCCCACCATCAGTGGAGGAGTGTTCTAGGTGCTCTGCAGCCTGGTCAGTGCTTGGTGTTGTCAACAGAGTGAACTTCTAAAGATGCAATCTGCTTATGTCAGAATGATTCAATGCCTTTTTATTGCTCTCAGGCTGAGGCTCTTTCGGTGTGCCAGGAGGCCCGGCACAGTCTTGCTATGCCCCTTTGTGACTATGCCCCAGCCCCATCACCCCAACCCCAGGACCCCCAGGATCCTGGGGGAAAGTGCGAGGTTTCTCCTCCCCTCTGACTCTGCTCTTTGCTGGGTAGCCCCCTTCTCAACCTACAAACTTCAATGCTTCTCCCTCCACCAACTTTCCTGACTCCAAACTCCAGCTGGGTGACTTGCATCTTCCCTTAGCACCCTGTGGTTTTCCTTCACAGCACTTGTCACAACCTGGAGACACATACTTCTCTCTGTGATCATGAGATTAAGGCCCATCTCCTCCTCCAGCTTGTCATCTCGATGATGGCAGGAACCAAGTCCATTTCATTCACTATTGTTTCTCTAGTTTCTTTAGCACATAGTGAGTAGTCAATAAATACTTGTCATAATCTTGAATAAATGACTGGTGGAGATTCTCTGCAGCTGGGATGGTCCAGGGAAGACTTCAGGCTTTCCATGATCTCTGGCAGGTGTCTGAACTATGGTGTAGGACAAGTTTTCCACAGTCCCCAGGACTCTGGTCAGCCATTGTCACACCCATCAAACACCCACATCAGATAAAGGGTGTGAGCTCAACGCCACTTCCTGGAGCCCCCATGCTACTTGAGGTGGGGCCAGTCATCCAGGAGCACCCTCTCCATTTCCTTCCTGGTGGGCCCAGTCTCTGGTATTTACAAGTAGCTCTGCTTGTTTTCTATCATGCTTTGTATTTTATTTTATGTTCCTCCTTTTTAAATTATGAAATATTTTGACATAGCAAAAAAACAGTAGAGAGGATAATATTTAATACAGTGGGTATCTGGGCTCCCACCACCCAGAATAAGAGAGAAACCATTATAGATATAGCTTAAAGCCCCTCCTCTCTGCCATCTTTTTCTTCTCTCTAGAGGTAACCTGGGAAGTCTGGAATTTGCCGGTTATTTATTTTCATGTGTGTTTTGTGTTTGAAACACATATGTGTGTTTTTATATACTGTGTTTTTCATATTTTTAAATTCTATATATTAATTGTATGCATTCTTTATTGTATGCAGTCTTTCCAATTTTATGTTGGTGGGATTTATCCATGTCATGTCTATAGCTCTAGTTCACTCACTCCCAGTGGTATATGGTATGTTATTAATATTATTCAGATATACCATAAGTAGTTATTTGTTCTCCTGCTGATGGGTAATAAAAGTTGTTTCCAATTTTTACTGTCATAAACAATGTTGAATTGAGTATTCTTATATGTCCTCTTTCTGTGCCAGAGTTTGCTCTAGAATGTACCCAGGAGTGGATGGCAAGGTTGTAAGAGATGCACACCTTAAGTTATCATAAACCAAGCTGCACCCTCTAGCATTGAAAGAGAGAGTTTTCACTGTTCCTTATCTTTACCATCACTTGGTGTTATCTGACTTTTAACTTTTGCCAATAATGGGGGTAAAATAAAAACTCATAATGAGATTGATTTGTATTTCCCTAATTATGAAGGATACTGATCATCTTTTCATAGATACGTTTCATATTGCTGCTTCTGAGAAACGTCTTTTTATGGTTTTTGCCAAATTTTACTATCTTTTTCTTCTTTGCTTCGTAGAAATTCTTTATATAACACTGATCCTAGTTCTTTGTCATTTATATGGAAGATTTCCTCTCCCAATTAGTGACTCATGTCTTCTCATTGTTTATGGTGACTTTTGCTACACAAACACTTTTAGTGTGAAGACAATCAAATCTATCCATTTTTTCTTTCATAGCTGTGCTTTTTGTGTTTTAAACAATTCTTCCCTATTTGAAATAATAAAAATATTCTATATTTTATTCTGAAAGTTTTAAACTTCTGTTTTTCACATTAAGTCATTAATCTGTGTGGGAATTTTTTCTGTGTTCGGTTGGAGGTAGGGAGCTAATTTTACTTTTTCCATAATCAGTCTTCTGTACGTGGTTGATTGACGAGTCCATCCTTTTCACATTGATTTGCAATGCCATCTTTGGCAAGTATAAAGTTTCCTTATTCATGTGGGAATATAATATTTTCATCTATGTTTCTGGACTCCCTATTCTGTTCCGTTAATCCATATGTCCTTCCTTGTTCTCGATCACACTGGGTTTCTATTAAAATCCTAATACCTGCCAAGACAAGCTTCACTAACTGCAAAATTGTCTTGGCTATTCTTGCTTTTTCATATCTCTATATATTTAGAATCCATTTGTCAAGTTCAATAAAAAGCATCTTGGGGATTTGGACTGGAATTGAATTTAGAAATTGATTTGGGGTGAATTGATATATTTATGTGGTTAAATCTTCCCGACTATGAACACAGCTTATCTCTCCATCACTGTGGCCTTCTTGAATGTCTTTCAATTAAGTTTTATTGTTTGCTACCTAAAGATCTTGTATATCTTTTGTAGTCTTTAATTATTTTGTTGTTATATTTAAATGAAATCTTTTAAAAATTTCCTTTACTAGCTCTATGATGCTAGAATGTAAAAAGTGAATTTTATCTTTGTTTATTTGTCTTTTATTTTTTTCTTTTGTTTTGAGATGGAATCTCACTCTGTCGCCCAGGCTGGAGTGCAGTGGCACAATCTTGGCTCACTGCAACCTCTGCCTCCCAGGTTCAAGCGATTCTCCCTGCCTCAGCCTTACCACGTCCAGCTAATTTTTGTATTTTTAGTAGAGACGGAGTTTCACCATGTTGACTAGGCTGGTCTCGAACTCCTGACCTCAAGTGTTCCACCCCCCTCGGCCTCCCAAAGTATTGGGATTAGAAGCATGAGCCACCTCGCCAGCCTTATCTTTGCTTATTTATTTTATATGCAGCAACCTTGCAAACTCTCTTAGTTATAATTTGTCTGTAGATACTCTTGGGTCTTCCATGTGGATAATTTTTTCTTTCTGTTCCATCTTTACTCATTTCTTTTTCTTTTATTACTGTGCTACCAGGAGCTCCAAATCAATATTGAATAAAAGCAGAAATAGCAGATATTCTCAATGGAGTCAATGTTTTTTAAAGGAGAATCTATTTGGATTTTCTATATCTTTTTCCTCTTCTTTATATTTTATTTTACAAATTTTCTCTAATTGGTGTGCATTACTTTTATTTTCCCTTTTATTTTCTTTATTATTATTATTATTATTATTTTATTATACTTTAAATTCAAGGGTACATGTGCACAACGTGCAGGTTTGTTAAATATGTATACATGTGCCATGGTGGTTTGCTGCACCCATTAACTCATCATTTACATTAGGTATATCTCCTAATGCTGTCCCTCCCCCTTCACCCCACCCCACGACAGGCCCTGGTGTGTGATGTTCCCCACCCTGTGTCCAAGTGTTCTCATTGTTCAATTCCCACCTATGAGTGAGAACATACAGTGTTTGGTTTTTTGTCCCTGTGATAGTTTGCTGAGAATGATGGTTTCCAGCTTCATTCACGTCCCTACAAAGGACATGAACCCATCTTTTTTTATAGCTGCATAGTATTCCATGGTGCATATGTGCCACATTTTCTTAATCCTGTCTATCATTGATGGACATTTGGGTTGGTTCCAAGTCTTTGCTATTGTGAATAGGGCCGCAATAAACATACGGGTGCAAGTGTCTTTATAGCAGCATGATTTATAATCCTTTGGGTGTATACCCAGTACTGGGATGGCTGGGTCAAATGGTATTTCTAGTTCTAGATCCTTGAGGAATTGCCACACTGTCTTCCACAAATGGTTGAACCAGTTTACAGTCCTACTAACAGTGTAAAAGTGTTCCTATTTCTCCACATCCTCTCCAGCACCTGTTGTTTCCTGACTTTTTAATGATCACCGTTCTAACTGGTGTGAGATGGTATCTCATTGTGGTTTTGATTTGCATTTCTCTGATGGCCAGTGATGATGAGCATTTTTTCATGTGTCTGTCCCTTTAATTTTCTTTAGAAAAAAATTTTAAGCTCCTAGAAAAGTAGAAAGTGTACCTCCTCACCTATATTCACCAACCTTTAATATTTTGCCATGTTGGTTCTGTCTCTCTCTTTTTAAATACACACACTTTCCTCTCATCAAATCATTCAAAATAGTCTACAATTATCATGATATTCACCCCTAAACACTTCAGTATGCTTCCCCTACGAATGGAGGCATTTCCCTACACAAGCTCATTATCATTACCATATCTAGGCCAATAATTCAATTACTTTATCCAACATATGGTCTATTTACAAATTTCCTCAGTTATCTTCCAAACATATGCCCTTATGTGTCTTTGATCTCCTCCAATTTAGAACAGTTTCCCCCATCTTCTTTTGTGTTTGATTTAGCTTCTTTCAAATAAACATTATATTAAGAATTTCATCCATACTAACAACATGTAACAAGAGTTCATTTATTCTCATTGCAGTATAATATTTTATGGTGTGTGAACCCATTACAATTTATTTACTTGTTCTACTCTTGGTGAGCAGTTGGGTAATCTCTAGTATTTTGTTGTTATTAATAGTGCTGATAATAATATTCTTGTGTACATCTCCTGGTGAACACATGTATTTACCCAAATGGGGCATCATCACTGGGTTATTGGATGGGCACATGTTCGGCTTTATTAGAGACAGAGCTTTTCAAAGTATTTCTACTGATGTATTCTCCCACTAGCAATGTATAAATGTTCTGTTTGCTCCAATGGGTATTGAATCTTTTAAATTCTGCCCATTCTGGTAGGTTAGTTATGGTTTCTTATTGTGCTTTTATTTTGCATTCCCTAGTAATGAATAAAAGTCAAATATCTGGCCTGGCACAATGGCTCACGCCTATAATCCCAGCACTTTGGGAGGCCAAAGTGGGTGGATTGCCTGAGCCCGGGAGTTTAAGACCAGCCTGAGCAACACAGCAAAATCCCGACTCTACAAAATAGGCCAAAAAGTAGCTGGGCATGGTGGCGCATGCCTGTAGTTCCAGCTACTCAGGAGGCTGAGGTGGGAGAATTGCTTGAGCTGGGGAGGCAGCTGTTGCAATGAGCCGAGATCACACACCATTGTACTCCAGCCAGGATTACAGAGCAAGAACCTGTCTCAAAAAAAAAAAAAAAAAAAAATAGTTGAACACCTTTTCACATGTCTATGATCAAGTTGGGAAAAATTTACATCTTTGCAATATTTAGGTCTTCTTTAATCTATTCCAATAATATTTTACATTTTTAAGTGATGAGGTCTTGCCCAACTTTCATTAAGTTTATCCCTAGATGTTTGATGGTCCATGGTACAGTAAAAGGATTCATTTTAAAATTTTTGTTTTCTATGTATTGTTGCTGGAACATAGAAATACAATTAAGTTTTTATGTTAGCTTTGAATCTAGTGGCCTTGCTAAACTTGCTTAGAAATTCCAATAGTTTCTCTGTAGATTCTTTGGAATTCTCTACATACACAATCACATCTTTTACAAATAATGGCAGTTTTATTTCTTTCCTCATACTAACACTATTTATTTCATTTACTTGCCTTATGCCATTGGTTAGAACCTTCAATATGATGTTAATAAGTGTCATTATGGTAGCCATCCTTGTCTTATTCCCAATCTCAGAGGGAAAAGATTTTAACAATTCAGCATTAAGTATAATGTTTGCTGTAGGGTTTTTTTGTAGCTGTTCTTTATCAAATTTAGGCAGTTCCCTTCCAGTCCTAGCTTGCTAAGAGTTTTCTTTTTTATTATAAATGGTTATTAATTTTTGTCAAATGAATTTTAATGTGTCAAAGTAATCATATGGTTTTTTCTCCTTTCATCTATCAATGTGGTGATCTACATTGATTAACTTTTTGTGTTGTGATGTGATATTCCTTTATATATTGCTGTACTTGATCTCCTACTACTTGAAGATTTTTGTATAAATATTTACAAAAAGAATTATCTATAATTTTTCCCTATAATGTTCTTTTCAAGTTCTGATATGCAAGCTATACTGGTCTCATCAAATGAGTTGGGAAGTATCCTCTCTTTTTCCACTCTTTGGAAGAATTTATGCAAATTTGTATTATTTCTTCCTTAAATGTACGGAAGAATTCTCCAGTGAAGCCATTTGAGCCCAAAATTTTCTTTGTGGGAATATTTTTATAAACAGATTCAATTTACTTAACAGGTGTAAGAAAATTTAAATTTTCTATATTTTCCTTCTTCATTTGCCAAGTCTATTTCTTTTTAAAAGAAAGTTGTCCATTTTATCAAAATTTTTAAATTTTTTAAAATAAAATTGTTTATAATGTCTTCTTCTTATACACTTCTGTCTAAGATCTGTAGTGACGTCCTCCTTATATTAATAATTTGAGTTTTATCTCTTTGTTCTTGGTCAGTATTGACAGAGGTTTATTTTACTAATCTTTTCAAAGAACTAACTTTAGGCTTTATTGATTTGTCTCTATTGCATGCTTTGTATTGCACTGATTTCTGATTTTTATCTTTATTATTTTCCTCTTTCTACTTTCATTGGATTTAATTAGCTTAGGATTTTTTTGATCTTATTGAGATAAGAATTTAAACTATTGACTTCTTTTTTTTTTATTTCTAATATATGTACCAAAGACTGTAAGTTTTTCCCTAAGCAATGCTTTGGCTTTATCCCACATATTTTATATGTCTTATCTTTATTGTCATTCATTTCAAATTGTTTTCTAATTTCTATTGTAATTTCTTTTTTTGACATATGGATTTTTAAACATACATTGTTTAACTTCCAGGCAGTTGGTAATCTTCTAGTTGTCTTTTTGATATTAATTGCTAGCTTAATTCTAGTTATCAGAGAATATACTCTGAATGCTTCTAATCTGCTGAATTCTTTTTTGAGACTTTTAAAAATAGACTGGCATGTGGTAAATTTGGTAAACATGCCATGTGCACTTGAAAAATGTGTGGATTTTGTCACTGTGATACTGTGATTTACAATAAGAAATATCTATTTCAGTCTTTGTCCCTGGTTCTTGGCACAGAACTCCTAAAACCCTTGTAATTTCCTGAGCAGTAGGAGTGCCAGGAGCCTCTTTTGCTCTACTATTTGGTCTTTTACCCTGGTTCCTAACACACAGCTTTTAATTCCCTGGAATTTGTGAAGTCTTTTGCATCTTTTGCTCTAATGACTTGTCTCTTGCTGGTTCCTGAATGAGAGCTGGTCACCAGAGATAGAAGCCATGATTAGAAGCTTGGAGCTTCCAGCCCCACCTCACATTCTCTGGGATTGGGAGAGGGGCTGGAGATTGAGTTAATAACCCATCATGCCCAAGTGATGAAGCCTCCATCACAATCTCTGCACTCTGGGGTTTGGAGAGCTTCTAAATAAGCACATCCATGTGGCAAGAGAGTGGTGCGTGCCAGCTCCCTGGGGACAGAGGCTCCTGCACTTGGGATCCTTCCAGACTTCATCCTTTGTATCCCTTCAACTGTCTGTTCATTAGAAATCTTTATCATATCCATTAATAATATAATAAACCAGCAAATGTGTTTCTCTGACTTCTGCGAGTTGGTCTTGAAAAGTAATTGAACCTGAGAAGGGGGTCTGGGAAACCTCCAGTTTGTAGCCAAGTTGAACAGAAGTTGTGGGTAACCTACCACTCGGAAGTGATATCTGAAGTGAGGGGCAGTCTTGTGAAACTGAGCCCTTCACCTGTGGGATCTCACTGTAACTCCAGGTAGATGGTGTCAGAATCTGGTTACATTGTAGGACACCGTGTTGGTGTTCACTGGAGAACCGGTTAGTGTGTGGGGAAAACCCCAAGCACATTTTGGTAACCAGAAGTGCTTTGTGCTGTGTTAAAAGTAGAAACAAAAGTTTAGTTTTTTTCTATCTCCTACACAGTTGTCAGTTGCAGTGGTGTTTTTTGTTTTGTTTTGTTTTTGAGACAGGACCTCACTCCACTGCCAAGGCTGGAGTGCGTGGCATGATCTCAGCTCACTGCAACTTCTGCTTCCCAGGCTCAAGCAATCCTCCCTCCTCAGTCTCCTGAGTAGCTGGAACTACAGGTGAGTGCCACCATGACTGGCTAATATTTTTTTTTTGTAGAGATGTGTTCTCATTATGTTGTCCAGGCTGGCCTCCAACTCCTGAGCTCAAGTGATCCTCCCACTTCGGCTTCCTGAAGTGCTGGGATTACAGGCATGAGCCACCACACCTGGCAATTTGCAATGTTGTGTGTGTGTGTGTGTGTGTGTGTGTGTGTGTGTGAATATATATTAATTGGGTCAAGTTTAAGGTTTTTTTGCATATCTATATTCTGCATGTTTTTTGTCTGATTGTTCTATCAGCAATTAAATAAGTCACATTAAAGTCCCCTGCTATGATTGAGGCTTTGCATCTTTCTTTTATTTTTTAAGTCTTACCAATTTGTGCTTTAAATATTTTCACATTATGATACTGGGGGCATGCAGATTTAGAACTGTGATATCTTTCTGGTGCATTTACACACCTGCATCCTTATTTATTTCCCCTCTCTCTAGTAATGCTTCTTTCTGCAAAGTACACTTTGTCTGACATGTAGTCTTAGATATATGGTTACCTCAGTGTTTATTTGGTTTGTATTTGCAAAATGTATCCTTTTCAATTCATTTAAGGTTTCTTCTTATGTTTAAAGTATATCCTAGATCACAAACTCCCTTTTAAAATTCTGGCTTCATGTGAGTATCTTTAGGGTGACCTCCCTACTGCCCTGGTCCCAGGCTCTATGTCCTGTCTTGGACACCTCCTGCGCTGTTAAAACCCAATTGGCCACCAGGGATGAAAAGATGTCTTTAGAGCAAACATCAACTCCAGCAATTTCTTGCCCTTCTAGTCAGCATCTCTTGTCATTTCTGCCCTATGATTGTTTCCCTGACTTTCATGCCAGCTCAATCGGGCTTTTGAAAAATATTTTACTTCTACTCTCTTAAGCATTTTTAGATCTTTCTGTATGGAGAAGAGTTTCTTGGAAAACTCATTCCAAAATATTTCTGAAAATGGAAGCCTCTTCTTTGTCCGTTCCCCAGCTGGGCTGTTTGTCATATTCTTATCAATTTATATTGATAAGATCTCTTTCTATTAGGGATATTACCCATTTACTCATCATTTGTTTTATACTATGTCCTCCTCGAATAGACTTTGTCTTTTGACTTTGTTTGTGGTGTCATTTTTAGAGAGAAAATGTTAATACTTATGAAATTAAATCTGTCCATTTTTTCTTTATGGCTTGTGTGTCATACCTTACCTAATAAGGTATTTCCCACTTCTACATTTTATCTTTTTAGAGTTTTAGTTGTTATATTAAGTCTTTAAAACATCTGAAAATTGTTAATGTGCACACTGTATAGAAAAGATCTAACTTTATTCAATCCAGATGCAGAGCCAATTTAGTAAATAAACGGCTCAACCCACTGAGCTGAAGCATCACCTTTGTTATGATTACATTCTCACATATTTTAGGTCTATTTTTGGACTCTCTTTCTTGGGCCAAAGATATATTTGTGTATTTTGGTGTCAAAATTAGACTTATTTCTCTTCTAATACCTTTAGACCAAAGTTTTAATTATTTTCTGGGGCAAGTTTCTCCTCACTACTACTTTTCAAAAATTTTCTTGGCAATTCTTGAATATTTATTCTTCCATCTGAATTTTAAAATTATTTTTCCTATTCCAAGGAGAATTATATCATATCGTTACATTTTTACATTATACTTTATGCTAATTTAAGAAGGATTTTTCTTTTCATTTTCTCTTTTAAAAATATTTTTTCTTTTTGAGATGGAGTCTCGCTCTTGTAGCGCAGGCTGGAGAGCAGTGGCAAGATCTCGGCTCACTGCAACCTCAACCTCCCGGGTTCAAGCGATTTGCCTGCCTCAGCCTCCTGAGTAGCTGGGACTACAGGCGCCCGCCACTATGCCCAGCTATTTTTTTTTTTTCACATTTTTAGTAGAGACGAGGTTTCACCATGTTGTCCAGGCTAGTCTCAAACTCCTGACCTCAAGTGATCCACCTGCTTTGGCCTCCCAAAGTGCTGGAATTACAGACATGAGCCACCGCGCCCAGTCTAAAAATATTTTTTCTATGCACATGTAGTTGAAATTGCAGAATGAATATGCTTCTTTGCAAGCAATATGCTAAGTCCTCCGTATATGATTTTCTTTAATTCTCACAACAAGCTCTAGGAAGGGATTATTGATATCTTCATTGTCGGTTAAGGAAGAGAAGGAAGCAAAATGAAATATCGTGCCCAAGATCACAAGTTCAGAGCAGCCAGCCGTTTTATCCCTGGTCTTCCATGTGCCATGCCCATAAGGTCATGTGGGAATCTGAGAACCCATTTCCTATTATTTTGGAACCCTTCTCAGCCTCACTTTTTTTTTTTTGAGTCTTTTTTTTTTTTTTTTTTTTTTTTGAGACGGAGTCTCGCTCTGTCGCCCAGGCTGGAGTGCAGTGGCGCGATCTCGGCTCACTGCAAGCTCCGCCTCCCGGGTTCACGCCATTCTCCTGCCTCAGCCTCCCGAGTAGCTGGGACTACAGGCGCCCGCTACCACGCCCGGCTAATTTTTTGTATTTTTAGTAGAGACGGGGTTTCACCGTGTTAGCCAGGATGGTCTCGATCTCCTGACCTCGTGATCCGCCCGCCTCGGCCTCCCAAAGTGCTGGGATTACAGGCGTGAGCCACCGCGCCCGGCTTTTTTGAGTCTTTAAGACTACTGTTAGGTAAGTAATAGTCAAATCTTCACTCTGCTTAAAATAGAAGATTTGCTTTGGCATCTCTTGGAACACGGATTTCATCTCAAAGCCCAGCCCACCTGTCTGCTAGAGCCTGGTCATTCATTCATTCTTTCACTCAGCCAGCAGGTATGTGTGGGGTGCCCAGTGTTGGTCTTCATATGTCACTGTGGAGCCACTGTCAGAGATCAGAGAACAAGGCTTTGCTCCAATGAGCTTACAATATATTTGAAGAGCTATAAATGCACATAGAGAGGGAAAGACTAAAGCACAGACTAAAACATCCAACTCTAGACTAGTCTCTCTGGTGTCTGTTCAGGCCTCAGGCCCAAAGCCTGGCAGGTGTAGCATCTGCTTGCGGAAGGAAGAAATAAATAGAATCAACAACACAAGAGGCTACGGGACAAATGGAATGACAGAAGTTTATTTTACACATCCATGGAGAATAGCTGTCTCCATTGGGAAAAGAAATGCAACTAAGTACATGCCCAACTGAGGTCCTTTCTGTAAAATCACCTTTGAAATAAAGGAGGTGTCTTTTATAACAATATTCTTGTGATGATGAAAGGAGGTCACATTCTGGGGCACTGGGCAGAAATGAAAGCAGCTCTTTCTCTCATTCTTATTTGCCTTGTCCAGATCCTGCTTGAGATGAGGACACTGTTCTGGGGGAGGGTCCTGGGAAAGGAACTGGGAATGACGTGGGCTTGTTCCGGTTCTGCCTCAGATGGGCTGGGCTCCTTTTACCACCTGTTGGACTGCTCTAGTCTGGGGTCTTCACTGATGCTTGTTCTGTTTTATCAACTGGCTCATTTCTCTTTTAGAGAGTTAATTTTTAATGGAGATTTTATCTCCTAATTTAAGTCTTCTACTTTTTTTTTTCAAAATGTGATGAGTTTAACAGGAGGGGATTTTAGCAATAGCTCATTCATCATTTCTGAGATTAATCCATTGAAGATTATATGCCTCAAGATCTTAACTGATTTTCCACTGAAAAAGGAGGGGAAGGTTCTGTGGTTAAGACAGTTCAGGAATGCCAGATTAAAGAAAATTGAAGAGGCTTCTTGACCACAGGACTTTCCAGGGCTCTGAATACCCTGATTTTATTTGGCATGTGTCTTTAAATGGCAAAGAGAGGGCTGCAATCAGAATCTCTTTGACTCTGGGACTTTTGGGTTTACCATCTTCCATGTTCCATAGGACTCAATTTGGAAAACTTTTTCCAGCCCAACCCTCTTATTTTACGGACAAAAGAGCTGAGCCTCAGAGCAAGGAATGACTTGCTTAAGGTTCCCTATTCACTGATGGCCAGAGCTGGAATCCTGACTCTGAATCTAGGCTCTTTTCAATTAAATAGAGCACTATTTCTGAGCCAGGGCAGGTTGAGAGGTGAGCACAGTTAATATGGGGGTTATATGTGAAATAAATAGAAAATCATGAAGGCTTTGTCAAATACGGCCACCTAGAGATGAATGGAGGGATGCAGTAAGCCCAGGAAGCCCTGGGCTTACTTAGTAGGATCTGCTAGGCTGGATGGTGGTGGTAGGAGCTGTGGGCTCACCTCCTCTCTGTGTCTCTTCTGCCACTCCCAGCCCTCATGAGAACCCTTTGTAGCTGGGCCACAGCTCTGTGATGCTGGCCACAACTCTAGTCTCCAGTGTACATGCCCGGGGCCCAGCTGCCTGAGGGAGGAGTGGGCTTGAAGTGATGGGAGGAATCTCTCTCTTTTTCTGAAGAGGCCTAGAGTCTCATGCTGAGGTCAAGTCTGACTCCCTGGAGCACCAATTCTATCTTTTACTTCTTATGGGGTGAACTCCTCCTTCTGTTTCTGTAAGTCCTACAGAGGAATCTATTTCGATCACTATTGAAGAAAATTGGAGACATAGAAAGCCAAGGTCCAATCCCAGCAAAGAATGAATCTTGTCCTTGTAATCAGCCAATGGGCTCTTCTTGCCCACTGCACAGATACAGCTGATTCACTGAGACAGCTGTATTGCAGTAAAGAAAGGGTTTAATTAATGCAAAGCTAGCTACATAAAGGACAGGAGTTTATTTCTCATATCAGCCTCCCCTGAATATTCAGAGACTGGGGTTAAGGATAATTTGTTGTGCAGGGGACTAGGGAACAGGTGCTGCTGATTGATTGGGGCTGAAACCATGGGGGCATGGAAAGTAGTCCTTGTGCACTGAGTCAGCCTCTGGGTAGGGCCACAAGACCAGATGAGTCACAAGTCACGGGTCCAGGTGAGAGTCAGCTAGTCACCAGAAATGCAAAAGTCTGAAAAACATCTCAAAAGACCAATCTTAGGTTCTACAATAGTGTGTTATTTGTAGAAGTAATTGGGAAAGTTACAAATCTTGTGACCTCTGGAACAAAGGCTGGTTTAATATGCCTACATCTTAGCAGAATTCAGGCCCCTCTCATGATCCTAATCTTATAGACTTATATTAGTTTTTATAAAGGCAGTTTTCATCCCTGAACGAGGAGGGGCTAGTTTTGGGAAGGGCCATTTTCATCCTTACTTTAAGGGTAAACTATAAACTAAATTCCTCCCAAAGTTAGGTTGGCCTACACCCAGGAACGAACAGGGATGGCTTAGAGGTTAGAAGCAAGCTGGAGTCAGCTATGTCAGATTTCCCTTAGCGTCACAGTTTTGCAGAGGTGATTCCATTTTTCTTCCTGCTTTTTGAAATTATTTGGTGCAGAGAAACATCTGGGATTGGAACTCTCAGGAAAGATTAGAACAATATTCTAAGGAACAGGCAGGGCAGGGCAGGGCAGGGGTTGGCAATAGAAGCTGTGAGCTTCTATTGAGTCTCACAGACTACATCTGAGGATGGCAGAAAGCTCCAGGGTAAGATGCCAAAATGGGTGATTCAGTGATCATAGATTGGATTATTATTATATTATTATTATTATTAGTCAGAATCTTGCTCTGTCACCCAGACTGCAGTGTAGTGGCACAGTCTTGACTCACTGTAACCTTTGCTTCCCAAGCTCAAGCGATTCTCCTGCCTCAGCCTCCTGAGTAGCCGGGATTACAGGCACACAGCACCATGCTCGACTAATTTTGTATTTTTAGTAGAGATGGGGTTTTGCCATGTTGGCCAGGCTGGCCTCGAACTCCTGATCTCAAGTGATCTGCTCACCTCGGCCTCCCAAAGTGATGGGATTACAGGTGTGAGCCACCACCCCCAGACCATAGATTGGATTATTAAGAGAGTTTAGGACACCTGTATGGGACAGAGTCCCACCACTCTTGCTCATTATCACCTTTGCATCTCAGGTGTGTCTGTGTCGAGCCTTTCTTTTGCATTAAGACTGATCTGGAGACAATGCTGGACCTGTGGAAGCCTCTCATTAGATGCTCTAGCAACACCTTCAAAGGGGAGGTTCCCAAGAAGTGACTCTAGACTCTGCTCTGCCCATCCAGAGGGCTGAAAGAACCACAGAGCTGGCAAGGGGCCCTGCAGTGGGGTGGCGCTGTGAGAGGTGGAGGAGGGACTAGTGGTTGGTTTTGGAGGACACGTCTCAACTTCCCCTTTGAGGTGACATCTGGTCTGCATCCCCTACCAGGCTCCCAGGGATACTGCATGGGAATACACTTTGTAAATGACACAGTGCTATACACGCAAGAGCCTTACCATTACTGTCACTGGCCATTATACTCCCTAATTCCTAGTGTTCTTAGGGCCTAATCTTAAAGGGTCTCCCCTGAAAGGAACATTCTCCTCAGTTTCCTACCCATGCCTAACCCAGGCTCTGGCTTGCATAGCTGGTCTGGAGAAGCTGAGGCAGCATGGCACCTGCTTTCTCTTAGGAAAAGGTGGTGTATTTCTCCTTCTTTCCTGGTCCTTCTTCCTAGCATGATCTATGCAAGTCTAGGGTCCCAAGACAGGGCGATGTGGGAGGTGAAACCCACAGGAAAGGTGATGTGAAGGAAAATCTAGGGGTGAGGGATATAAGGGTTGCTGAAGAGCCAGGGATGTGGGATGTGGCCCTGCCCATCCCCTGCTGGACCCCATGCTGATCCTGGCCCCAACTTAGTGTGAGGCCTGTCTCCTGCAGGCATAAGGCAAGCTCCTTTGGGAGGGCGGCTTTTTGCAACAGTTGCAGCAAGCTCACTGCTGCAGGTTATGATATGTGACTGTCTGCTGTTGGGGGAGCCTGGGATGAGGCTGCTCCTGCTGGGTCCCTGGTGGCTTCCGCTGCTCCTTGGCCTGAGCCTGCACAAGCGCTGGCCTCTTTTCCTCCAGGTTCCACCCCCTCCCCGGGCCCAGCCAGCTTCCACTCTGTTTTGTTCTCTCCTACCCCTTGATGCCTCTCTTCCGCCAGAGCCCTTCTAGCTCAGGACCCCACATTCTTCACCCCCATGACTTGACTTCCCCCCTCCTCCCTTGGAGCACACTCAGATCCTAGAGTCTATTCCCCGGCCAGACCCTCTTTGTCTCTGGCCTCCACCTTCTCGCTGGACCCCCAGGCAGGGACACTCCCTCCTGCAGTATTAACTATATTTTCTCACTTTCTGTATTCCTGATGCTCTAGCCTCACTGGTCAGGGCTAGCCAGTTCTTAGAGGTAGCACATGATTGCCTGTGAGCACCCTTTTCATATACAAACCATCCAATCCACAGCCCATACCTGCCCCCTGCCTCCTTAATCGAGCTCTCATGGGTTAAGCCAATATTCCCCTGTCCTCGTCACCCCAGGGCCAGGTACCAAACAACTCAGGACAGCCCCTATACCCTGGAGTCCACCGAAATGATTCCAACTAGTCAACTCCGAACCTGCTGAGCCTGATGACCCTGCCGTGCCCATGCCTGTCCGCAAAACTCCAGCAAGGGCTCCAGTCCATGCCCTCCTCTCTCCTTCTATCTCCTGACTGCCACGTGGCTCTGTGTGGTGTGCAGTGCCTCCTGTTCTAGGGATCTCTGGATATAAAAACATCTCCCTTTGTGACAGTCATTTCTAGGTCTATGTGTTTTACCACACCTGATTAAAACAAATCCCAGGCACGTTTGAAAGCACCTGCTCATGTTGGCCTTCTTCTCAGCGTAGACGTCTGCTAAGGGCGCATTCCTGTCTGCCTCTCAACGTGCTTCCTTCCCTGTCCACAAGAAGCCTCTCTCTTGGACATTCTGCAGCCAGGCATTTGGAGGCCGGTGACATCTTCTTCCTCAGTCCTGATATCCAGGAGCTCCTGGAGATATGAGTCAGAGAAAGAGTGGATCTCCAGATTTGGGAGAAGAAAGAAGAGAGGGCAGGACCATTTCCCAAAAAACTGAAGCCAGACCGCAAGCTAGATTCTGGGACATCCTTGGAGTCCTTTGCTGACCAACAGGGTCCCAGAGTCCCTCAGTGCTTCTGGAGCACCAAGGGCAAACCAGAGAAGGGCACTGTCCTTGGCAGCCCCCACGCCATGCCATCTTGTGGGACTGTTTGCAGTGGAAATGGAGCCAGCTCTTTTGGGGTCTCCTCTCTCTAAAAAGCAAGTCCTGGTGGCTACTGTCCTAGTTTCTGGTAGTAGTTCCCCACTAGAGTTTTCCTTTATTTCTCCAGATCCAATTTCAGGCTAAAGAATCCCCCA
This sequence comes from Homo sapiens, assembly GCF_000001405.40. Taxonomy (NCBI): domain Eukaryota; kingdom Metazoa; phylum Chordata; class Mammalia; order Primates; family Hominidae; genus Homo; species Homo sapiens. The sequence continues at coordinate 45,322,675 of NC_000011.10, forward strand.
CCCCAGCCTCTGGCACACCCGAAGACCCAGCCCCAATCCTTTCCTGGAGCCTTGTGCCAATTGGAGCTCTACTGCAGGCCTAAGTGCAGCCCCAGACCCCCTTCAGTTCTCTCTCCCATTCCCACTGCCCTCTTCTTCACCCTAGACTAGGGCCAGTGGGATGCCTTCCCTTAGAGTCCAGAGTGAGGTTCAGTCTCTCACCTTGGCTGACATTCAATACCTGCAATGGCACTGCCTAGAGAAGCAGCTGGAAAGTTTGTGAGGTTCACCCTCTGTGGTCTCAAGAGTTCAGCAAACCTGTAGCCCTCCAGCCCCTACCTTCCCCAGCGAGCCTGGCGTCCCTGTTCTAGTTGCCAGTCTCCATCCCTCCTGGAGAACCTTCTATCCAGAATGACATCTCGAAGCACCTGGGGCACCACCTTCAAAACAGAGTTATCCAACACAGGATCCAGGAGCCTCTGCCACGATGCAACCTCAAGACACAACCTGGGACATCCCAGCCAAAGGGTGAACATGGCCTCGGGTGGCCCTCTGTGTTTACAGGCCAAGGAGCAAGAATCAAGGGAAGATAGCATTGAGGGACCAGGAGGCTTCATGAAGGGGTCCAGCTAAGTTTCTGTTAGGGTGGGATCCAGGGAAGGGCCTGGGGGACACTCTGAGGAGGGCCCTAGAGCTCACTTTCCAGGGGCCTCAGAAAGTTTCCCATGCAGGGCCTGGCAGCTGAGCTCATTTTCCAAGGGCCTTGGAAAATTTCCCACACAGGGCCTGGCAGCTGACTCTGAGAAGGAGACAAAAAGGGATTTGGTGAGCAACTCGGAGAAGGATTCATCAAGAGGCTCACTCCAGTTCCAGAAGCAACTGGAAAACAAAGCTGGGGCAAGTTGATCCGGGCTGAGTCCCTGCCCACTACTCATGATGCACTTGGAAGCTGGAAGCTTGGTGCCCTTGGTGCTCAGGAACGTCACCTGCCTCCCTCGTGGGAGTTTTCCTTCCTTGATCCAGGCCCTGGGCAGGTGTGAGAAGTCTGTAGGATACGGTTTTGGATGAGACAGACATGGGGCTTCTGGAAAAGCCAAGTCAGTGTCAGCCTCTGGGCAGATCCCAGGCCAATGGAAACCAGAGCTGTCTTCCTGGGCGGTGGGTACCCTGGGGTGCAGGTGGACATGCAACCCTCAGCCTCCTCCTAGAGAACCTGAGCCTTAGGTAGGGACTTGGTGTATGGGAGGGAAGTCAGCAAGAGGAAGAACTCAAGGTCTGGGCAGAGCCTGCAGATGAGCATTCCTGCAACAACAGGGCTCCCTGCTACCCTGAGCAAGGATTGAGACAAGCGCCTCATCCTGCAGCTGCCTAGCAGGCTCAGAGGGCTTGAGTTGCCCCAACAGGGATGGGTGGATCAGGCCCCGACCAGGACAGACATGCCTGGAAATCTGAGAGGTGCAAAGGGCAGCAACTGTGTCTGGATTCCTCGTTTCAAGTCCACCAGGGAGCCTGTGTCCCCAGCCTGCACCCAATAGCGTGGGCCAAGGATGCCAAGAACCTCTGGCCACTCCATCTACTGCCACAGGCTCTGTCTGTCAGGCGGCATGTCTTCTACTCAGCAAGAATGTTCTCCTCCATCCTCTTCTAGGAAGAAAGGTTCAAAGGAAAAGTATCAATCCATTTAGAGAAGATCTGCAAGTCTCATGCCATCACGCATTCTCTGAAGAGGGTGGCCTCTCTTTCTCAGAATGAAACATAGAGATTCTTCCCCATGCAGCTGTTTTCTTCTCATAGGAGAGTGGTGTCTTCCTTCTGTGCTGTGTTTGGAACATAGGTTTATAGTATCCGAGGGGCTTGAGCTTAGAGGAATTCAGAGCCAGCTTCAGCTCTTACTGAGTGCCTGCTTTGGCTTCTAAAAAAATGGCTGAGGTCATGGAGAGAGGTTTCACACCTAACGACTGTTGTGATTTCCTTCATTTGCACCTACTCATATGTCCTATTTTAAAAACACTGGGCCAGATACAGTGGCTCACGCCCATAATCCCAGAACTTTGGGAGGCCAAGATGGGTGGATCACTCGAGGTCAGGAATTTGAAATCAGCCTGGCCAAAATGGCAAAACCCCATCCCTACTAAAAATACAAGAATTAGCCAGTCGTGGTGGCACGTGCCTGTAATCTCAGCTCCTCAGGAGGCTGAGGCACAAAAATCCCTTGAACCCAGGAGGCGGAGGTTGCAGTGAGCCAAGATCGCACCACTGCACTCCAGCCTGGGCAACAGAGCGATGCTCTGTCTCAAAAACAAACAAACAAACAAACAAAAACAAAAAACAAAAAACACTTAAATTTTTCATAAGAGTCATTGAAAAACATACAAAAGCTAAAGTTAGTATTAAAAACACTAATAGGTTAGTCAAAGTTAGAAAATCCAATACACCCCACCCCGAGATGTGGCTTACACAGAACTTTCTCATCTAAAACAGCTGTAGGGGTAGTTAGGGTTGCACAAGAAAAATATGAAGAATACCTTGTTGACATTGACAAATTTAGAGTTTGCCATATTTCTTAGAATTCAATGTTAATATATTGAGTTGTCACAAGAGTTAATGAATTTACTTATCTTGGACATCATTTGAAACCTTTATGATTTTATTTCAAAGCCAAATCATTCTTCTAAAAAACATGAACCAGTTATGTCAACGTAGATGCATATATTAAAGAAAAAAATAAGTACTCAATTAAGTTATTGGAAATTTTTGGTGGTAAAAAAGTGATAAAATTTACCATTTTAAAAGCATACAATTCAGTGGCATTAAATACATTCCCAGCATTGTGCAATCATCACAACTACCTGGTTCCAGGACTTTACCTTCATCTATCAAGGAAACTCTGTGCCCATGAAGTGGTTACTTCCCACTCCTCGCTCCCCCCAGCCCCTGGCAACCACTAAGCTGCTTTCCATCTCTATGGATTTTCCTATTCTGGACATTTCATATGAACGGAATTATACAACATGTGGCCTTTGGCCTGGCTTCTTTCACTTAACATAACATCTTCAGGGCTCCTCCATGTCAAGGCATGGATCGGTACTTCTCTTTTCATGGCTAAATAATGTCCCCTTGTATAGATACCCCACCTTTTAAACAAATTCATTCATCTATTGATGGATACTTGAGTTGTTTTCACCTTTTGGCTATTGTGAATAGTGTGGCTATAAATATTCATGTACAGGTTTTTGTTTGAACATCTGTTATCAATGTTTTGGTTATATATCTAGGAGTGGGATTGCTGGGTCATATGGTATTCTATTTTTAACTTATTGAGGAACCACTAATCCATTTTCCACAGTGACTGCACCATTTTACATTCCTAGCAGTAATGTATAAATGTCCCAGTTTCTCCACATCTTCACCAGCACTTGTTATTTTCTGTTTTGTTTTTATTATACCATCCTAGTGGGCATGAAATGGCATCTCATTGTGATTTTGATTTGCATTTCCCTAATGACTAATGACATTGAATATCTTTTCATGAGCTTACTGGCCATTTGTATGTCTTCCTTGGGCACATGTCTATTAAGTCTTTCACCCATTTTCTAATTTATTTTGTTATGCTGTAAGAGTTCTGTACATATGCTGGATACTATATGATTTGTAAATATTTTTCCCATTCTGGAGGCCATCTTTTCACTCTCTTTTTGAAAGTGTCCTTTGATCCACACAAGTTTTTAATTTTGATAAAGTCCAATTCATACCTTCTTTTGTTGCTTGTGCATTAGGTGTCATATCCAGGAAACCATTGCCAAATCCAAGGTCATGAAGGTTTACTCATATGATTTCTGTTAGGAGATTTATAGTTTTAACTTGTATATTTAGGTCATTGATCCATTTTGAGTTAATTTTTGTATATGATGTGAGGTAAGAGTCCAGCTTCACTCTTTTGCATGCAGACATCCAGTTGTCTCAGCAGCACTTGTTGAAGAAATGCTTTTTTCCTCCATAAATGGTTTTGACCACCCTTGTGGAAAATCGACTTATCATAGATACATTAGTTTATTTCTATACTCTCAATTCTATTACATTGATCTATATGTCTATCCCTATGCCAATATCACACTGTTTCGACTTTTTGACTAACATAACTTGGTAATAACTTTGGGAACCGGGAAATGTGAGTCCTCCAATCTTGTTCTTTTTCAAATTTTTCTGCCTATATGAGAACCTCTGGAATTTCATATGAGTTTTAGAATAAGGTTTCCTATTTCTGTAAAAAAAAAAAAAAAAAAGCAGCTGAAATTTTGATAGCAATTGCATAGAATCTGTAGGTCACTTTGGAGATTATTGCCATCTTAACAATGTTAAGTCTTCCAATCCATGAACACGGAGAGCCTTCCATTCATTTAATTCTCCTTTAATATCCTTCAGCAATCTCAGTCCAATTCCAAAAATTAGAAGAGGAGTGAACACTTCTTAACTTTTCCATAAGGCTAATATTAACCTGAAACTAGAGCCAGGCACAGACATCACAAGAAAAGAAACTACAGAGCAATATTCCTTATGAATATAGATGAAAAAATCCTCAACAAAATATAGCAAGCCAAATCCAGTAGCGTATTAAAAGTAATACACACTATTATCCAGGGGGGATTTATCTCAGGAATGCAAGGTTGGTTCAACACGTGAAAACTGATCAGGGTAATACATTAAAATAATAAAGAAAGAAAGCCACATTGTTGTCTCCATTGGTGCCAAAGAAAAATTGGCAAAATCCAACACATTTCATGATTTAAAAAAACTCAGCAACTAGGAATATGAGGGAATTCCTGAAACTGATAAGGAGCATGTATGTAAAACTCACAGCTAACATGATATTTAAGGAAACACTGAAAGCTTGCCCCCTGAGACCAAGAACAAGAAAAGAGTTCCTGCTTTTGCCACTTTCAACACTGCACTGGAATTTCCAGCCAGAGTAATTAGTTTGGCTAGAAAAAGTCAAAGGCATCCAAATCAGAAAAGAAGATGTAAAACTATCTCTATGCTTGTGCTGGGGGCCTGTTGATAACGAGTGTTCTCTTTTGTTTTAAGCATTTGTGCTTGACAGTTTCACTGGCTGTAGAATTCTAGTTGGACAGTTATGTTCTTTTAGCACTTTAAGACACCATGCTATTGTCTTCGGGCTTCCATTAGGGTTTGAGAAAGGTTAGGTCCCAGTCGAATTGTCATTCCTTTAAAATGATCTTCTATTCTCCCTGACTGCTTTAAGACATTCTCTTTGTGTTTTGAGTTCTGCAGGTTCACTGTGATTGAACTAAGAGGTTGCTGTGAGAGTGATCTGAGCCTCTCAACTTAAAAAAAAAAAGATAATTACACTGGATCAAGCGGGAAGTTTTCCAGAAAAGGGAGCTACCAAAGTCATTCTGAACTCATGGAACAAGAGGAAGAGCTGTTAAAATTATACTTGCTTCTTAACTCAAGGATTCTTTCTTCATCTTGGTGAGCAAACAGCTTTGTTGAAAAATAAAGCTCAGACCAGCCAAGATTGGCCTCAAGGGGAGGAGAGTCTCAGAAGCTGGTGTGGTAATGGCCTCCAGCCTGGGGAAGGTGGTGTGGACTTTCCTCTCTGTTGGGTCAGTTTTGTGCAGAGCTGGGGAATACTGGGGAAAAGTGCTCCATCCCAGGGTGACCACCCAGCTCCATCAGTCCAGGGACAATGACACCATATTGATGTTGCTTCTGGCAAGGACCTGACCACTAGTTATTTCTGGGATTCTCTGGGGGTAAAAATAGGGTCACAAAACAGTTATAAAATATTACCTTTCTAATTATACTGCCAGCCCGTAAACTGTGGAACAGAACACGCTTTGTGGGGTTTAAGAACCAACTCTCCATCAGCACAAAGACCTCCCCTCTCTGCTTTCCGCACACTGTAAGTTTGCCCCTCTGGCTTCATTTCCAGCCCAGACACAGGCAGGTCAAGCTTGGAGATCAGGTCCTTCTGCTGCCTAGATCTGAACCAGTCACCCCTAAAGGGCCTTGGCTGCCCTTTTGTTCCTTTTGATGCTGGTGGGAGTATCAATAGGCATCACTTAGCACTGCCTGTGTACTTGCAATGTGCTAAGTCCTGAAGGCACAGGTCCCACTGTGATCCCATTTCACAGCTGAGAAAACTGAGGCTCTGAGCAGTCCTGTGGTCCTTCTCTTCCACAAAGCTGCTGTAAAGTCTGAAGAAAAGTCTGGGCTCCCTCGGTCTCTCTCCACCTTTGCAGCCTCCTTGCCCTTCTCCTCGACCCAGGCCATTCTTTTTCCTATCCTTTCTCCAACCAGATGTCACCCCAACACCTGTACACACCCCATCCAGCTCGGCCACAGAACTGACTCTCACTCAGGATGAAAGCAGTCTCCTTTCTTTTCAGTGAAAACCTGCCTTGACCCTTAAACCTGATGCTTGGCATTCCCTGATGCAACCAAACTGACTTCAGCCTGAGATCCAACATGAGGCTGAGCCATCAGGACTGCCTTGGCTGGACATTTCTCTCCCTCCTGCCAGGTACCCTGTTCTCAACCTCTGACTGGCTGTCACCTTCAGACTGCTTTTAATGGAGCAAAACGCAAGCTTTGCAATAATAAGGGGCTTCAACAAAAGCCTGTTCAGAACAGAGAGAGAATTTGAGGAATCTCAAAGCTGAAATCAGTCTGGTTAAGTTGGGAAATGCAGTGCTACAAGTTGGGCCAACAGCCCTAGAGGCCTACAGGGACAGAAGGACCCAATCTTTCTACACTTGGGTTTCTGTTCTTGTGTGGGTCCAATTTCTAGAGTTAAACTTCAGGCACAATTTCTAGATGTGCAACAGTAGTAGCTCTTATCAATGGAGCACTTCCAGTGTGCCTGGCTCTGTGCTGACCCCATTACATGGATTCATTATTTGGCTTCTAGAGTGGGTAGAATGGTGGCCCCCAAAAGATACATCTGTGTCCTAATGCCCAGAACCTGTGAATATGATCATATTTGGAAAATTGATCTTTGGTGATATAATTAAGAATCCTGGGTTGGAGTCATACTGTGTTATCTAGGTGGGCTCTCTATCCAATGACAAGTGCCTTTATAAGGGATCCATGAAGAAGAGACAGAGGGACAAAGATTGGAGTTCTGCAGCCACAACCCAAGGAACACAAAAAGGCAAGAATAGATTTTCTTTTTTCTTTTTCTTTTTTTTTTTTCGAGACAGAGTCTCGCTGCTTTTTCAAGACAGAGTCTCGCTGCTTTTTCGAGACAGCGTGTCGCCCACGCTGGAATGCAGCGGCACGATCTCAGCTCACTGCAACCTCCGCCTCCCGGGTTCAAGCAATTCTGCTGTCTCAGCATCCCAAGTAGCTGGGACTACAGATGCACATCACCACGCCCAGTTAATTTTTGTATTTTTAGTAGGGATGGGGTTTCCCCATATTGGTCAGGCTGGTCTCGAACCCCTGACCTCAGGTGATCCACCTGCCTTGGCCTCCCAATGTGCTGGGATCACAGGTGTGAGCCACCATACCCAGCCTAGATTTTCTCTATAGCGTTTGGAGGGAGTGCAGCCCTGCCGACACCCTGATTTCAGACTTCTAGCCTCTAGAACTGTGAGTGTGTAATTTTCTGTTGTTATAAGCCACCCAGTTTATAGTAATTTGTTACACCACCCAAAGGAAATAGAGGAGTCTCCCATCAACTCTGGAAAATAGACACAGTCATCTTCCATTTTATAGATTAGGAAACTGAGGCACAGGGCTTGGATAACTTGTCCAGGGTCCCAAAGGCAGGAAAAAGCAGCACCAAGATGAAAAACCAGTTAGAATGACCCCAGAGACCATCCTCCCAGCCACAGTCTGTGATGCCTCCTGCTCTGCTAGACTGCTGGAATGTGCCTAAAATAAGTAGGCATTTGTCCCCATTTTGCAGATGAGAAAAACAAGGCAACCGTGAAGTAACTGTTGGGGAAAATAAAACTGGGATGGAACATTGAAATTCAAAAGTAGTTCCTTGTATGCCTCTTTTCTTCATGCTCACAACCAGCCAGAGAAGTGGTTGTTACAACGTCCATCTTCCAGATGGGAAGATTAAAACAGTAGCTCTTTGAGGGAGGGACTGTTCACCATTGCTACCCTGAGCTAGCCCTGAGCCTGGCTGAGGTAGCTCAGGGAGGTGTGGTCATTCATCCAAGATCATGCAGCCTGCCAACATGAGGCCAGGGACTCAAGCCTGGGTTTTCTAATGCCAAAGCCTGTGTTTTCCCTCTGCTGAACAAATGCTGACCTCTGTTATCTCCAGACTATATGAGCAAATGGGTGGAGGGCAGAGAGACACTGTGAGGCCTGGAGAGAATGTTGGTGGCAGCTTTGAGACTGGGGTTGGGGGTGGTATGCCTTGATGACTAGAAGGGTTTGGACAGGTGAAGGAAACAGGACAGAAGAGATAAACTGACACCCAGCATGGGGATGCCAGGGTCTAGAGGCAGGAGGGAGGCTGGGAACCAAGGCTAAGGAAGGAAACCCAGATTTACTCTTCATCCTCCCTCTTCCTGAAGCTCTCCATGTACCCCAAAGCCCAGCCCCCAGTGATAACACTACAGGCCTGTGCCCTAATGGCAGGCCATGCATCAAAAGTCAGAAGATAGTGGGGCAGCCATGCTACTGCACACAACTTGATACATTTCCCAGGAGCCCTGGAATGTCGGCTCAGCTTCGGGAGTCACATCTGACTTCTCTAAGCTTCAAGGCAGTGTTCAGAAGTGAGAGGTGTCCTTCCTCTCCTTCTCATGAGTCTGTGTGGATGGTCAGAGAGCCGTATGTTCTCGTACACACCGTTTTCGAAAGGAGACAGTCCTTGACTTGAGTTTTAGGAATTCTCTTCCCAGTCTTTAGTCATTGATTTCTAGAAAAAAACCTTTTCCTCTTTATTATTTAACTTCTGCCTTCATCCCTGCCACCCAGGCTGAAGAACTGACAGTGAAGTATGCTTTCCTCAAAGGCAAGAGAAGGACAGGGTTATGGAGAGAGTCCTGGCCACGAGACGGGATCTCAGGGGTTTAGTATTAGCTCTGCCTTTAATTGGAATAGTGAGGATGAGTTTGGGTGCTGGAGTCAGACAGGTGCAGGTTCAAGTCCCAGCTAGACCACTTTCAGGCTGCATGGCCTTGGCCAAGTGGCTCAACCCCTCTGAGGCTATAAAATGGGAGTAATTGTGTTTGCAAAGCAGAGATTTGTGGGGAGGATGCATGAGCAAATGCACCGGCTCCGTAGAGCTCGGTACATAGTGAAGCTTCAGTGCTAATGATTATCATGACATTAGGTCTCTTACACCCCCTTCCTTCCCTGACTCAACTAAGTCATGCTGCTGGTCCTTGTCTGCCAGGCTCTAGCACAAGCCAAGAAGTCTCCCTCTTGTGGTTCCTTATTCCTGGAATTCTTGGCCCCCAGCTCCTTGAAAGCCTGGCTGCTCTTCATCTTCAGGCTCGGGGGAAATGCCACCTCCACACAGATCTTGTTCCTGTCCCTCCATCTCTTAACCCCCTCCCCACAATTGCTGATAATTGTGTTGATCTGATCACTTCTCATTGCCCCTGTGCTCCACTCGCCTGCAGCCTTGGTGTGGGAAGGGGCCACGTCTCTCCTGCCACTCTTGTGTCTCCATCACCCATGAGTGTTTGTGCAGTGACATGGATTGACTCAATGAACATTCAATTAACATTTGTTGATTTAATGAGTCACGATGTCTGACCCTGGGTAAACAACACGACACTTGTGGGATTCCGTTTTTCTCATCAGAAAAATGAGGAGGTTGGAATAAAAGGCTGAAACATATTATTTCCCCTAAGTTTCCCATGAACCTGTGAATGAATTCAACGGAACCAGGGAGTTAAGGTGCAGAATTGTTACAGAAACATGGCCTCTTTCTGCCCTCTAGTGGACGAGATGGTGAATGGCACTTCATCATCCCCACCGCCGCCCCCACTCTCCCGCCACTGTTTCTAATATATTAGCCCTGCCAAGAACCACTTCAGAAAGGAAAATATTCAGTGGCCAGAGAAAAGGGGCCATGTCTTCTTCATTAGGGTACACCCAGAGTCGAGCAGTGAAGCGTGGGAGACAGCTAGATTCAGCAGGAAGGGCACTGGTGGGACTGGGACCACCACCTACTCCCTGGGTGAAGTTGGGCGTGGTTCTGTCCTCTCGGAGCCTCTATTTCCCCATCTGTGCAGTGGGCATAATAACATCTACCTCACAACTGTTGTAGGATTAAGTAATGTAAAGTGTCTGGAATGTGGTAGGTCCTTAATCAAGGTTGGTAGCCTCTTGGCTCTTTATACACTTTGTATGAATGAAACGCAGTCACAGACACAAAGGAAAATGTTACAGCCTAGAAGAAAAAGCAAGAAATGTGTGTAAATGAGTAGGAAACGGGTTTATGTACCGGGGAAACATCCTCGACTTGATGTTAGGAGCTTTGAGATTTAGATTTATGAGCTCTGACACTAACAAGCTCTGGGACCCTGGGAACGTTCTGTCTGTCGCCTCTCTGGACCTCAGCGTTGTCATCTGGGAAACAGAAGGTTAAATGACAGCATCATCCAGAAGGCACTCAGCTTCAGGAAACAGAAAACACAACTGACGGTGAGTAGATCCAGGGTCGGCAAACGACAACCCACTTGCCAAATCTGTTTTTGTGCCGCCTGTGGGCTAAGAATGATTTCTACAATTTAAATTGTTGAAAAAAATCAAAAGAATAAATAATATTTTGTGACACATGAACATTATATGAAATTCAAATTTCAGTTTCTATAAATAAAGTTCTGTTGGAACCCAGCCACACTCATTTGTTTATGTACTTATCTAGGGCTCTTTTCCCGTGACAATGTCAGAGTTGAGTGGTTGCGGCTTGGAAAGCTGAAAATATTTACTATGTGTCCATTTGAAAGAACAAGTTTGCTGACCTCCGACTTCACTAATAAAGATATTTAGCTGTCTCACATAACCATAACATTCCCGCTGTTCTCTTGGTCTTCTCTCCTGATCACAAGATGGCAGCCTCGATTCCATGAGTCACATCTACACACAGCCTACATTTAAGACAGGAAGTAAGGAGCAGGGGGAGAGAAAAGACTTTCTTCTGCCGTGATTCCTGTGCCCAGAAAGAAAATATTTCCCGGAAGCCCTGCAGGAGGCTTCTCCTATCTCATTGGCCGGAATGAGGTCACATGGTGGACCCTGGACCAATGCCTGCAAAGGACCTACCCTTCCTGAGATGAAGGGATCTGGCCTTCTAACAGAGACAAAAACCAGGGCTCTGTTAGCATGAAAGAAAGGGGGCAGGGGGCACGTGCCGACCAAAATCATTAAGACCCCTTGCCTAATAGCATCTCCAGGTTCCAGTTGCATGAGCCTTTTCAGAACTTAAATTTGAAAGCTTTTCGTTGACATATTTTCTCCACTTCAATCCTCTCTCTGGAACTCAGGATGTATTTCTGAGCGATTTTCTTCATTTATAATTTTTTTTATTTGGGCTTCCTTATTTATATTTATTTATTTGTTCATTTTTTTGAGATGGAATCTTGCTCTTTTGCCCAGGCTGGAGTGCAGTGGTGCGATCTCGGCTCACGGCAATCACCACCCCCGGGTTCAAGCAATTCTCCTGCCTCAGCCTCCCGAGTAGCTGGGATTACAGGCACCCACCACCATGCCCAGCTAATTTTTGTATTTTTAGTAGAGACGGGGTTTCACCATGTTGGCCAGTCTGGTTCTTGAACTCCTGACCTCAGGTGATCCACCCACCTCGGCCTCCCAAAGTGCTAGAATTACAGGCATGAACCACCGCGCCCGGCCCCTTCCTTAAGTTGCTTGATTTGAGATGTTGCTGTTCATGATGTTTCTCCATACCAGTCCTTAATTTTGACCTCACCTCTGCCTCCATGTGTGAGAAGGTTGAGTAGGAGGCGGGAGGTGGTAGAACGTTCCAGGGCTTCAGCACAGCCGGGCCTGCTCCTGGCAGGGCAAAATAGATGAGGCGTTCACCAGGACGGTTAGACTGAAATCCTGTTTGGCCACTGAAAGCTGAAGAGGCAACCTCGTGGACTGTTTTTCAGTTATGTACCAGTCTGAAAGGCATTGGAGGAAATGTGGAAATGCATCCAGCAATGCAGCTACTGTTCACTTGAGTTAATAGAAGAGGGAGCAGAGCTTCAAGTGCCAAATGGAAATAATTTTGTAGATGACTTGAAAAGAAATTTAGTAAGGACTTAAATCCGAAATCATAGCCTCCTTGTTGTTAGAAAGTGAGGGAGTTGCAGTTACAGACACAAAGGAAAACAGCACAAAAATGGAAGGAAAGCCAAAAGGGCCCACGCAGAAAATTTAACACAGGATCAGAGGCCCCAAGAGAGAAGCAAAATCCTAATACACATCCTCTATCCGAGAAGCAGATGGCAGCTTAGAAGGAAAATGCGGTAAGAGATGGCAGGCCACAGTGTTTCTGGAAAGGAGGACCGTCCTTGAATTATGACCTCTTCTTAATTTTGGGGTGGATTTCCTGATGGAGGGTGCTTTTTGAACATTCTGTACCTGAGGTCTTTTTTTGTGCTAAGGAAAAATAGGAAAATGAATTCGAGTTCCCCTAAACCAGAGTGGGGTCGCTCATTCCTAACAATCAAGATTCAAAGAGAATGAAAAGATGCAACCCTCTGTACCTTAGTTTCTGCATCTGTAAAAGAGAAATTAGTGCCTGTGTGACTCAGTTGGGCACACATTCCTATTCCTTCTAGACTACCTTCCTGCACTCTAGAAACTGCAAAACTGAAAACCAAATTTGAGACTCCTTTGCAGCTAGAGTGCAGGCACATGGCCTGCTTTCCACCAACCAGTTACACTCATTCAGGACTTGCATGTGGAAGTGAGTGGTGCAAGAAGGCTGGGAGCCTGGACCTGCTGGAAGGCACAGAGGCAGGGGTGCTGGGTGTTCTGGGAAATTGGGAGGAGTTTTGACTTCAGTCCCAAACATCATGAGTGTCAGTTAACAGGTGGAAGCAGCAGAGGGCTCTCTGAACAGCTCTGCAGAGAGTGGGGGCATTTTAAGGGCTTGGCTGACTCTGTTGTCCAGGTCTGTCCTGGTCTGAGTACCATTTAAGCTTGATTCTGTGGTCCCCCCAAAAAAGTCCATTAAGTATTTAATAAATACATTTTAATAGATCTCTGTCAGCATGAACTTGCTAATGTGGACTCTGTTGCCTGCAACCAAGGACCTTGGCCTTAACCACACATAAAGCATTAGATCAGTTCCTGGCACGTGGCAAATCCTCACTATATATTAGCTACCATTCTGTATTATTTGAATGCTCTACAAAGAGATGGTACATCTGCTCTTATTTAGCAAGCATAGGTGTTAGAGTTCATCAATTTCTTTCAAAAGGAAGTGAACGCGCACATTACTCTCCCCTGGGAGTGCAAAACTCAATCCTGCCAACTCAAGGTAAACTGTCACTGTCAGGTGCTCTCAAGCTCTGTCAATTAAGGCTCCTTCCCCTCTGTCCTCTCCAGGCATTGGTGGTGTGAGGGGCACTCCCCTTCCCCTCATCTAGTTCCCTCCTACGGAGCATCCGAGGTTGATGTAATTTGCCAGGCCTGTGTATTGATGTCTGATATCATCTGCATTCACTGCTGTCACAGCCACTGCCACTCTGTCTTCCCTCATCAGGTACCTAAGCGTCTGCACCCCCTGCGTCCCATTGCTAGGCCTCTCCAGGTTCACCCACCAGCTTTCTGCCATTTCTATCCCTCCTTGAGGATTTGGGGATGTGAGTGTTTGAGGCCCTCTCATTAACAGGTCCATCACAGGAGTCCTCACCTGGCACAGTGTGGTGGCACAGTGTCCACCACAGCTTTTCCTGGGCAGAGAGGCGCAGGTCTCCTCTGCTTCACTGTCTCCCACCCACCCGCATCCCAGGCTTTCTCACAGGTCCCTGGCATCTGTGGGTTCTAGTTCCAACCCTTCGATCCTCCTTCCACCTCCCAAAACTGAACTTTTGTCTCCTTTTGAGTAGGAACTTTATTCATTTACTATTGAATATTCTTTCCTACTCTATGGTGTGGTATAAAATCTATGCTGTCAGTCCCCCAGACTACCTTTTTTACCTTAAAAAACATGTTTTCTTCTCAAGAACAAAGTCCTGGCTTTTTCTAAATGTATTCAAGAATTTCTTCACCAAATATTGTTGGAACACTTGCTGGGGGGGGGCAGACACTCTCTGGGTTGTACGGACAGACAGACAGTTGCCTTCCAGTTGGGGAGATGGGCGATAATCATATGCAAAAGTCAATTGCCTAATTTCTTTTTTTTTTTTTTTTTTTTGAGACAGAGTCTCGCTCTGCCGCCCAGGCTGTAGTGCAGTGGCGCTATCTCGGCTCACTACAAGCTCCGCCTCCCGGGTTCATGCCATTCTCCTGCCTCAGCCTCCTGAGTAGCTGGGACTACAGGTGCCCGCCAACACGCCTGGCTAATTTTTTGTATTTTTTTTAGTAGAGACAGGGTTTCACCGTGTTAGCCAGGATGGTCTTGATCTCCTGACCTCGTGATCTGCCCGCCTTGGCCTCCCAAAGTGCTGGGATTACAGACGGCCGTCAATTGCCTAATTCTTTTCTTTCTTTTCTTTTTTTTTTTTTTTTTTTTTTTGAGACAGGGTCTCACTCCTTCACCCAGGCTGGAGTACAGGGAATGGCATCATCATATAGTTCACTCATAGCCTTGAACTCCTGGGCTCAAGCCATCCTCCTCCCTCAGCCTCCCAATCAGCTAGGACTACCTGTAGGTACGTGCCACCACACTTGGATAACTTTTATTTTATTTTATTTTATCTTATTTTATTTTATATTGTGTAGAGATGGGGTCTTGTTCTGTTGCCCAGGCTGGTCTCAAACTCCTAGCCTCAAGTGATTCTTTAGCCTTGGCCTCCCAAAGTGCTGGTATTACAGGTGTGAGCTGTGGTGCCCAGCCACCTATTTATTTTCAATAGAGCGAATGCTTTGCTGGAGTATTAAGTATAAACTATACTTTATATTCAATATTCCAGCAAAGTATTTTATATTGAGTATAAAATGCTGAGTATCAATTTTATATTGAGTATAAAAAGGGGTAAAGTGACAGAGCGCTGGGCAGTGGGAAGGGGTAGTTATGAAACAGACTCACTGTGCGCTAGTTACCACTTCAACCCACTTGATCTTGGGTTGCACGTTCACTACTTGCCCAAGTTCTGTGAAACAGAACACTGAAATACACAAGTTACATGAGGAAATACACAAGTTATTACTTATAGATAGTCAGCAAGGGACAGCAGCAGCCTAGAATTCATGAGTATCAGTCTCCAAGCCTCAGGAAAGCTGCCCAGATGGAGTCTTGTCTGCACATGCCCCACTTGCACCACAGCTGCGGAGCCCTGAAGGCAACCAGCCCTGGGTTTTAGACCACGGGGTACAGGACTTGCTGGGTCAACGCATTGAAGGACACCTTGTTTCTAATAGTGACTGAAGCAGAGCCTGGCCTGCTCAGACCAGTCCCGCCCTATTCCAGATGTTGCATTTCCAGCACATTACACAGCGATTCTTGGGAGCTATGACAGAAAAGAGGGAGAACTGGGTCGGTCCACAGCCATCCAGAGAATGGTCTTGCAGTAGTGCTGCATTGAGTCAGATATCCAGGAAGGCCTGGTAGACATTTGAACCCCAATCTAAGTGCCAAGAAGAATCCCCCGGAGAGGGATCAGGTCAATGCCTCCAAATGGAACAGCAAGAGCAAGAGCCCCGAGAAAGAAATGAGCTTGGCCTTGGTCACAGATAAGAAAGAAGGCCAGCGGGTTTATTGAATGGTGAAAAGAGAGTGAGCAAAGATGACCTCAATGGGTCACTGGGCCAGATTTCGCAGCACCCTTTTAGCATGCATGGAAGCTGTGGATTGTTTTGTTAAACCCTAGAAGATTGAAGTAGAGAAGTTATTTGCATTTTAAGAAAATCATTTTAATTATAGAAAAATGGTTGATTATAAGAGGGCAAAAAAGCATGGGCGAGCAGGGAAAAGGTAACTCTAGGAGGCCACACGGGTGATGAGGGTAGCCCGAACTTAGAGGGTAAAGATGGTGAGATGTGGACCATTCTGGATACATTGTAGGGGAAGGATTGAAGGGACTGCTGCTGGGCTGATTAGGCGGTGGTGAGATGCAGAGGCAGGAGAGGCTGAGGAAGCTTAAACCCCTGCATACTGTCTGGAATGACTGAGCCAGTTCTACAGAAGTGGCAACACTTAGACATTAGCCCAAATGCACTTCCTATATAAAAGCCCTGTGTGTGCTTCCTGTGTGCTGTGTGTGTGCTCTTCACATGCGTGTGTGTGTGTGTTTTTCAGCTAGCAGATTCACCTACTCTCATCCTCTCTCACTAGAATGTTCCAGTGCCCAGCAGGTTGAGCAGGGAGCAGAGGGGTGGAGTAGTACTCATCTCTGGCCAAATCGGCACAGGCTCACCCATTACACTGTTTACTAACATCTGCACTTACAGGGTCCTTGCCATGTGCCACATGCTGTTCAAAGTGGCCTACCAATATTAACACACGTAATCCTCAGAACAGCCCTAGGAAATAAGTGCTATTATAAATCCTCATTTTACAGGTAGGGAAACTGAGATTCCAAAAGATGAGGTGGGAGGCCGAAGGTCACATAGCTCATAGGCAGCAGAGACAGGATTTGAACCCAGGGTATATGATGTCAGAGGCCAGGCTTATCAATCACCTATTCCAGGGATGGCAAGGGAATACAGGCAGGAAAGAAAACCACCTAGCATGTCTTCTTTTCAATGCCTCTAAATGTGAAAGCACTTAGCAAAGTGCTGGCACATAGTAGGTGCTCAATGCATAACAATAATACATTTTATTAATATCCAGGGACCAGGCAGGTTATGTCCCTCCTGTGCACCCATGCCCTGTGGGAGGCAGAATATGCGAGTTGGAAAAAAATTGATCCACATCAGATGCCAAGCCGTCAAAAATAACTGGCAGGAGAGGAGAGACCAGGCAGAGCATGTATCTCTGATTCCCTTCGCTTGTTGTCACACTATTACAGTTAAAGAGTGAACACTTCACAAGAAAAAGAGCATACGTCTGCCCACGGGTTTCTAGATTTACATCCTTTTCACTTATTGGAAAGAGAAAAAAAATAGGACCAGATGTTAAAAGCATGAAAAAAAATTAAAAAGCAAGAAATTTGAGGGGGAGGGGAATCAGACTGGCAGCTCCATGGGAACCGAAACATGCAAATGACGTGCAGCCTGTTTTAATGATCTGACACCCCCGAACTGGAATTGATTACTGCTGTTGGGAGGAGAAAATGGATCGGCAAAGTGTGATCATGCAAACTTCAGAGGGATATTCAATCCCAAACACCGAAGTGAGGGAAGGGCTGGGAGATGCCCTCGTGGGAGAGAAAGCCGGCCACGCCTTCCAGTTCCAGCCTCTCGTTGATAGCCTTGTAATGACAACACGCGCCACCAGGGGGCGACCAACGTCTCGCACCAGGAAGACGGGGCTGTAGGGAGGGGCGTGGCAAAATGAGAGGCACAGGGCTGGCCCCATTCAGAGGAAGGAGAAGAGAAATCCAGCCACACCGGAGGGGCAGCTCCGGACCCGCTCAGGCTGCCCCAAGCGGCGCTCCCTTCACTCAGCAGGACTTGAGCAAGGCCAGCTGGAGTGGAAACCAAGCCTTGGAAGAGGAACCGTAAAAAAAGAACCTTGCTGGGCCAGAATTAGACACTTCAACTCAGCGTCCCCAGAAGGGAATTTTTGATCAGTAATTGCTGCCCATGAGAATTGGTTTTCTGGGAATGACAGGCTCATTAAGGAGGGAATAGAGACGATGTCCTAAATCAAGGGTCGGCAAACTTATCTGTAAAGGGACAGCTAGCACATATTTTATGCTTTGCGGGTTCTCAGGCCCTGTTGAAACTGCTGAAATAGCGTGCAGTTAGCCACAGACGATCTGTAAATGAATAAGCATGTCTGTGTTCCACTAAAAGTTTATTTATGGACAATAAAATTTGAATTTCCCTGTTAAAAGAATAAAAAGACAAGCCACAGACTGGGGAAAAAATAGTTGCAAAGCACGTTGGATAAAGAATTGGTATCTAAAACATACAAAGAAGCCTTAAAACTCAACGATAAGAAAACAAACAACCCAATTAAAAATGAGCAAAAGATCTGGACAGACACCTCACCAAAGAAGATATATAGATGGGAATTAACTATATGAAAAGATGCTCAACATTGTTTGTCATTGCAAATTAATTGCAAATTAAAAGCAACAATAAGAAACATTCTATGCCTAAAATCCAAAACGCTGACAAAACCGAATGCTAGTGAGGATGTGGAGCAACAGGAACTTTCATGTATTGCTGATGGGAATGCAAAGTGGTACTGCCATTTTAGAAGACAGTTTGGTGGTTTCTTAAACATACCCCTACCATATGATTCAGCAATCTCCCTCCTTGTATTTATCCAAAGGAGTTAAAAACTTGTGCACACAAAGCCTGCATGCAAATATTTATAGCAGCTTTATTCATAACGATCAAAACATGGAAACAATTGATGTCCTTCAATGAGTAAATGGGCAAACTGTGATATATTCAGACAATGGAATATTATTCAGTGCTAAAAAGACATGGAAGAACTTTAAATGCATATTACTGAGTGAAAGAAGCCAGTCTGAAATGGCTACATACTGTATGATTCCAACTACATGACATTCTGGAAGAGGCAAAACTATACAAACAGCAAAAAGATCAATGGTTGCCAGGGGTTAGCGGGAGAACTGAATAGACGCAAGCAGCTGGGCAGGGCTGTCGCTTGTGGGGTAGGACACCTGGTGGTTATGGCGAGGGCCTCGGCATGTCACAGTCTGGGTTTACGTTCTGGCTCTGCCATTTTCTAGCTAACCTTGGGTAAGCTAGATAACCTTGCTGTGCCTGCATTTTCTCACATGAAAATGGAATCGTAAGCAATCAGCTTCAAAGAGTTGTGAAGATTACATGAGAAAAGACCTGTTAAGTGCTTGTAATAGTGATTCATACACAGAAAGAAGTTGATACATGCTAGCAATTTTTATTACCAGGATGGGAAAGAGGGTGTTGCTGGAGGGAAGGCCTGCCAGGACAATGCTGAACACGACCCCGTGCATAGTTTATTTTTTTTTGAGATGGAGTTTTGCTCTTGTCGCCCAGGCTGGAGTGCAGTGGCGCGATCTCAGCTCACTGCAACCTCCGCCTCCCGGGTTCAGGCGATTCTCCTGCCTCAGCCTCCCGAGTAACTGGGATTGCAGTCGTCTGCCAACATGCCTGGCTAATTTTTTGTATTTTTTTTTTTTTTTTTTTTTTAGTAGAGATGGGGTTTCGCCATGTTGGGCAGGCTGGTCTCGAACTCCTGACCTCAGGTGATCCACCCACCTCGGCCTCCCAAAGTGCTGGGATTACAGGCATGAGCCACCGCGCCCTGCCCTAGTGCACATTAAGGAGCTGGAAGGGGAGTTGCGCTGCAGGTGAGAGAACCATGACTTTATATTCCAGAGTTGTTGATGCTGTCTATGTCCCCGTGTCCTCTGAGTTTCTAGGGCTCGGGGGCTGCCTTTCATCTTGAATCCTGCTTAGCTGAGGTTTCACCGTAAGACCGGGTCCAGGAAGCTAGAATCAGTTATGAGGTTCTGGAATTCTTGTTGCAAGAGGAAAAACAAACCCAGATTTGTTTGAGCCCATGTTGAGCTGGCTCTTCTGTTATTTGCACTGAGCAAGAGGGAAGGATGGCTTTCTGAAGCCAGGAAATAAAGCCACGGCCAAGGCAGGAAGGGTCCAGATGAGGGAGGTCAGAGGGTCACAGCAAGGCAGGCACAGGCAGGGCTCCCGGAGCTGACCCCATGAACACTGACTGTGCACTGGGTTGTGTTCTCTTGCACAGCCTGCTGCCCTGTAGTGGTCCAGGGACAGGCTCTCTAGTTTATTTTTCATTAAAAATGACTTTTATAGAATGTTTTGATTTCAAAAGCAATATCTGGTCTCTGGAGAAAAACTAGAAAATGTAGACAAGCAAAGCAAAGAGAAGAAAATAAAAATACATCCACTATCCTAATCCTGAGCAATAACTACTCTTTTTTCTTTTTTGGAGTTGAAGTCTCATTCTGCCGCTGATCTAGGCTCACTGCAACCTCTGC
Source organism: Homo sapiens (assembly GCF_000001405.40). Lineage (NCBI taxonomy): Eukaryota > Metazoa > Chordata > Mammalia > Primates > Hominidae > Homo > Homo sapiens. The sequence continues at coordinate 45,342,909 of NC_000011.10, forward strand.
CTCCCGGGTTCAAGCGATTCTTCTGCCTCAGCCTCCCAAGTAGCTAGGACTACAGGTGCACACCATCATACCCTGCTAATTTTTTGTATTTTAGTAGAGACAGGGTTTCACCATGTTGCCCAGGCTGGTCTCAAACTCCTGACCTCAGGCAATCCACCTTCCTTGGCCTCCCAAAGTGCTAGGATTTCAGGTGTGAGCCACTGCACCCAGCCAGTAACTGCTCTTTATACTTGTTCAGTGTCCATCCGGCTTTTTCCTAGGAGTGCAATATATTTATAGCATCATTTAATAAAATTAAATTTTATACCACATACCTATATAACCTTTTAAAAACTCAATTGGCATTATATCATTAATATCTTTTCATGTCAATACTCTACAATCTGGGTTTTAATGATTATGTAATATTCCATTGTATGGGCATGCAAGTACTTTAATTTACCAATCCCTTACTATTGGACATTTAGGCTGTTTTCCAATTTTCACTACTCTAAACAACTGTGACGAACATCCTTTTGCATAATTACTTATCCACATTCTCATTTTCTTACCTGGGTTACATTTCCAAAGGTAGGATTACCTCATCAAAGGATATGCACATTTTTAAGGCTTTGATGCACATTGCTTCACTAACCTCAGGAAAAGTAGTGATAAATTATACCCCAGGGATGGCTATTGTCCCCAGGGACAATGCTGATCTTTATATGCAGGGTCTAGAGCAAAGCATTGCATATAATAAGAGCTGATTAAATATGCATAGATTGTAATTTGAGCATAATAAATCCAGACTCTTTCAAGCACACTATCTGCAGTTCTTCTGTCTGCTGTTAGCCCTCCAAGAGACAGAGTAAAGAATTGTTCATAAAAATGAGAGAAAGGTAAGGGATGATGAAAAGAAAGTGGAACAATATCTCAGGGGAGTGTGCCATTTAATAATACCCTAGGTCATTACACAGCACTTTCACTGAAATATAGGTGTTAATGGCCCACTTATGAACATTTCTACTCCAACATAAATTAGAGTCTAAATTATTTAAACCATCCCAATGTAACCATACCAGGCAAAAGTCGGGTACATAGAAGTACCATGGCTTAGAGGTAAAAGACCATGGAGAAAATAATTATCATAATATCCAACCTCCCAATAAACATGATGGAATTGCCACTTGGGAATCCACACCCTCCCTTCAATATCCAACGTAACCAGCTTAGGGAAAGCACTTCAAAGAAGTGTGGGTGAAGATAAAGGAACACTTAGTTACAATCTGAGCTCACCCTGCAAGCTTTGATTTCTGACTATTCTTAGGACTTGTTTCTTTCAAATCCTCAGACTAGAGGGCTTGGTTCATTTTGACAGAGAAAGATAATCATTGAAAAACAGAAGGAGGTTTGGTTTAGCCTTACAATGGTTTCTATGTTAAGCCTCACAAATGAAAGTCATATTAAACTGGATTTATTCATCCCTGACATCAAAGAAAGGAGAATGAAGGAGAAAAAAACGTATTAAAACTTGCAAAAAATAATCTTTCTATAAAACCTGACATTTATGAACATAACTCAAAGAAATACCTAAAAATTAATCTGTGGATTACACCAATTTAAAATGTATGGGAAGAATACAAGTAGGAAGAGGGGGAAAACAAACAAAGGGAAATATATTGACATTCTGAAGTCTCTTTTCATTTAACAACAAATATTTTCAAAGAACACAAGGCTTTCTCAGTCATTAACAATTCATTTTTTTATAAGCTACATTCAATTTTAATCATCTACAATATATGAAAAATCCCCCTCAGGATTACCTGCACAAAATTGCAAAAGAAAAAAAAATTGTAAGATTATATGACAGTTTCAAAGCTGAATTACAAATGTATGCACCCAGCAGCAGATAAAAATGAAGGAGAATACGGGAATGATTAAGTTTTCAATTTCCCTACAATGACTTGATGTTAATTTCAATTCACTTACAAGCCTCTTTGTAAAGGATTAATAAAGAAAAGAAATAATCTGATGGTTTGACAACATGAAGGTACTGGGAAATTATTTCCCTGAGAGATTGTCATTTAGAAGCTGGATAAGTTTCTGATTCACTTGCGGCCTCAGTTTCTCATCTTTAAACTGGGAATTGGGAAATGACAATGATGATTCCCCAGTAGGATTCATGTGAGGATTTCATGAGATGATGGAATTCAAATGTTGTGCAGATGGCAGGGACTCACTTAAAAATAGCCATTTTTATTGACATGGGCATGGCAAAAATTTAAAGTGCCTGTGATAAAGATCATCAGTGAATCTCATACAATAGACTTTTCTAAACTTTGCCCTTCCTTCTCTTTAATTCTTTGATATCTACAGTATAACCAGTAATATGTTCTGCTTTGAGTGTCTTAAGATGGAAAACATCAACAAGCAACAATACTTTGCATTGAGTACTTACTACATGCCAGGTGCTTTATGTCATCTCAAACAGTCCTCACAACAAACCTATTGCGTAGGCACTACTCATCTTAGTTTGCCAATAACAAAATTGAGACCTAAATAAGTTAAGGAGTTTTCCAAATGGCTGGAGGCAGCACAGAGGTTAAAAGCATGAGCTCTGGAGCCAAGCTGCCTCAGTTTCCCTATTGAGGGAAATTGGGATGGGTAGTATATTTGACAGTGTTCTCTAGAGAAATAGAACTAATAGGATGTGGGTGTGGGGGCGCTGAGGGGAAGCAGTGTGGGAGAGAGAGAGACTTTATGTTAGGGAATTGGTTCATGCAATGGTGGGGGCTGGAAAATGCAAACTTTGCAGTGGTGACTGGCAGTCTGGAAATTCCAGCAGAAGTTGATTGTTGCAGTTTTGAGTCCAAAGGCAGTCTGGAGGCAGAGTTCTGTCCTCCTGGCGGGACCTCAATCTTTTTTCTTAAGGCCTTCAACTGATTGGAGGAGACCTACTCACATTAAAGAGGGTAATGTACTTTACTCAAAGTCTACTGATTCAAATGTTAATCACCTAAAATCACCTAAAAAAATACCTTCCCAGCAACATCTGGACTGGTGCTTGACCTAGCAACTGGGTGCTACAACCTACCACATTGACACATAAAATTAACCACCACTGGGGGTAAGAACATTACCTACCTCGCATGGTTTGGAAGGATTAAATAATATAAATCATGCACAGTACTTGGTATGCCTGAGGCCCTCAGTGTCTTTATTTTCTTATGGACAGAGCCTGCTAAGGAGGAAGCAGTCCATAGGTGTTAGCTATTGTTATAAAGGGACACAGCCATATTAGAACCCAGGTCATTTGCCTCCAGAGCTGATTGTCAACTTTTAAACCTGTACTGTCCAATATGATAACAGTCAGAGAGATGTGACTACTTACCATGTGTACGTGGCTAGTGTGACTAAAATTTAAATCTCATTTCAAAACCAAAGCACAGTAATTTGTTTGTTTGTTTGAGATGGAGTCTCCCTCTGTCACCAGGCTGGAGTGCAGTGGCACGATCTCGGCTCACTGCTATCTCCGCCTCCCAGGTTCAAGCCCCCCTCCCCTGCTTCAGCCTCCTGAGTAGCGGTGACTACAGGCTCGCACCACCACGCCCGGCTAATTTTTTGGTAGAGATGGGGTTTCACCATGTTGACCAGGATGGTCTTGATCTCTTGACCTCATGATCCGCCTGCCTTGGTCTCCCAAAGAGCAGAGTGAATTTTTAAGCATTGAAATGGCCTGAGTACTAGATATATTTAGTTAAATAAAATATACTATCAAAATTAATTTCATCTTTTACTTTTTGCTTTTGTAAATGTGGCTACTAGAAAAATCTAAATAACACACATGGCTTGCATCATATATTTCTTGTACGGTGCTACTCTAAGCATGGCGCCTTCCCAGGGGTACACAGGCCTGGCGTGTGAACACAAGCCCTCCACAGGACAGGCTAAGCAGCGAAAACACTGCACCAGTGCATCTTAACGTCAGCGAGGCTACCCAACTTCTTAAAAAAAAAAATCTTAACAGTAGCACCACCCACAAAGGAAATAAGTAAACTGGACTTTATTAAAATTAGCTCTTTTGCCTATCAAAAGACACTACTAATAGGGTAAAACAGCAAACTACAGATTTGGAAAAGATATTTGCAATTCATATAGCCAAACAGTGGACTTATATTTAGGATATATAACAAATTCCTGTGAATCAATTTTTTAAAAAAGGAATAAAACTCAATAGAAAAATGTGTGAAATATTTGAACAGGCATTTTAGAAAACAAGGTGTCCAAATGGCCAATAAACACATTACATGCAAATTAAAACATAATGGCTGAAATGAAAATGATGGAAAAATATCAAATGCTGACAAAGATGAAACAACTGAAATTCTTACATATCGCTAGTATGGTATAAATTGGTATGACCATGTTGGAGGATTTTTTTTTCCTGCCAAGTAAAAGCATGCTTCCTTCCACTAACACCCCCCTCGGTGCAGGAAAATTAATCTCTAACTTAAAAAGCCAGCGTTTCAAAATGTATAAAATAATGAGGCAGAGAGAAGGCCTCGGGCCTTGCCACACTGGAAGGTATCATCAGCAGTTAATTGAGCCACAGGGAGGCTGAGAGCAGGATTGCAAATATGGTAAGCTTCACAAATGACAAAATATAGTGCCTGACCTTTTTAAAGCAGATCTCGTGGGCTCCTCACAAACTGCAGGGCATTCTTTGAGGTCGGGAACCAGAGGGGCCCTGCAAGGGGCTTTGGTGAGGCAGGCGAGAGTCTGCTAGGAGAGTTGCTTTCACATTAAGCCATAAAACAATTTTCTTTGGAAAAAAATGTGTTTGTAACAAATGCCCCGCAGAATTATACTACATCACTGAAAACTGAACATTTGCAAAGCTTTGCTCAGGACTTTGTTATCATGCTCTGCCCTAAATCTAAGAGTAAAGAGTTATTCTTGTCAGGCATCTGCTTTTGAAGTTCCTGGCTAAGTCAAATAGTGCATGAGGCTCCACAGCAGCTCTTAATCAGGAAAACGGAGAGATGATTGTCGTTAACATAAAACACGGAACCCTGGGACCAGCTTTCTGTCTGCCCCAAAAACCAGCTGCTTCCAAGCCCCTCTAATTCCTGGTTCTCTGGGAAGGTGCTAGTCCAGTGACTTTTATCCAGGGGTCCACGGACCCGTAACATGTTTGTGGAGGGAATTCAGGGGTCTGTGAACTCAAATGAGGAAAAATATATCTATGTTTGCTAACTTCCAACCGAAATGTAGCACTTTGGTTTGGAAAGCAGGCAACAAACCATAGTAATGTTATCAGTCCTCATTGTCACCAATAGAAATCACCGACATTTTCATGTATTACAGTTGCTACAGATATGTTGAAATCAAGCTCAGGCTCATCTGTGCAGCAAAATTGGCAATTAGATCCACTATTAGACCTTGTAACATAAAAGCATAAATAAAGAAGCATATATCGGCCAGGTATGGTGGCTCACGCCTGTAGTCCCAGCATTTTGGGATGCTGAAGCAGGCAGATCACTTGAGGTCAGGAGTTCGAGACCAGTCTAGTCAACATGGTGAAACCCTGTCTCAACTAAAAATACAAAAATTAGCCAGGCATGGTGGCAGGAACCTGTAATCACAGCTACTCTGGAGGCTGAAGCAGGAGAATCACTTGAACCCAGGAGGCAGAGGTTGCAGTGAGCTGAGATCGCAACACTGCACTCCAGCTTGGGTGACAGAGGGAGACTCCATCTCAAAAAAAAAAAAAAAGGAGCATATGTATGATTCAATCACCATTTTAAAATATATTTTGTATTTCAATAAGGCTGTAATCATATGTGTCTTCAGCATTTAAAAAGTTTTATTCCAAGGTGCCCCTAGGCTTCCCTGCCAGAGGTATCCCTGACATGAAAGAGGTTAAGAAGCCCTATCTAGACAAAAAAAGGCAGGCCTTATTTAGACCAGGGAGTAGTATTAATAGAAGGAGCAAGGCAGGGCAAAGGTACTATCTTTGATCCCGGCAAAGTACAGCTGGATATGGCAAAGCAATGCCTGACCCAACCTGAATGCCAGGTAGCCAGACAAACCAGTGTGGTCTAGAACAGTCTAGAAGAGCAAATTGCCTGGAAGGGTGCTGCTCATGACAATCCCAGGAAGCACAAACAAGGGAGCCCTTGAGGAAAATCTCCCCCAAAGTACCTGTGGTCACTGTTTAAAGCTCTGGCTTTGACCCAGGTCAGACCTGGCTCAATCCTGGCTTCATAATCACCTTTGGCAAGAAATGGTTCACCTAATCAGGGTGAACCTCAGTTTCTCTCTCCATCTGTAAAATGGTAATAATACCTCCCTTAAGTTTTTGTTAAAGTTATGTAATTTATTCATAAATATGTTAAACAAAGAAAGCAAATTACAGAATGATAGATACTTCATTTATGTACAATATTAAGTAATACAAAACTATGTTATATAATGTTTATAAAGACTTCTGCACTAATATAGAAAATTATGCGTGGGGATCAAAAACACCAAATTCAATTTCCTAGTGCTTATATATAGGAAATGGGGGAAAATAGGTTTGGGATAAAAAAATGATCTGTGTTTGTAAGTGGAGAATCTGAAATAAATACATATGGCAAAGATTAAGATTTGATAATGCTTTCTTTTAACCTTTATTTAAGTGACCTACAATAAGCTGAACACTTAAAAACATACAATTTAATAAGTTTTGGCATATGTATACTCTCATGAAACCATTACCATAATCCAGATAATGAACATATCCATCATTCCCAAATGTTACCTCATTACAACATGCCATGTTGTAATGGCTCATCTGGCAGCCTGACTTGAGAGTGTGTGCCTTCATCCTCCTGAAGAGGGTCAACTGTATTCCTTTATTATCTTGCTTATTCTGGAGAACCTGTAGTAATATCCTCTGTTTCATTCCTAATATTGGTGATATTAGAATGTTACCTAATATTCTTCTTTTTTGTCTGTCTTGCTAGAGTTTTATCCTTTAGAAAATATTTTCAAAAAACCAGCTCTTTTTTTTTAGTTGCTTTAATAGTTTTATTGCTTTCTATTTCTTGACTTTGCTCTTTATTATTTCTTTCTTTCAGCTTGTTATGGGTTTAATTTGCTTTTCTTTTTCTAGGTACTGTAGTTGGGAGCTAAGATTGTTGATGAGAGTTTTCCTTTCTTCTAATGTATGCTATGCATTTAGTGCTATAAATTTCCCTCAGCACTGCTTAGCTCTCTTCTACAAATTTTGATATGCTTATTTTCATTTTCATCCAGTACAGCATATTCTTTTGTTTCCCTTGAGACTTCCACTTTGACCCATGGAATATTTAGAAACGTGTTGCTTAGTTTCCACCTGTTTGGGTGAGTTTACTGTCATCTTTCTGTTGCCGTTCTCTAATTTGATTCCACAGTGGTCAGAGAACACACTTGGTATGATTTTAACTCTTTCAAATGCGTTAAAGTCTGTTTCATAGCCCAGAATGTGGTCGATTTTTGGAGTATGTTCCCTGGGCACTTAAAAAGAACATACCTTCTGTTGTCAGGTGGAGCATTCTATGAATGCTGATAAGATCATTTTGATTGATAGTGTTGCTGAATTTTTCTATATCCTTGCTGATTTTCTGTCTAGCTGTCCCATTAATTATTGAGAGAGGGGTGTGGATTTGTCCAGTTCTCCTTTTAACGTATCTATTTTTTGCTTCACATATTTTGCAGCTGTTATTTGGTGTGTACACATTTAGGGTTGATATTTCTTCTTGATGGATTGACCCTTTTATCATTTTGTCACATTGTTCTCTATCTCTGGTAATTTTCTTTGCCCTGAAATTTACCTTATCTGATGCTAATATAGCTACTCCCACTTTGATTGTTTGCATGATATATTTTTTCCATCCTTTCACTTTCAATCTGCCTATATTGTTAAATTTGAAGTGAGAATTTCTTACAGGTGGCATGTAGCTAGGTCATCATTTTCCTCTACTCTGCCAATCTGTGTGTTTTAATTGGTGTATTTAGACCATTGACATTTAATGTAATTATTGATATGTTAAGGTTTAAGTCTACCATTTTGTATTTTCTATTCTCATTTCTGTTTTCTCTTTCTTGCCTTCCTGTGAGTTATTTTAACTTTTTTGTTGAATCTCATTTTTATTTATCTAGTGTTTTTGAGTGTCTTTCTGTATATTCTTTTTAGTGGTTGCTCTAGGTATTTCATTTAATATATACATAATATCGCATTCTCTGGGGTCATCATTTTACCAATTTGAATGCAGTGGAGAAATTTTTACCATCCTCTATATCCCTTTACCTTCTCCCACTTATAATTGTCTTAAATATTTCCTCTACAAACATTTAGATAGATATCAGCAGATACAGGGGAAGTACTTTTTTGTTTGTTTTGTTGGTGGTCTTTGGCTGGAGTCAAGCAGTTATTGTCCAAAAGCCTTCTGTCTTGCTAAGTTGCCCCATTCTTAGTCCTTTATCTTAAGAAAGGTGGCTTTTCTTGGGACTTTTTTTTTTTTTTTGTCTGATGCCGTTAGCATTACTGGGTCACTGGCTTCCTCAGCTCTAGGTTTGGAATATATGAGGCAAAGGAAAACCCAGAAAATTTGCCAGCATGGTGCTCCTTAGATCACAAGGTTCCTAGTCATTCCACCTTTCTAAGTCTTCTTATGTTTGTTTTTTGTATAATGCCCAGGGGTTTTAGTTGCACTTTGTGGGAGGAAGAAGAGAAAGTACATTTACTCCATTTTCCTGGAAGCAGAAGCCCTGATGCATTTCTAAAGCTGGCCTCTTGTTCCACTTTCACAAAAGACATTTCCCTATGAAAGAGCGTTAACATCCCACTGCTCTTCAAAATGGAAAACAAGTTTGCAGTAAGAGACAAGATGATCAGCAAGGTTTAAATCATCTCAATCTGCCTGCCAAGACACTAAAAATAGAGGGGCAAAAAGCTAGCTCAGTTTTCTAGAAATGCCTCAAGAAAATGAGATAATATGAACATTGATGATTTCGTTGATTCCTCATACAGACTTCAGGGGTATCATTCCTCAGCGATACGAGCTAGTGAGGACTTTACCCCTGGGGATGCATCTGTCTCAATCCATTATATACCACTGCCAGTCTACACCAATCATTCCCAAATTTTATAGTGCAACCAAAGTACCTGGGGAATGGTTATTAAAATACAGCTTCTGCAGTGGTACCTCTGGGGAAAGCAGAGCAGTGCTGGGTGTGTATATAGCCATTTGGGAACCCCAGTGTACGTCCAGACCAAGGCAAGTCCCCCTGAAACTGCCTCTTTAAAAATTATACAGCATTGTTTTGGTTATTGGGGTTGTAATAAGTACTTGGCTCATAGAAAAGTCACTTCTTATAAAATAATAATGGCAGCATTTTGCACAGCTAAAAAGTGCAGATTCTAGGCCTCAATCTGTAGGTCTTAGGTGGGCCAAGGAACCACTTAGCCTCTTGGTCTTGAGTAAGCTCAGCTGTGTACTGGTCAACACTAGAATTCACTGAGAGATCTGTAAAATTACAAGTAATAAAAATGCATATTAAGATAGAACTTATCAGATTCCCAATAACAAAAAGACATTTTAAAGTCAGACAAGTAGGGTAAACAACAGGACATGGAAAACTGAGAGCTGAGTATGGGTACCAAAACCAATACATGGCACTGGCTGCAGTCTCTGGTCATCTGCTGTCTCCTGACTCCTACTATAAAGGAGGCTGGGCCGGGCGCAGTGGCTCACGCCTGTAATCCCAACACTTTGGGAGGTCAAGGTGGGTGGATCACTTGAGGTCAGGAGTTCGAGACCAGCCTGGCCAACATGGTGAAACCCTGTCTCTCTACTAAAAATACAAAAATTAGCCAGGTGTGGTGGCACACGCCTGTAATCCCAGCTACTTTGGAGGGTGAGGCATGAGAATCGCTTGAACCCTGGAGGCAGAGGTCGCAGTGAGCCGAAATGGTGCCACTGCACTCCAGCCTGGGCAACAGAGCAAGACTCTGTCAAAAAAAAAAAAAAAAAAAGAGGCTATTATCCTATTTCAGACATTTTAAGGTTACTGTAGAGTCACTATCTAGGAATCTACATGGCTAAAATCTGCTTGCTCTGCTATCCCCCCAACCCCTACAGCCACGCACACATCCTCCACTGATCTCAAACTTCTCAGGCACTTCATCTCCTTCCTTCAATGATCTCACCTCCCTTTCCTAGGCAAAATGCACACTGCAAGACAGGACATACTTCACCTTCCAGCATCAAACTTTCATCCACGGCTGCTCTGGCCATGTGTGTGAATTAGAAAGAGGCACTCTTTCCTCAAGGGTCTTTACTATCATTTGCCAGGAAACAGTCAAGGCCACTCTTCAGTTTGTCCATGGGCTGATCAACATAAAAAATCCCTGGCTCCTTCTCATCAATATTTAAACAAGCTTTGGCTGGGTGTGGTGGCTCGTGCCTGTAATCCCAGCACTTTGGGAGGCCAAGGTGGGAGCAACTGAGGTCAGGAGTTTGAGACCAGCCTGGCAAACATGGTGAAACCCCATCTCTACTAAAAATACAAAAATTAGCCTAGCGTGGTGGCGCGTGCCTGCAATCAGAGCTACTCAGGAGGCTAAAGTAGGAGAATCATTTGAACCCCAGTGGCAGAGGTTGCAGTGAGCCAATATTACACCAATGCACTCCAGCCTCGGCAACAGAGTGAGACTACATCTCAAGAAAACAAAACAAAACAAAAACCCCCCAAAACAAGCTTATGTTTCTCCAATCTTAAAAAATAATAATTAAAAATCATCATTTTCCTTTCAGAATCACTCTCATTTCTTCACAGACAACTTCTTGGAAGATTTGCCTATGTTCATTTATCTCCATTTTCTCACCATCACCCTCACTTATTCCTCAACTCACCACAAGCTGACCTTCTCCAGCCATTCCAAGGAATCTGCTCCAGGTAACAACAAAGTCTGCTCAGTCATCTCACTAATTTATCAGCAAAACTGACCTAATTACTCTTCCTGAAGTGCTCTTCCCTTGCTCCCTGCAATGCCGCATTTCCCTGGTTCCTCTCCTAGGGCTGCCTGCTCATCTTCCCTTTCTTTAGTAGAAGAGCTCTTGACACTCTGTCCTGCGCCTCTTTCCCAAAGGGTATTCTCTCCACCAGGCAATTTCTTCTAAGCTCCTGCTCTAGCACCATTCATATACAAGAATCTAAGGCACAGATTTCTAGCTCAGGCCTGTCATCTAAAAAATCAAACCAGGCACATCCATTGGCCTGTTGAGTTTCTCCCCTAGAAGACCTTCAAGGCTTAATATATGTAAAACCAAACTTCCCACACATCAGCTTCTTCTCCTGTGGTTCCCTTTTAGTATGTGATGGCCCAACATTCTCCCAGCTATCAGCCCAGAAGCCTGGCAGTCACCCCAACTCTGCAAATTTCACACACCCAATCCACCACCACCACTGCCGCCACCTGCTTCCCAATGATCTCTCTCTCTCCCTCCCTCCCTCCTGTATTCTTCAGCTGTGGCCTGAGTCCAAGTAACCAAAGTCAAGAAAAGCAGGGCCATGTACTCTGTACTCACCAGCCTGGTGCTTGAAACCCTCAACTATTGTAAAGTGGTTATGTTAATGAAAAGGGGTCCCCATCCAGACCCCAAGAGAGGATTCTTAGACTTTAAGCAACGAAGAATTTGGGGCAAGTTCAAAGAGTAAAGTGAAAGCAAGTTTATTAAAAAAGTAAAGGAATAAACGATTGGCTACACCATAGGCAGAACAGCGGCATGGGCTGTTCAACTGTGTATACGTTATTTATTGATTATACACTAAACAAGGGGTAGATTAGTCAAGAGTATTCTGGGGAAAGGAGTGGCAATTCCCAGAACTGAGGGTTCCACCCTCGCCTTCAGATCATATAGAGTAACTTCCTAACATCGCCATGGCATTTGTAAATGCTCATGGTGCTGGTGGGAGAGTCTTTCAGCAAGCTAATGTATTATAATTAGCATATGATGAGCAGTGGGGACAACCAGAGTTCACTTTCATTGCCAATCTTGGTTTTGGTGGATTTTGGCCGGCTTCTTTAAGTATCCTGTTTTACCAGCAGGGTCTTTGTGACCTGTATCTTGTGCTGACCTCCCTGTCTCATCCTGTGACTTAGAATGCCTAACCTCCTGGGAATGCATCCCAGCAGGTCTCCACCTTCTTTTATGCAGCCCCTATTCAAGATGGAGTCCCTCTGGTTCAAACGCCTCTTGACAGTTCATCTTTTCAGTGTTTCCGGCTAGGAAATTTAAATGTTTGTCCATCTATTCACTGGGCTCTGAAGCACTCATTTAGTACACTGAGAAAGGAGAGGGAGGGGGGATGGGAGGAGGGGAGGAGCAGAGAAAGGAGAGGAGGCGGAGACGGTTAGTCTAGCCTCTCTGTGGGGCCTCTCTGCTGGTACCCAGATGCTGAGCGCTGAAATTCTCATCCGCCACACACAACATGGCGGCTTCCTGGACCCGCGCCCAATTTTCGCTTCCGGGATGGAAGCTACGTCATTTCCCCCTCTGTTGCCCTAGCGCCCCTTGGAAGCCAAGAATATGAGGAAGTCTTCTTCCTTCGCGCCTTCTTCTTCCTTACGCTCCAGGGCAGCCTGACAGAGCCGCTCGAAGGCTCTGCTGGCCGCGGCTAGCCGGTGAGGAGGGTGGGGGGAGGGGCCGTCCCGCGTGTGGGGGAGTCTGAAGGCGACCAACGAGAGGGAGGGCCGGAGCGGGGAGGTGGCTCGGAGGCATGTCCAGTAAATTGGGGATGAAAATCCTCCCAGGAACCCGATTATTAATGGGTTGAGGGAAGTGGCAGGTGCAGCGGTTGCGCAAAGACAATGATGCTTAGTAGCCAGGACTTCATGGCCACAAAATTTGTGTGTAGAGAGGGCCACAGCAGCCTGAAAACCATTTTCGTCCCCTTTTAGGTTTACCCATTCCACTGGACCCAGCCACCACCCACTCCTGCTGTCTGGTAAACTTTCCTCCTGTTTCTGGGGCCATGTCTGGCATGAAGAGTTTTTACTGAATAGTTTTCATTGATCGCAGGCCAGTTCTCTCTTCTCACCCCTTTATTGAAGTGACAGTGAAAATCTAAGTGAGAAAGCACTGTTACAGGGGCTGAAAAGGCTACAGGAGACCAGAGCCATTGACTTTTATTTTTAAAATGAAGATCTCTTTTACTTGAAGGAACTTAAGAATTTTGGCATTCAAATAGGGGCTGGAAGACTTGAAAGCAGTAGAAATTTCACCACAGGTGATAGGAAAGGATGATCACGAAATGAATATCTCCTGACTTGCACACCTAGTGAGCAGAGCCAGGAAGGACCTCCTTCACCTTAGCATTTGGAACAGGCTGCAAAGTTCATTCTTCCTCATAGCAGCCCCTGCATTCAGTTTGGTTTAGTTGTTTTATGTGGTTTCTAGCCTGATTTTTTTTTTCAGGGTGCAGCAGAAGTCTCAGGTAGCTGAGAAGTTCATGGAATCTTCTTATTTGCTACACCTTTCACTACTGCTTGTGATATAGTGCAGGGTTGGGATGTGCAGACATTTCTCAAGTGCACTGTGTACCTACACAGCATGCTGCAATTTGGCTACTGAAGTCAAGAGAAACTGGTTTGAACAACTACTGAGTGTAACATAGGAAGCGCATTTCATTTGATAACAGGAACACAGCTTTTGTGCTAATAAAATGCTTTGAAAATTAGTGTGTGGTCTTTAGTAATTAGCATATACATTTTAGTTATCCATTGGTTCATAACAAACGGACTAAATAGGTACCCCACTGAGTCATTTATCTAAATGAAAAGTTTGGTTAAATTGTAGTTGTAGGCATTGATCAAAGCTAATGGGAAAAAGAGATTAAGATGAAAATCATGGGATTAAATTTTTAATTAGTTTGCCCCTTGGACCGTTGCTTGGTATGACATGGAGATTGATTGGCTACTTATGCCTGCCTGGGAAGATATGGCTCTGCTACCAAACCTCTGAACGTAAGAGTGTTTTGCAAAAAAACTGAATATTTTATTCAGTAATTTTTCACTTTATTCCTGCTTAACAAGGAATTGAAAAGGAAGGCAAGGTCTTGGATCTCATAGTTCTTGGTATAGTGATAGATATAAAGTATGAGATGGGGGCTTCAGTGGGTTCATTAATAAATATCTCAAATTAACATGTCTAAGTCAAACTCTTCCTTTCCTGCCCCCAATCTCTTCCTCTCCCAGGGCTCCTTATGTCAACTAATGGTGCCATCATTAGTGCACTCAAAGCAAAAACCTGGGAACAATCTTGATTCCCTCTTTCATTCCCCACAGCTCACCCATCAACAAATTCGATCCGCTTTTATTCTAAAATATATCCTAAATCCATTCACTGTTCTTATCTCCACCACCCTAACCCAGGCATCATCATCCTTTACCTGGTTAACTGCAAGATCCTTTTCATTTAACTTCCCTGCTTCTAATCTTCTGACCCATTTTCACCATCCCAGTCCATTCACCACACAGTAGCAGCCAAAATATTTGTTTAAAATGTAAGTTAGATTCTATCACTTTTGTGTTTAGAATTATTGTCTTCCCCCACTAATTACTGTGCCCTATGTGATCTGGACTCAATCTGGTACCACTCCCTACCCCTTCACTCACTATAATCCAGACATACTATCTTTCTTTCTTCAACCTGCCAAGTTTTATCCTGCCTTAGGGTCCTTGCACTAGCTGTTCCCTTTGCTGGAACCCTCTTCACCCAGTTATTGCAGAGCTGGCCCTCTCTTGTTTAGAGCTGAATTTCAATGTGACCTCTTCAAATAAGTCCTCCCTTGACCACCCAAACTCATGTACCCCCTTGTTACTCTCTGTCACGTCATCCTGATTCAGTTTCACCACAACACTCATCATTACTGCTATTTTCTTGTATCTTCCTTTGTTTATTGACTGTCTCCTCCCATTAATATGTAAGCTCCCTGAAAATAAACATCTTGTCTATATTGTATGACTGTATCCCCAGAACTTCAAATAGTCTGTGACATATGAATGAATGAATGAATGAATGTACGAATGGATTCTGCTTCCCCAAAGCTGCTGCCATCTCATCTCAGGTACATTGAAACAGGAAGGCTGGTAAAGGCCAGGGGGTCAAATGCTACATAGAGTGGAGCCTGAAGCACAAGATGTGGGCAAAGACACAGTGGAGAGGGGCAAGAAAAGCATTTGGGATGGAGGGCAGAGGGTCTGGGAAGGAACATGGAAATGATATAGAACAACTCTACAGATATGTCCTAGACATCTTAAGACTTGTACAAGCATGCGTGTGCCCGCACATACACACATACCAGCTTGAAGAATCTTGTCTCAGCACATGCTCTGTACTTGAGTCTTAGAGAACACTTTTCTTGGTAGAGATGTTTAGGCTTCAGCATTAAGGAGTCTGATTCAGAGGTCTAGGTAGGGCCCATGTGTCTGTGACTGCATAATACTTGTAAACTGGTCTCATTCTTGGTCAGGACAATAAGGCTGCAGTAAATCATAGCAGCTGGGAGAAAGTAGTGTGGTATCCTGCAGTGGTTCTGTTCACCACCACATGGGCAGAGCATGAGCAACTTTCCTTTCCTGGGCCCTCGTTCTGCTCAGATACAAAGTGAAGGCTTACTTGGGCTCCTGTGCAACTTTAAAAGTGAAACTTAACTGAAATTGGGCAGGTGGGCTGCACTTCTTCTAAAAAGTAAGAGGCCCACTTTTTAGAAAATATTAAACCTTGGATTACACCTCAGTTTGGCAGTTACATGACACATTATTTCTAAAGAGCCATCTAATTTTATGCCATCTAATGTTTATATTGATAACTGATGAAAATACAGGAGCTTATTATGCCACTGAAACTACGATGAAGTGGCTCAAATTTATTCTCTCACTGTAGGTTGGATTTGAGGGGATAAGGATAAGAGAGAAAATACTATTGGTGCTCAGGTTAAAAAAAGAAAAAGAAAAAAATGGAGCTTAGACTTTAATCTTTTCATAAATCTTCCTCATCCCCAATTGTTCAGCCAAATTCAGAAGGATTAGCTTTCCATCTTCCATGAACCTTTTGGTTGGATCTTTTGTCAATCTTTTTCCCCTTTGAGGCTACCTCGATGTTTAACAAAAAAAAAAAAAAAAGAACTACAAACTTCATTCAGATCCAGTTCAGGGTCCTACATAGCATTTAGTTTTTATGTCTTCTCCAATCTGTGATGGTTCCTCATTATTTCCTTGTCTTTCGTGACCTTAACACTTTTTAAGAGTACTGCTCAGTTATTTTTTAGATTGTTACTCAGTTTGGATTTGTCCAGTATTTTCTCATGATTAGACTGGGGTTTTGAAGTTTCTCCATGCATCATACTGGAGTACATAATATCAATATGTCTTATTATTGGTGCTGTTAATAAGACACATTGCTGTCGATGACATCTGATCACTGATTAAGGTGGCATCTGTCTGTTTTTTCCACTGCAAAGAGGAGAATTCCATTTGTGTTAATATATATTTGGAGAGAGATGCTGTGAGGTTACCTTGGCCTTATTTGTAACCAGATTTTCCTTACATGTGTGTTGGGATGGAGAGGTGATGGGAGGTGGGATGGGGTGGACTGTGTGATCTGTTCAGTCTGTACATCCCAAGTACAGATCAGAGCTTGCTATGATTATGCTGCACAAAGAGGTGAAGAAACCTTTGCACTATAATAAATAGCTGGGGCTACATCTTGATATGCATAAACGAAAATGTGATATGGCATGTTTTTATTGTGTGTGTGTATGTGTGTGTGTGTGGAGGTGTGTGTTGTTCATTGAATCGAGTTCTTCTTATCCATGAGTTCATTATTTCTTAATAAAGGGTAACATTTTTTGAGTGTCTACAATGTTCCAAGCACTGTACTAGGCTCTGCATCTCTTATCTCAGTTCAACACTGTAAAGTGGACATCATTAGATGTTTTACAGATAAGGATACCAAGGCTCATGGAAGTAAGTTACTCAAAGGCAAGTGGCAGAACTGAAACTTGAACCCAGGCTCGTCTGACTCAGAAGTTTGTGCTACTTCCAAAGCACCAAGCTTGCTTTCCTACTGTGCGCCAGGCCCTGCAGTTAGTGCTAGGATGCAGAAGTATGAGATAGTGTTCAAGAAGCTCACACCTACCGCACAGGGACCTTGGGAAGAAGCACCGAGGGCCTGGGGAGGAACATTTATTATGGGCATCATCCTTGTTTTCTCAGTGACAATCCCTTGTCTTGAAAATCACTGAAATGTTTTTTTCTCGGGCCTTTAATGAGTCAGGGTAGATTTGCAGGTTGCCCTCAGCTACAAGTAGCTGAACAGAGGAGGGAACTAATAGCGATGCAATGCCTGCTCTGCTTGTCACTGACTGTTATCCATCTCAGCCCCGCCATGAATGAGTATATTATTATCTCCACTAAGTACGTGAGATATCCAAGGCCCAAAGAAGCTAAATAATATCATCCCTAAAGTCACCAGCTAGTAAATGGCTAGCCAGGAGTTTGATCCCAGATCTAACTGATTCCACAGCCAGTGTCCAATCTCAGTGCCCCTTGATATGCCAGGGGTACAGATTCCAGCATCCTTGCTGCAACATGGCTATGCATCCACTACCTTCTCATTTGTAGAAGGGGTGGCCATGTTTACATAGTGCCTGATGGACATTGACAACAGTTCATTTGTACCAAGCATTTTTTTGCTCAAGCCAAAGGATCTTTGGGCAGCTTTTGCTTTTTTTTTTTTTTTCACCCCCTCCCCCCAACAGTCAGTCCATACCAACAGAGCAAATGGAAAGTGATGATTCTGAGTCATTTGTGACATATAAAATGCTACTGTGTAAACAAATGTGCTTCCCTAAGAGAGATGGCATACGGCAAGTCAGGTCTCTTTGTCCCCAGCTTTTGATGAGAGGATTTAGTTCCTCATAGAGGCAATGCTTAATAAATAGCATTTGATGTGGCTGCTGATAGTTTGTGGACTTCCAGTCTCCAGGCATTTGCTGAACTGTGTAGTGAAGAAGGGGGACAGAAAAAAATCCTTCATTCCCCTGCCTGTCCCATTTGGCAGCTCCCTAGATTCTCTCAGATCAACGTCCTTTCTATTCTTTGCTATTTTTGAAAATTTGAAAGCAAGGTGAGGTCGCTGCATTGGAGTAGTTGGAAAAGAAAAGGAGACTAATGATTAGCAGGCCCAGGGATTAGGATGGGGAGAGCAGGTGGCAATCTGGTTTATTAAAATTACTCCATTTGGTTCCTACCATATAGAACCGAGGTTCACTGATTATCTTGATTCTGCTGCCATTGTCCTGCTACAGGCAGTGAGAATGAATGACCAAAAGGTGAGATTAGCAGTAGATGGAAAGAAAAATGGGGTAAAAGGAATTGGAAGTTGTTTTTGATTTCCCTCTCTTAGTTTGGATTCTCCCAGACCAGATCCAGAGGCAAGGATTCAAGCGTAAGCAATTTATTTGGGAGGTTCAGGAACCGTTGGCAGGGAATTGAGAACAAGCTGGGAAGGGAGAAAGGCCAATAAAGGATTGCTACTCCCGTGGAAGACTGGAGCTCAATTCCACTGGTGAATCCTGGGAATGGTGGTGTAGGACACACAGGTCAGAATGATCTGTCTTCCCACTCCCACTCAGGGAAGGGAGCTGAGGTATTTATACACCAACTTGTGAGTGTAGGTTATTAACAGCTGCTCCCATGTGGTGTGCTGGGCACACAGGCAGAGTGGTTCTCTCCAGTTTAGGAGAAAACCCGCAGGCAAAAAGATGCAAATGCTACAGTTGAAAGTAAACCAGTGTGCACTGATGTGGTAAAGCCAAAGGGATATGGGCTGGGTATCAACAGCATCTGCTATGTCCCTTTAAAACAAAACAAAACACCCACTCCTCCCCCCGTATTTCCATATCACTAAATAGCACCAACATTTACTCAGTTTCTTATGCCAGAAGACCTTAGAATCTTCCTTGATGCTTTTCTGCTCTTGCCTCACATTCAGTCATGAACTCCATCTTAAAAATACACCTCGAATTGTACTGCTTCTCATCATCCCCGCCATCATCTTTCACGGGGTCTCTGCAACAGCATCTTAGCTCAAATTCGTATTTACACTTGTTCCCCTGACATGGTAGCCAGAGTGATTTTTTAAAACCTGAATCAGATCATTTTACCCCACCCCACCAGCTCAAAACTATCCAGTGGCCCCTCATCACTCTTAGAATACAATCAGAAGCCTTTACCATGCCCCAAAAGACCCTACATGATCTAGCCTGACTTCATCCCTGACTTCACTTTCTATCTGTTCTCCTCTTTGCTCACAGTGCTCCTGCTAGATGGCTTTTCTTGCGCATTCCTGCCTCAGGGCCTTTGCATTTGCTCTTTCAACATAGAACACTACTCCAAATACTCATCTCACTCAATCCTCTCAATTACTCAGTCATCTGCTCAAATATCACCTCTTTAGGGAAGACTTTTCTTAATACTCTATCTAGAAAAGAGCCTTTTGTCACTCTATTCCTTAATCTGTCTTATTAATTTTTCCATAGCAGTGATCATGACCTGAATAATATTAGTTTCTATTTTATTTGTCTGTTGCCTGTCTCTTGCATTAGAATGTAAGTACCATGAGTGCAAGGACCTTGATTCTCTGCATTGCTCCCAGCTCCTAAAAGAGGGTGACACATAGTAGGTATTGATTGAATGAATGGATTAATAACAATTTACTGGTCCTGCTGAGAGGACCCATCTGTCAAAATTTTTCAGAACAGGCAGGAGAAACTGGAAACCTTGGTTTGATAACTGCCTGGCTGCCTCTTTTCCCAGAGCTGGCTCTAACGAAGAATAAACACACTTAACAGAGACGGTTGAAGGTCCTGGGATTACTTCCAATATGTTCCTTCCTGATGTCCACGGCAAATCTCAACTTGTTCATTTTTCTTTTTGTTTGCCTTTCTGAAAACAATGGAAGGAAAATTGAGGGAATCAATGTGCTACATTTCATATATGATGATAGGGACAAAGTGTAGTTTTGATTTTTTTTTTAAATGATCTAGAATACAAAGTTGGTTATTTCCTCCTAGTGCCTGGCACATAGTATGTGCATACTAAATGTCGAGTGAATTGGCAATGTCATCTATTTGATGTTATTAAGTTTTCATTGTGTGCTAATTGTTCTGTAGAAGGTATTGGATTAGAGGGTCCACACCCTTAAAGATACCAAAAAGCTGGAGGATTTTCTCCATCACTGCCCCCAACCCAGAAAACCCTTAGCCTAATCCATGCCTGTTCCTTGTCATATGTACCAGCCCATGATCCTAAAAATAGTCAGTAGAATCAATTCTATTTTTTTGTGTGGTTTAATTTAATCCATTATAAAAGTAATGCAGGTTAATTTTAGAAAGTTTTTAAATTACAGAAAAGTGAAAGAGAAGAAGAAAAAAATATGTGGTTCTACCACCCAGAGATAACCACTGTTAATATGCTGGTGTATTTATTTCCTTCCACTGTTTTCTATGTGTATTTTTACACAGATTGAACATACAATTGTATTTCTCTCTTAATATCATAACATAAGCATTTATTCTTGGAATTCAATACTGTGAATATCTCTTTTAATAGTTGCGTACTATTACATTTTCCTGTTTTAGACCATTTAGTTTGTTTTCTATTTTT
This sequence comes from Homo sapiens, assembly GCF_000001405.40. NCBI lineage: Eukaryota > Metazoa > Chordata > Mammalia > Primates > Hominidae > Homo > Homo sapiens. Next base: position 45,363,649 of record NC_000011.10, read on the forward strand.
TAAAATTATAAGTAATGCTGGATAAATATCCTCATATGTGTATCTTTGCTGGCATTCCTGTTTTTTTTTTGTTTTTGTTTTTTGTTTTTTGTTTTTTTTTTTTAGGATAGAGTTCCAGAAATGGTGTAACTAGTTCTAAAGGGGACAAACTCTTAATACATTTTATGAGATTTCATTTTGATTTCTAAAACCGTTCGAATGTGACTTCCATAAAAGAGCTCTAGGAAAGCAGATTGCCTCAAAGAATTTACTTCCAGTTTTGCAACATTTCAGGCATAGAGTGTTTTAGCATTCAGTTTAAATGAGTACAGAAATCTTCTGTAGGCTGCCTCCTCTTCAGGCCTCTTCTCTCTCTAATAAAATGCAGCATTGGCATTATAAAAATCTTTCTTTGATAAACAACGTCTTTTTGCGTTCTCAAGGATTGTTTTCCTAAGTCTTCCTGGCGGGTATTGGGTTTATGTGTTGTATTTTTGCTTGCCTGTTTATGATATCTTAAGGGTTTAGTTATGCTTTGTGTTTTGTTTTGTTTTTTCATTGCCAAAGGAAGTCCAGATTTCATGGCAGTGAAACCGGCTTTTACAAGTCTGTCTGGGTCTTTCCTGAAAGGCCAGGAGATTACCTTGGCAGGGACTGTTCTCAGGAATATTGCATGGAAAAGGACTCCCCTCTCCAAGGCTAAGCCATCGTGGAAACGGCCTTGCCAAAGATAAGCGGTTTATCAATGGAGGGAAACCATGCCATTCAGAGATATGAGAGACCAGGCATGCCATCTAGGAGGGTCAGGATATAGGATGGCTTAGTAAATGATGTCTCAGTCATACCACATAAAATCATGCATGCAACATAATTGAAAAGAATGGAACAGACATCCTTATCTTACCTGAAAAGACATCCATGATATTTTGTTAATTCTGAATAACAAGATGTAGAGAAATATGTATGGTGTGATCTCATATTTGTAAGAAAAAAATAAAAGCAAAAATCATGTTTAACCGTTTGGGAGGCCGAGGCGGGCAGATCACCTGAGGTCAGGAGTTCAAGACCAGCCTGGCCAACACGGTGAAACCCCGTCTGTACTAAAAATACAAAAATTAGCCAGGTGTGGTGGTGGGCACCTGTAATCCCAGCTACTCAGGAGGCTGGAGCAGGAGAATCACTTGAACCCAGGAGGCAGATGTTGCAGTGAGCCAAGATCACACCACTGCACATATCAGACTGTTGGTAACTCACTGGTATGTGAAATTGGGCTAGATGAGAATAAGGAACTTTGCTTTATACAACTCTGTTGAATAACCTGTTACAATGAACATGTATTACTTTTATAACTTAAAGGAGGAAAACTAAAAAAAAAAATACTGGAGACGGACAGAATAGGAAGTGGGATTTAGGAGCTAGTTAAATGGGACCTGTGCAGGGTGGATCATCAGCCTTTCTGGCAAGGCTGATGCATGTGCCAAAGAAGAAAAGTGGGGCTACCTAGAAAAGTGGGGCTGAGCTGGCATGTCCTTACCCTGGCAGCTGCTAGAAAAATTGAATATGTTGGCATTCAATGGAGATATCACATCTGTAAAGTCTTTTGGGGGAGAAAATGGGAATGATCCAGAGAGAGTCAAGAGTTGCCATCTGAGGGCTTGAGAGAGGGTGGCCAGGAGAGATCAGAAGAACATGCTTTAAAAGCCCCAGAATGGAAAAGATGGATTCTGCATCTGAATCACAGAGCTCTTCTTAGCCATCTGTGAGACATGCCCTAGGCCTTGAGCTAGAGACAGTGCCCAAGGCTTTTATTAACCTTCTTCCCTTGGGAGTGAATGCTGAGGTGTGTGTCTTCGAGGAGTGATGGCTCAGAGGCTACACAGCTCTCAAACTTGATTTGCTTTATATTTTATTTGTGAATTAGGGTGTATTCACGGCGAATGGATGATTTAGACGATGATGGGTCTGCTGCACATATAAAGGGATAATTGAATCTCGAAGTCTATTAAAGACTGTTGCCTTACATCTTGTGGGATGACATTTTATTACAGGGGCCAACTTGTCTCTTATATTCTGTTTCTTCTCTTCCCTTCCTCCCTTTCTTCATTATCCTTAAAAAATTAGATTTTCCCCTTCGCCAATCAGCAGTTGCAAAAAGTCCTCCAGGAAAAGTCTGGATGCCAGAAAGCCGTACCTGAGGGAGGCAGAATTGCATGGCAGTGGGCTACATGGGCTCCAGAGTTGGCCAATGTGTGGCCTCTAACAAGTATCTTGCCTCCTCTATGCCTCAGTTTCCTTCTCTGTAAAGTGTGGGTGATGATGTTTACTTTTTAGTTGTCATGAAGGTGAGGGATGATGATGCTTAGCACAGTGTCTGACACTTTACAGCAAGCGCCACGATCCACTGTTGTCATCGGGACTTTTGTCATCCTCAGTGCTGCCACACGTTTGCCCTGGGTCCTTGAGCAAATTGGCTCTTTTCTGTGGCCCCCTTGTTCCTCATCTGCCAACTGAACTCTCCGCAGTTAATAACTCCAGCGACACTCGAAAAAACAACAAAAGCAGTTGAACAGCAAAAACAACAATCCAAAAACCCACCCTGATTCCTGGGTAGGATAACGTCATTTCGCTCAGGACTGCTCTCAGTAAGTGGGCCTTTCCTGTCAGAAGAGCCTGGAACCTCTCTGTTCCTCAGAGCTGCCAACACTGGCCTTGTTCTGTGGTCTGATCTGCTGGCGACCTCTGTCCGCACACTTCTGAGACTGGCCAGGGGCCCTGGCACAGTCACACTGCACAGCCCGCCAAATCGAAAGGTCCTTTCTTTTGAGCAAATAGCATCATACACGTTGCCATCAAGAAAATGAAAGCATTTGCAGTGGCGCAGCATCCAGCTTCTCTCTGTGGCCTTTGGAAACAATTTTGTGACCAGAGAATGGTTGGAGACAAAGGTCTTTCTATCTGATCTGCTCACCAGGCTGGCATGGGATCGTGGGGGGCCTATGTCCCTCTTTCCTGGCACCACATGGATTGCTATCACTGCATTTGTCTCCTCTCTTTGATTAGGACAAGACAGGCAGGCAGGCAGAGGGTTGTATTTCAACTGCCCTTGACTCTGTTTATAATCACAAACATGAAAGGAAGGGGAAGAGATTGAGTTTATAGGACTGGTTCTTTGTGTAGCCTAATTTATCTCTCTCAGGCAGCAGTGGGCCGAGCGAGTTTCCTTTTTGTTTCCAATGCAGGAAACTGAAATATGAATCTATGTTGATGAGAGAATAAAGGAATTGAAAGAGGCATAAATCTTATCTTCTCGCAACCCTAGAAGATCAGCTTCTTGTGAAGAAGGGGATTATACTTCTGTAATTAACTGCTTTGCAGCTCCTGGTGATGGCTCAGAGCTGAATAATAGCACCCAGCCAAGTTGGATAAAAGGCTGTTGGATGGGCAGGTGCGGCCGCTCATCGTGAACAATGGTCTCAGGGCTTGACATCTTTTTCCAGTGCCCCGTGCTCAGAGAGTCCAACCAGGGGATATTTGTTCCCTGTCTATCAACATTCACAGCAGAGAATAAAATTCCAGAACAAATAGCTCAAAGAGACCTGTTTCACTGGAGGCCAGTAGCTGCAATGAGCTGCCTTGAAGGACCAACCCAGATTCTACACCTCTTTGTGTTCCGACCAGTGCCCGGGACCTGTTAGGGGCTTATGGAACGCTGGTTGGCAGTGACTGCTTCTCAGCCGCTGTGCTGTCTCAGGAAAGTTGCGTGAGTTCTCTGATCTTCAGAGTTAACCGTCCACACAATGCAAGGGGTTCTTATGGAATTCTTATGAGGAAGAAATCAGATCATGAGTGTAAACAAATTACTTAGTACAGTGCCTGGCACAGGGCAGGTGATCAATAAATGGTAGCTATTATTATTAAATTGTGAAATAAAAATGGATCGCGGACACATAGCCATTATAATAGTCAATGTTTATGAGGCTTACCCTATACAGACACTGCATATCCATTAGTGCATGAAGGCCCCACAGCATCCCTATCAGGTAGGCAGGATTCTTTCCCCCCATTTCACTGGTGACAAAATGGGCTCAGAATGGAATGATGATCTGCTATGGTTAGGAGCAGGAATGGAGACTGGCACCCAGGTCTTTCCCTTGTCTCTTTTTCCTTAGCCCCTGCCCCTCAATACTGGAGCCACAGGTACTCAGCCCCTCAACCCACTGTACTCTGAAACTCACCAACCCCAGGATCAAGCTTCTGAGCCATCTGTGTTTCCTTTTCTCCTCCACGCTGCATGCTGAAATCTCTAGGAATCCTAGAGATTCTTCTTTTGAGATGTTTCCAAAACACCTCCCTTCTTCAATCCCACTGCCACTCATGCTGGTACAGACCCTCGGCTCATGACAACCAGGCTTCCTACATTGAGCAGGCACCCAAGTAGTGTCTCAGGCCCAGGTCCTCTTTCTGTCACCCCTCACATCAGTGCCAGATGAGTGATCCCTCGCCTCACTCTCCTGTCCTTCCCTCCTGAGGGAGCAACAATCACTCCCCTGCCATACTAAGTCAGTTCCATGTTCCTTTCTTGGTATTCAAAGCTCTTTAGCTGACCCACTCAAACTTGTCTTCCTACTCACAGTCAGAACTTTGGGTCCAGCTGAGCCTGTCTCAGTTGCCCTCAGGCAGGCATCTGCAGCCACTCTGTGGTCTCAATGGATTAGACCCTTGATAAAGACTCAAATGTCCTCATTCACTGAACATTTAAGTGTTTAACAGAGCTATGGAACATAGAGATCATGTCTTCCATTCACCCACCCATTCTACAGATGGAACCTGAGGTCCAGAGAGGCTCAATATCACACAGTGAATTAGTTTCAGAACCAAGTCTCAAAGCTAGGCTTTTAAGCTTAAAATTCAGTGTTCTTCCATTAGGTCAATAGGCCATACCACCCTCAGTAATGACTGGCTGCCCGTGGCTGGGAGGGGCAATTTATTTATTCCTCAGTCTACATATGGGCTCTGGACCTGTGTGGTGCCCCAGAGGGTCAGCCTGAAGGCTGCGGAGGCTCCGAGTTAGGTGCTGGGGACAGGGATGTGATGGGCAGAGGCTGGGTGGTGGCAGCAGCAGAGGTGGGGGTGGGAGATTGAGATTTAGGGGGACTGTTGTGAATCTCAGCAACTGTTAAGACAGATGAAAATGGGGCTGAATGCCAGGCCAAGCAGTGTGTGTGGGAACAGAGCACTTAACTTCTCTATTTGGATGGGAGATGGGATCCAGAAGGGCTTCAGGGAAAAAGTGGCCTGTGGCTCTGAAGAACCAGAAGGACTACGTTCATGGCACCAGAGGTCAGGTATTCCAGGTGGAGGAGCAGCGTGGACAGGGCCAGACTGCCTGGCATGTGCGTGGTGAACAGCGCAGCTGCAGCAAGGGAGCCCGGAAAAGTAGAGGAGCATGGACTCCAGCTCTGCCTCTGCATCTGGGCTGACCCACTCAAGGTCTGGGCAAGTCACTTTGCTTTCCTGAACCTCAGTGTCCTTGTATGTGAAATGGGCATCATGATGTTACCTGTCTCCTAAGGCTATTGTGGGGATTAACCTAAATAGCAAGGCACCAAATATAGGGCCTGGCACATAGTAGGTATTCAGCAGAAGACCTAGTGTGGCTGGAGCTCAGGTTATTGGGCCACAGGAACAAACAGATGTTTGGATGTCATTGTTTGTTTTCTTTTGCCTTCCAATGGGCCCTTTCTGCTCCTTCCAGGAGCTCACCAGCTGGCCTGGGAGGGCTGCTTGCCCACTTATAGTTGCCAAGATGTTTGGCTGTGCCCCCGTCCAGAACCATCTTCTGGTCCTGTCTTCATTCTTGAGCCCTTTCCAGCCTGAACCCAATGGGGGACTCGTGTTCCAGGTCTGCTAACGTTTGCTGGCAGAGCCCATGTTTGGGAGCGTGAGCTGTGTTTAGGTAGAAACAGACACTGAAAACAGCTGCTGGCTTCTCTGCCGTGGTAAACAGGGAATAAAGCACTCCCCACCTCCCACTGTGGGCTTCGCTGGGGATTGGGGAGCACAAGGCAGGCCGGGCTTACTGTCGCTTTTGGGGAGGGGAAGGCCATTTTTCTTTAGGGACTGGGCCTGCCCCCTCAGGCTCGGGTCGGGCCAGGGGTGGGGTGAGATGTGTGGAGGGAGTTGGAAGCCCTCCCTCTCCCTGGACTTCTAGATGTTTGAAGACTCCATAGGCACTTTCTACCGTTTGGTGTCTGTGAGGCAGGGTCGTTTCTTTAAGCCTTTGTGGGTGGACTGTCAGCAAAGGCAGTTTCTGGCATGTCCTTGTACTGTGTTGATGAGTGGTATCAAACTTACCTTCACATCAGCCTCACTTGGTTGGTGCTGATTTAAACATACATATTCCCAGGCCCTTCCTCAGGCTCGCAGAATCAGAATCTCTGAGGGAAGGGCCCAGAAGCCTGCATTTTAACAAACTCTTCAGGTGATTCTGCTGCAGGCATTCAGGGAACTACACCTTGGAGACCCCTGGCAGGTTTCTAATGGGTTATCTGGGAAACCAGGGGGAAGGGGCAGTCAGGAGGAGGAGGGGGCCAGCCCAACCGCCCTTAGCATGCATACCCTGTTATGCTTTTTGACTTAGACTTGGGAGCAGATGCTTTTAGATGTAGGTCTCCTTAGAAACAGATGCTATCCCTGTTCTAGAATATAGAATAGAGTAGTTCCCCATCCTCTAGGTGTGCTTCATTTGCTGTCCACCCACTCATCCATCTCTCGACCCACTCACCCACCCATCCATCCACCCACTCTTTCATCCACCCACCCACCCACCCATCCATCCACCCACCCTTTCATCCACTCACCCACCCACCCACACACCCACCCATCCTTCCATCTACCCATCCTTTTTGGAGTGACCACCTGCTTTGTGTCTGGCTCTGGGCTGAGCTTTGGAGACACCAGAACTCTCCATTTAGACAAACAGACACAGAAATCATCATAATACAGAGGGACCTGTTCAATGATCAATGTCTCGAATAAGTACTGTGGTGGCACAGATGACAGACTCCACTGGCAGGGAGAAGGGATCAGAGAAGGCTTTGGAAGACAGCAACCTGTGAGTGGGCCATAAAGGACAAACAGTTTGCTAGATGGAGAGTGTGAGCGTGAGGGTGTGTAGGAGGGAAAGTCAGTTTTGCGAACTAAATCCTCTCACATCCACATTCAGAGCAGGGGCCTATCCCCAGGCCCCATGGAGCCCGTATTCGGAGGCTTATCTGTAGCTGCAACCTCTAAACTTGGCCCCATCTCCTGACATTTCTGAGTGAAAAGGAGCCACTCTTTAGTGTGTGTGCTGCAGGCTCCTGTGGCTGTCACAGTACAGTTATTGCGGAATTAACAGGGGAACAGCCATCCAAGTGGAGAGGCACAGAATACTTCCTGTCCTAGCTCTGCCTTCAACTCACTGTGTAACTGTGGACAGTTTCGGCCTCAGTTTCCCCATCATCAAGATGGGAGATTGGCTGTCAACTCTGCCAGCTTCCTGCCTGGAGCGCAGCCCTGACACCCTTCCTGCAAGATACACGTTAGCAACGACCGTTCTCTCTACGCCAAGCTCATTTGTCTGAGCGTATCAGCAACACGACACCTCGCAGTTCAGTGGATTTGATGTGAGCTCCCGCCCCTGGCATACCTAGCGTGTAATACCTGCTGCTGAAAAGGGGTATTTGAAGGCAAAGTGCATGGCAGAAGGAAGCCTGTAGGTGGCGCTATGGCTCCGGTTGCCGAGCTGCTCCCAGGAGATTCGTTTTCAGAGGATCTGAGAAAAACCCGGCAGGGTTGATGGCAGCTCTTTCTTCTCGGTGCCCTCGCAGTGCAGCAGGCCCCGCTTATTTGCAAGAAGCAGCCAGGTCAGCCCACTGGGCCTCCCCACCTCTTGTGCCCCTTCGCACATTTCAGAGCTCTCTCTTTTCCTCTGGGTCCTTCCATTCAAGAGAGGAGGAGGAGGAGGGGGTGAGCCTGTTGCGAACGGCGTTGGTGGGGCAGGGGCCGGTTCCCCTGTTTCTGGGGAGCCTTTTCTGTGCTGGTTGCAGGCAGGGGCCCTCAGTGTGGAGCTGTGGTGAGCCTGTGCCCCGTCGTATTTGGGTCACAGCCTCCGTGACCCCTAGCCCCCGCCAGGCACTCCACCCCTGCAGTGATTCGCTTGATATTTTAAAAGCACTCCATCTTCTGCCTGCTGCCTTCTCTCCATTCATCTGGGTCCAGGTTTTCGCCGAGCCATCTAATAAAGAATCCAGGGGGGAGAATGATGGGGGCGAGGAGAGGGAAAGTGCTAACATTTATTAAGTGCCCGCTGGGTGCCCAGCACTTCCTCAACAACTAGAGCAGCGGTCTTTCTGCTTTCTTTCAGCTGCATAACCCTTTCCTCCATCCAAAATCGCAAGCCTAACCTGGCCGTGTAAACAAACACCAGGGAAGCGCCTCTGATGGAAGGGGATGGGGCACCTAAGGCCCTGTCTCTCACCATGTAGCATCCTCCCCACTCCTAACAGACACTTTGGTGCTTCCATGAAACCTGGATCTAAAAGCTCTGTGCTCATTAAATCTACATATAACTCTCCAAGGAAATAGTATCCCCATTTTTATAATACCAAGCTAAAGGCCAGAGAGGGAGAGTGTAGGATCACACAATTTTTTTTTTTTTTTGAGATGGCGTTTCACTGTCACCCAGGCTATAGTGCAATGGCGTGATCTCAGCTCACTGCAACCTCCACCTCCCTGATTCAAGTGATTCTCCTGCCTCAGCCTTCTGAGTAGCTGGGATTATAGGCGCGCGCCACCACGCCCAGCTAATTTTTGTATTTTAATAGAGACGGGGTTTCACCATATTGGCCAGGCTGGTCTCCGAGCTCCTGACCTCAGGTGATCCGCCTGCTTTGGCCTCTCAAAGTGCTGGGATTATAGGCGTGAGCCACCGCGTCCGGCCCAGGGACACGATTATTAAAGGGCAGAGAGCCAGACTGGGGAGGCAGGTGTGCTCCATTCCCAAGCCCATGCTTGCCCTGGCTCTGCCGGGAAGACAGTAGGTGCTTTGCTTCCTGAGAAAGGTCAGGAAGAGGCGTGGCTCCTCCAGCTGTACAGACGACCAGGCCAGATCCACATGGCCCCGTTTGGTGCTTGGATGTCTGGTAAACTGCCTGCCAAGGAGGAACGCAGGTAGGACAAGAAAACTGTGGGTGGTGAAACGCATGGGGAATGGGTTCTGTGCCGCCAGTGAAATGGTCTTTCAGCCGCCAGGCTCCAACTTGGCTGACTTTAGAAGAAATCAGCCAGCCATGGATTGCTGGAGATTCAGACACAAGCTTTCCAGGCCCTGATGAGTCCTTGTTTTCTTCCAGGACAACTGGGTTTTGGGACTGTAAGCTATGACCCAGATCTTGGTTCCCATTTCGCACATGAAGAGAAGATTGGCCCTTAAAAAGCAAAATGCTTTAAAACAAAAACAAAGAAAAGAAAAAAAAGGAATTCATTTTTTTGCTTGCAATTTATTGTTTTCTTATAATCTTATAATGACCATCAATTTGGATTCAGAAATACCTGCATCAAAAGGTCATATCGGTGCTAAGACCTGACTTCCCTGCATCTCAGTTGCCTCCTCTGTAAGATGGCATCACAAACACTCCCCATGCCATCGGGCTGCTGTCACTGGTTCTTGTGTGTGGAAATGTCAATCCCAGGGCCTGAGGTGTGCAAAGTCAATAGTGGTTCTCTCCCCACTTCCACCCCCCAGTTTTTCTCAAAGCCTGTTGAATGTATGATGTGTCCTAAATGGAAGTGCTTCCACGGGGCACTGAGAGGATGGGTGATCTCTTCTCACTGCAGTCAACTGGCTGAAACGCTCACCTTTTCATCTTAGCATGTGAGATGTGACACTCTGATCCCCGGAATTGTAAATTCAGACTCTCAGAGAGCTCAGGATGGCAAAATCCAACCTCTTCGTTTTTAAGATGGGGAAATTGGTTTGCACAAGGTCATGCAGCAGGTTTGTGGCAGAGCTGGAACCCACACCTGCTGATTCCCAACCTGGTGCTCTGTCTGTCATCCTGGGTGACAAGGAGCCATGGAGGCCGCAGGGAGGAAGGACCATGGGATGCTGTCTTGATCCCTCTGGCCTGTGACTGTGAGGGAGGCTCACTCTGCTCTGTGAGCCCCATCACATGGGTGTCGTGTGTGATGGTGAGTGGTGCCTCCCTTATAGAAACGAAACCCCAAGAGCCAGGAAGAGCCCATCATCATCCAGATTCATAGGGAAAGCCAGCTCCTATCAGAGGCATCGAGGGGTGAGGAGGCCTGCCAAACTTGGAGTTGAGTCCCATTCCTGCCTCTTGCCAACTGTGTGCCCTGGGCAGGGGATTTCTTGAGTTGAGCCTGTTTCCTTACGAACTGAGGAGAGTAGAATTACAAACCCATAGGTTAATGTGAAGATTCAACAAGTTAATATAATACTAATACTTAATGAGCATTTACTATGTGTCAGGTTGGGTTCTAAACTCTTTATATGTATTTGCTTATTTAATCTTCATAACAACATAGTTTGCTGCTAAGGGAATGGAGGTTCAGGATGGTTAAACAAACCCCAGGGACAAAACTGGAGAGGACAGTGTAGATTTTGAGCCCAGGTAGCCTGGCTCTGGCACTCTACTCTTAACCACTGTGCTCTTTGACCTCAATTTCGGCAGAATCCAGTGCTTAGCACATAGAAGCTCCAAAAATGTCCACCCCTCCCTTGCTGTCTGTAACCAGCCTTCCTCATCCACCCCTTCTGGACCTCAAGAGTGGGTTCTAGAAGCAGGGTTCTGTTATTTCTCAGACACCAAAAGTTGACCCAACTCGATTGCTCTATCTTGAGTTATTTTACTTCTCTGTTTTGTTGTTGGTTTTGGTTTTTATTGCCTTTTCTTTGATCAAAAGCAAGACTGAATTGCCTACAAAGGCAAATCTGATTCTGTGCTCCTGAGCACCAAGTGAGCCTCAGCGATCGGCTCAGCTTAGCTCCTAATGCCAACCAGTGAAGGAGCATGGTTTCTTGGTTTCTAACTGCTCACATTCATGGCTAAACCCCCAGCCCTAGACGAGCTTCCTTGACCAATCTGGGGGAAAAATACACCTTCTTGATTGTGGGTTTCTGGCGACACTTGTTCAATTTCCTGGTTACTATAGAGACCTTGTCAACACATCCAAATACTCTTCTTAGCAAAGAAATTTTCTTCTCCCCAGTCTCTGCATAGCCCCAAAGAACACAGGGTCTCAGGAAGAAGCAGGAAAGGCTTAGCCTATGGGCCTTCTGAGCCCAGCCCAGGCTCTGGTTCCCTTTCAGCTGCTTGCAGACTTTGAGCCTACAGAGGATAAAATGAGGGAATGAACAAGGAGCGCTGTTTGAGTGGGACTGAGCTTCAGGGCAAATAAAGGGAAGTGAATCAGAACAATGGAAAATCTGGCCAGGGTATTTAAACATTCAAATTTCTTTCTTTTTCCAGTGACCTAAGGACAGGCAATCTGCACTGGGAATCTGGATCCCTTACTCGTAATATTATGGCTGGAAGGGCAAGGTCAAGACTCCCAGTGGACTGGATACTAGGGTTGGGTCTCAGGTCTGCTCCTGATGGCCGAGGCCAGCAGCTACATTGCATTTATACAAATGGTTAGCGGAGCTCCCAAGCTGGCTCCTGTCTTTCCATCTCTGCTTATTGAAAGCTTACCCATGCTTTATGACCCTGCTTTGTTGCCACCACCTCCAGAAAGACTTAGAATCGATCTCCTCTTTTGCCCTTGTACCTCTCATTATAATCTCATCTCTCATCACCTCCTGCCCGACGTCATGGTTGCTTGTATGTCTGCCTTTATTCCAGAAATTCTCATCAAGCTGTAATTATGGGGCAGGCCCAGAGCTAGTCACTGGCGATGAGAAAGATCTAATCCCTGTCCTTATTTCAGGGGCTCCCATATGCTCAACAGCCTGGCAGAGACGGACAAGTCCACACGTAATTTAAGCAGACGGAGAGGGATGTGCTGAGTACCTGGGGCATCTCTGCCTGCAGATGGGGAAGGGGTGATCCAGGAAGGCTTCCCAGAAGTGATATGCCTGGCTTACATCTTAAAAGATGAGTTTCACAGAACAGCATAGGGGACAGGGGAGAAGGGACAATTCATGAAGGCGGAACAGGATGTGCAAAGCCAGAGAAGTGTGAGGTCTTCAGGGATGAGCCCCAAGGAGCCCAGATGGCCAGCGTCGGGGGCATCCTGGGGCGCAGGGGCAGGAGGTGGGATTGGGCAGGCAGGGACTGTCAGACCGCAGAGGACCTACTATGCACTGCTTAGCAGCTTGGGCTTTATCCTGCCAGCTGTGGGGAGCCATGAAAAAGTTTTCAGGAGGCAAGAGACCCGACAGGGTTTGTCTTTTAAAAGGACAGCTGGGGCTGCTGAGTGAAGGATGGATGGTTGAGAGGCAAAAGGTGAAGCAGGGAGACCACCTAGTAGGTAGTGGCCTTCATCCAGGTGAGGGACCATGGTGTGGACCGAGTGATAGCAGTGGAGGTAGAAGTAGGAAGATTTGAGATCTGTTTAGGAGGTAGAATTGGCAGGACCTCGTTGTTGATGGGATGGGAGAAAGAGAGGGTGAGTTGGAGATGACTCCCAGAATTGTGGCATCATTGGCCAGGGTGGATGATCAGATCTGAGGAGGAAAGTGGCACTTTTGGCTTAGGAAATGCTGATCTAAGGAGCCTGAGGGATACCTCAAGGTGCATCTAGACGCTCTTCCCTCCTCTTTCCCCTGCTCCCCGGGCCAGCCCTTGCTGTGGCTTTTCCTCCAACCTGTTGTCTAGACCCACACTAAGGTGGTAGCTTGGAGTTAGATCACCAGATTTGGAAAAAGTCACCAGATGAATGCACTCCCTACTGCAGATGTTTGAGCTGGACTCCGTGTGCCCTGCCTCCCTGGGGTTTTCAAACTTCAAGGAGAAATCCAGGAGAAAAAGGACACAAACAGTGGAATTCCAGGTTTGTTAGGAGAGAGATTTAGCAAGTCCTTCTCTAGGACCTGAAAACACACTTGCTCAGGCTGCTGGGCCTGCTCCTCTCGGGTCATGGTCCTGTGTGCCCTGGTCCAGCCCTGCAGCCGTCAGTTGTGCACCCAGCCTGCATCACCAGCCACAAGGCCCAAGTACATCCTTTGTTTTTCCTGGGCCTACTTCTTTATTTATCAAATAACAGAATTGTGCTCCTTCTCTTCCCACCCCACCCCCCTTATCTTCTCTTCTTCCTTAGTGATAAAGAACAAGGACTTCAGAATCAGGTAAATCTGGGTGTAAATTTCAGTCCTACAACTTTCTACCTGTGTAAGTTACTTCACTAGTACCTTAGTCTCCTCATCTGTAAAGTGGGGACAGTAATGGTACCTACTTCATATAAGTATCGTTCATATTCAGTGAGACAATGTATGGAAAACTGTCAGCTCAGTGCCTGCCACCCAGGAAATGCTCCAAGGTCATGGCCATCACGGGCATCAAGGTTCCTTCCCTCCCTCTCACCTCCCCTCCCTCTCTGATATTCTTTGCAAATACTCCCATTACACGGCTATCTCTGGCCTGGGCTGCTGGCTGTCCAGTCTGGAGGCAGAAGACTGAACTGAATGACCCCTCGAGGTCTTTTTGGTTTAGGAGTCTTGAGTCTCAAAGGCTTGGGAGCATTCTCCCTGAACTTTCTTCATCTGGGTTCTCATGGTGATGTGGGCCCTGTGCTCTGTGGGTCTCTGTCTCTATTTAGTTTTTCCAAGTCACCTGGAGGCTCCCTCCCTCCACTCCCCACTCTCAGCATCCCCTCCTGGGTCCAGACAGGTTCAGGCAGAGCACACTCTCCATTAGCCATCATGGCCCACCTGCTGGCTCCCCAGTGACTGGGTCTCTGATTGGCTTCCTTCTGCATTTCCCAAGGATGTTTTGAAGAGCTTCACGTGCTTCCCCCTGCCTGCCCATGCTCAGCGTTTCTGAAGCTGGCTTCAGAGCAGAGGGAAATTGCTTTGGGAGAATGAGTATTCTTTTTTATTTTTTACTTTTTTTGAGATGGAGTCTCACTCTGTCACCCAGGCTGGAGTGCATTGGCGCGATCTCGGCTCACTGCAACCTCCACCTCCCAGGCTCAAGTGATCCTCCTGCCTCAGCCTCCCAAGTAGCTGGGATTACAGGCACACGCCACCACGCGAAGCTAGTTTTTTGTATTTTTAGTAGAGACAGGGTTTCGCCATGTTGGCCAGGCTGGTCTTGAACTCCTGACCTCAAGTGATCCAGCTGCCTCGGCCTCCCAAAGTGCTGGGATTACAGGCATGAGCCACCGCACCTGGCCAGAATTAATTTTCACATTCTCTGTACCTCCTTCACGCCTGGCAGTTCCTGGTGCCCAAGGAGCTTGCCTTTGTGTGATTTCTCTGCTGATCACCTTGGTCCATGTCCCTGGGTATTAGGGTTCTCCAGAGAAACAGAACCAATGGGATGCATATAGAGAGAAAGATTCATTTTAAGGAATTGGCTCACCCAATTATGGAGGCTGGCATATCCAGAATCTGCGGGATGGGCTGGCAGAACCAATGGGGCAGTTCAAACTCAAAGGCTGTCTGCGGCTGAATTCTCTCCTGCTCAGGGCGGGTCAGTCTTTTGTTCTATCGAGGCCTTCAACTGATGAGAGGAAGCCCTCCCATGCTACGGAGGGCAATCGTTTTACTCAAAGCTCACTGATTTCAGTGTTAATCTCACCCCCAAATCACCCTCACAGAAACAACTAGAATGATGTTTAACTCTGGATCTGGGGACCGTGGCTCAGCCAAGTTGACACATAAAGTGAACCATCCCACCCTGTTATTGGCAAACATACCAGACACATAATCCCAGGCCTCGGGGAGGCTGTCACTTATCTTGGATTCCAGACCACACAGTAGTAAGATTTTGTTCCCACTTCTCTAGAAGATCATGTTGGGAAGCCACCGGCCACTAGGTGTAACCTCTGCCTCGGCCAGTCAAGGCCTCCTGGACTGCAGCAGCACAGGACTGGGCCCGTCCTGGGGCTGAAGGCTGCATGTTGGTTACTGAGTGTGTAATGGAGGTTGTAGGGAGGGGATGAGGGGTGTTGCTGCCCCATGGCCTCACAGACAGTAATTTTCTTTCTTTCTTTTTTTTTTTGAGATGGAGTTTCGCTCTTGTTGCCCAGGCTGGAGTGCAATGGCGCAGTCTTGGCTCACTGCAACCTCTGCCTCCTGGGTTCAAGCAATTGTCCTACCTCAGCCTCCCGAGTAGCTAGGATTACAAGCATGCGCCACCAAGCCTGGCTAAATTTTGTATTTTTCGTAGAGACAGGGTTTCTCCATATTGGTCAGGCTGGTCTCGAACTCCCGACCTCAGGTGATCCGTTGGCCTCGGCCTCCCAAAGTGCTGAGATTATAGGCGTGAGACACCACGCCTGGCCAGACAGTAATTTTCAAACCTGGCTGCATACCAGAATCACTTTAAGTTGTAGATTCCCAGACCTCACTATCAGGGGAAATTCAGAGGCACTAGTCAAATCTAGAAAGATCAGGGCATCTAAATTATTAGGAAGTAATTAATGTATCACCATAGAAAACTCAGAATGAGAGTGGAGCTGTGAGCGTCTCCTGGGGCCAGGCATTTCCTGTCTCTTTCAGAGGTGAAGCACCTGGTCCGACCCATCATTTCACGCTGAATCGCCTGTTGACCCATCTCACTTGACTGACTCCTGGGATGGAGGCCTGGCTCCCTCCAAGGCAGCCCCTTGCGTTGGAAGAAAGGCAATGGTGTGAAGCCTGTCTGGTTGTACCCTCCAGCTGCGGGTCCTTACTCCAGCTCTCAGAACCAGAAGGAATCTGTCTAATTGCTCATCTACTGGAGAGCCCTTGAGGTATTGATGACAGTTTTCATTTCCTGCTGTGTCTTCTCTAGGATAAAAAATCCCCAGCCCTCTTACCAAGCTGTGTCTCTCAGCATGAGGCCCCAGCAGTGGACTCTGCTCAGGCTTTTGTTTGGCCCCTACAAGGCCTACCAAAGCAATCACCTCCTTCCTTCTGAACACTCCACCCCCATTAATGTGTCCAAAGCCACATGGCTGCTTGTGTTAGCTCCATCACACTGAGGATAGAACCCTCAGTGTTAGCTCCATCACACTGTGGATAGAACCCTCCAAGCCTGAGCCCCAGCCTGCATCCTTATCCTCCTCCTCTCTTTTGCCTTAACTGTTCCACCTGGAAGAGGGGCTTCTTCAAGGTCCTGGGAACTCCAGAATGTTCCCCTCCACTTAAAAAACACAAGGATGGTCTCCAGGCACCTGAGGAAACACAGTCTCCTGCCCTTTAGGATCAGCCACCTCTGAGGCCAAGACCTGACCCAGATTCCGGTACCCTTCACAGAAGGAGCCACCACAGTGGAGAAGGAAGCTCATGGCTTTTGGGCAAGGTAGGCTTAGGTTCAAAACCCGGCTCTCCCTGTAGGACCTAGGGCAACTGATCCTCTCTTTCTTAATCTGTAAACGGTACCTGCCTACTAGGGCTGTGCTGAGACTTCTGGATAAAGTGTCAAAGCACCTAGCCCAGGGCCAGCACATAGTAAGCACACCTAAGTCTAAGTTCTCATCTCCTCTTGAGGGACTTAGATCTTTTATCCCTTTTTCTTTCCCATCAAATCCTCCAATTCTAGCCTCTAACGTGGAAGAGCTGTATTGACTCAACACACTAGTACACCAGTACACAAAGGCACTAGTCAAATCTTATGGCTTTGGGCAGAGAATGCCCCCGTGTGGGTTGTGTGACCTGGGGCAAGCCTCTTCCTTTCCTCTGATTGTGGGTCTTTCATCTCTGATTTGAGATGCACAGGCTAGGAAGTCACCTTTATTTATTTATTTATTTATTTATTTATGGATATGGAATCTCGCTCTGTCACCCAGGCTGGAATGCAGTGGCACAATCATGGTTCACTGCAGCCTTGACCTCCTGGGCTCAAGCGATCCTCTTACCCCGCCTCCGGAGTAGCTGGGACCAAAGGCGTGCACCACCACACCCAGCTAATTTTTGTAGAGATAGGGTCTCACTATGTTGCCCAGGCTGGTCTCAAACTCCTGGGAGCAAGCGATTCCCCCACCCAGGCTTCCCAGTGTTGAGATTGCAGGCATGAGCCACCACGCCCGACCCAGGAAGTCACTTTAAAGCCCCTTCTAGCTCTGCCTGTTGTGTCTCCCCAGAAGCCTCCTTGTCATATGGGATCCTTGGCCCTGGGAGGGAGCTGGGGCAGCTGTGAAAATCATCTAACGAGCGCCCAAAGAGGAGGCTGGACCATTCTTCCTCACCACTCAGCCTGATTTTCTTTTTGTTTGTTTGTTTTGTTTTTTGTTTTTGTTTGTTTGTTTGTTTGTTTGAGACGGAGTCTCGCTCTGTCATCCAGGCTGGAGTGCAGTGGCACAATCTAGGCTCACTGCAATGAGCCATTCTCCTGCCTCAGTCTCCTGAGTAGCTGGGACTACAGGCGCCCGCCACCACGCCCGGCTACATTTTTGTATTTTTAGTAGAGACGGGGTCTCACTGTGTTAGCCAGGATGGTCTCAATCTCCTGACCTCGTGATCCACCCACCTTGGCCTCCCAAAGTGCTGGGATTACAGGCGTGAGCCACTGTGCCTGGCCCACTCAGCCTGATTTTCAAGCACCCGATCATCTCATTCATTCCTCAGACACCCACATGTCCCCACTTGTTGGCAGGCACGATGAGGGCACAGATGAGAAATAAAGGGTCTTTCACCTCAAGATGCTGACAGGCCAGCAGGGCAGACAGACAAGCAAACAAATAGCTAAGCCAGGGTGACAGGAGCTATCCTAGAAGCAACAGACAGAGCACAGAGGATGCAACACGTGATTCTACCAGGGATGAGGGATGGGTGGTGGTTCAGAGAAGCTAACGAGAAGCGAATGTTGGCGTTCAGGCTTGAAGGATGAGTGGGGGTCTGCCTGGTGGGAAAGGGAGGAGGGGCACTGCAGGCCAAGGACACAGCATGGGCATTGGCCCAGGGATTGGAAAGTCCTGTTCCACTCTTGGAATGACCTCAGAGTTCAGCAAAGCTTGAGGAAGTTGACTGGGAGATGAGAGTGGAGGCACGAAGGCCAGCTGGCTGTCTGCTGTGGAGATCCAGACTGGAGTCCACGGGAACATGAACTAGGACAGAGCCTTTGTCCTTAGTAGGCAATCTGGGGACACAAAGACCAGCCAGATCTGGATCCTCCTTTCCAGGGACTGACCATCCATCCAACCATTCACTCATCAGTAAATGTCGATATAGCACCTATGCTGTGCCAGATGCTGTGACGGCGGTGAGCCTTCTCCAGGAGGAAGAAATCGCCTGTCCTCCTGTGCATTAATTTCCCAGGGTGGCTACAAGAAAGCGCCATGATCTGAGTGGCTTAAAACCACAAAAATGCATCCGTGCATAGGTCTGGAGGCTGGAAGTCTGAAATCGAGGTGTCAGCAGGGCTATGCTCCCTCTGAGACTCCAGGTAGAATCCATCCTTGCCCCTGCCTACCTTCTGCTGGTGGCCATTCATCTTAGTGTTTCTTGGCTTGCAGACGCATTAATCCAGCCTTGGCCTCTGTCATCACGTGACCTTCTTCCTGTGTGTCTGTCTCTGTATCGCTTCTCCTCCTTGTCATAAATAGACCAGTCATATAGGATTAGGGCTCATCCTAATTGAATAGGACCTCATCTTAACTAATTATATCTGAAAAGACCAAATTTCCAAATAAGATCACATTCACAGGTACTGGGCAGTTGGGTCTTCAACATCTCTTTCTTGGGGGGTGGGGGAGGTGGAGACACAGTTCAACGTGCAATGCCAAGTAATCACAATGCACTGTGGCAACTACCTTAGAGGAATTGGGGACAGGCTGTGAGCATTCAGAATAAAGAGTTCTTGCCAAGCGGAGGAATCCTCAGTGGCTTCCTGGAGGAGGTGGCCTTTCAGCCATACATTGACAGGATTTAGCTATGGAAATGGAAGGGCATCCCAGGCAGAGGGTAGTGCAGGAGTACAAGCATGTAGGAGGGAATTGCAGGGCAGTAATTATGTCACTTGTTGTAAGCAGTACTCAGAAAGCCCTCTCCTCTCACCCTTCTGCCTGCCTGCCCCCACCAAATCTTATACATGCCAAGCTCACTCCAGCACCATCCAATCTTGCACTTGCATTTGATGGGGTTTGGAAGAAAATTGCTGCCCGGAGTCATCATGACATTCCTATTCATGTCCAAGCCTGGATTTGTTTTTCTTGAGCTGCAGTGAAGAAAAAAAAATAATAAACTCTGTATTTATCAAGCAGCAAACCAGTAGGAAATTATAACCTTTTAAAATAAATATGTATCTAATTATAGGAGAGCAGAATTTACTTTTGCAGTACTGTCAGGATTTCCCTGGCCAGCCTAGTCTACAGATAATGTTCCAACTGCCCTCAACCCCCAAATCTCACTGGGCATTAACCTCAAAAATACCACCTTTGCTGATCTCTCAGCAGACAGTGATTTAGGCTGCGCTGAGATGCCCTGAGCAGGCTGGAGAGGAACCTGATTCCCCAGACTTTCCTTTTAAAGCCAGAGGCCCAGCCCCTTCATTGGCTCCTAACCACAAAGCCACAACCCGCACCCCCAAGAATGTCTGTTCTGTCCAGCACACATCTCTGTGGTTGGCAGTTTCCTCCCTTGCAGAAAAGTCAGAAGTCCCAGAGGGAGCAGAACTGAGCCATCTTGGGGAAGGAGCTAACACTGAGGGCTCATCTCATGCCAGGCATGGCGCAAGGCCCTTCCTTCACTTCTGTATTCCTGTCATCTGTAAGTCCACAGACAGCGATCTAGCCCCGAATGTCACGTCCACACACACCATGAAGAACAAGTAAGGAAGAGGAGCAAAGTGTGTAAAGTGCCAACGGGAGCCCAGGCACCTATTAAGTGCTGATAGGAGGCAGCTGTTGTTATTCATGGCCAGAACCCTATTACTCTCCACCAGGCACATCCTATGATGAGTTCATTCTTTCAGCATCTATTCATTAAGCACCTGTGATGCAGCAGGTACTGCTATTCACCTGGCTCCTTCCCTCCCTTCCTCCCTCCCTCCTTTGCACTGGGGCCTGCCCCGTCTGCCCTCTTTAATGCCTAGCCCCCTCCAACCCCACTCCTGGCTCACCCCACCCTGTTTACCCAGCTCTGCTTTCCCCCTCGTACTTATCACCTCTGATACCTAGATGATTTATGTTTGTCTGTTATTCTTGTCTGTTCCCCACAACTCTGGGAAGGTGGAGTCTTGGTAAACTCACTGCTATGGTGGCAGCACCTAGGTCAAGGCTGTAAACATAGCAAGTGTTCAATTAATATTTGTTGAGTTGAACTGAGATCATTGTCTTTGTAGATGGACAAATCCAGGTGAAATGCCCACTCCTTGCTAGCTGTGTGACCTTGGACCCACAACATGGCCTCACTGAGTCTCAGTGTCCACTTCTATAAAGTAGAGAATCTGTGGGGATATGAGCAGGTAGAAAGCTTGCACAGCACAGAGCAATGCCCGGTGCCGAGATGCTTCTCGGGAGCTGGTAGGCAGGCTTCTGAGGGTCAAGCATGCAGTGGGAATTCCATGGTTTATGGAGGTCTCAAGTGTTAGCAGGTCTGGGTTTGAATTCTGGTTCCCACCACTTCCCAGCTCTGTGACCGTAAGCAAATCGTGGAACCTTTCTAAGCCTCAGTTTCCTGTTTGTAAAATGGGGCTCAAACAGCACCCCCACCTCAGAGAGTTATTTTGACATAGTATGAGGTTGTGTCCATAAAGCAAGCTTGCAAGCAGTAGGCATCCAGGGAGTACAGGCTCCCCCTTCCCTCCTCCCAGCTGGGGGCTGTAAGAAGCTTGGCAGCAGAAACCTGCAAATACCCAGGGCTGCTGGGGGCATTGGCCCCTATTCCTCATGGCCATCCATCCCTCCTCCCACAATTACCCAAACTGGGCCTGCCAGATGTGCTCCCGAGAGGGTTCCACCTCCCCAACGCCAGCCCCACAGCTCCCTCCCCGAGCCCCAGCTTCCCCAGCCAGCATCTCTCACTGGCTTTGGCACTAATGGGCCCTGCACACCTCCGAAAGACGGTGATGGCTCCCCGCAGAGCCCACAGCAAGTGCCAGAGGAAGAGGGGTCTCCTGGGCAATGGAGGGGCTCCCCCAGGATTCGGGGGTGTGAGCAGCTGCCTTCCAGAGGGGTCACCTCTGAGTGGAGAAGGATGAGGAGGGGCTGCCACTTGGCTCTGGCTGACTCTAAAGCTGACAGTCAATGACAGGGTGGGCTCCGGCTGAGTGGGAACCTGAAGGGGGAGGTAGCCATGGCAACCTTCCCTGACACTCCATAATAGGAGCTGCCCCAGTGCCTTGCATGTCTACATGAGGCCCGGAGAGGGCCAGTGCGTCCAAGGTCAGCCATTGCCCAGCCTTGCATACTGAACGGGGCTGTCGCTTTTGAGGACTGTCCTGCCCCTACCACCACAGACCTGGGGTGAAGTGGTGGGGGTGGGGGGCTCCGAGCCCTCCAGAGCCTGTAGAGGCCTGATGACTGCACACCAGGCCCCTTAGCAGACACAGGAGAGGGGGGAGGTGATGCCTCTGTGCACCAGCACCCAGTGTGAAGAACTGGAAACGTATTTATCATCCTAAAGGTGGGGCTTTCACCTGATGCCGAGATACACCAGTCACCACATGGGCCTGTGTCTGGCTTCCCCATCCCAGCCGCTTGGGGGGCGCTGATTTGAAAGGGCCTTGAATAGCTGCAGTGTGGAGACAGATGCGTCCCTGAGTTCTGGGGCCATCGGGCTGGACAGGGGCGGGAAGCCACAGAGTCCAGCACAGGGGATGCACAGGGGACAGAAGATGCACATGTATCCGGCACTCGAGGTTGGCTGGGGCGACACTGAGCAGCCTGGGCTGGTTGCTGGGCACCAGGTTGCTCCTTGAGACTGCAGTGGGTTGATGTGTATTGATCCTTTCGCCCACAGTATCTCATCCAAGTCCCAGAACCACCCATGAGGAAGGTGCTGTCAGGAACCCCATCCTCCAGCCAGTGAACTGAGGCTTAGTGAGCTCACTTTCCAAGGGCACACCCAAGTGGCGGAGCAGTTTTTAAAGCCAGCTCAGTCTGCCTCCAAAGCCCATTTTGTAGATGAAGACCTCAAAGCCAAAGGAAGCCAAGGTTACCCAGCTATAAATATCAGAGCTGGCAGGCTCGGAGGCTGGGTCCTTAACTGGCGGTTGGTGGGTGGGGGAAGGGGGTGTCTGTGAACTTGGGTGGGAACAAAATACAACTTTATGTTCACTCACCTCTAACTAAAACGTAGCATTTCCTTCAAGCACAAATGTAAGCAACATACCACAGTTCTGTTAACAGCACCTGTGATTTCGTTGCCACTGGAAACCACAGGTATTTTCACATCACACTACAATGGTGACAAAGATCTTGAACTATCATTTATGCTCATCACTACTTTGAAATTGCAGTAGTTACTAGACCTGATGTTAGATCTTATCATGTAATGCACTAGTAAAGAATTTAATGCACATATATTTTTACATCTCAATTTTATTTATTTTTTTTTTTTTTTGAGACGGAGTTTTGTTCTTATCACCCAGGCTGGAGTGCAATGGCACGATCTTGGCTCACTGCAACCTCTGCCTCTTGGGTTCAAGCAATTCTCCTGCCTCAGCTTCTGGAGTAGCTAGGACTACAGGTGTGCACCACTACGCCAGTCTAATTTTTGTATTTTTAGTAGAGATGGGGTTTCACCATGTTGGCCAGGCTGGTCTCAAACTCCTGACCTCAGGTGATCTGCCTGCCTCAGCCTCCTAAAGCGCTGGGATTACAGACGTGAGCCACCATGCCTGGCCTACAATTTTAAATTTTTAAATTATTTTTGGAAATATATATAATTGACTTGCTTTGTAATCATGCATACTTTACGCATTTAAAAACGTTGTTTTGAGAAAGGATCTACAGTCTCTAGCAGCCGGTCACAGGGGTCATGGCATAGAAAATGTTAGGAGGCCCAGCTCTCAAGCCGGTGCTTCTAACCACTAGGCTCACCTCCCTCGCAGGTACTGAGCCTCTATGCCATCACTTTGCTTCCAGAGCCATGCAGAACAGTAAGCTTGGACTAGTGGCCTCTGGAGGCTTGGCACATTTGAGTGGGGTGTACCCCTTTTCTTCTCTTCCCTGTCTGACCCTCACACACCCTTTCCAGTCCCTTGGCCATGTCAGAGTTAAAATGCCAAATTCTCTGTAGAGCCCAATCTTCCAATTTACAACCAAGTCAGGTTTGTGCCAATTTTCAGGCACCAATTATGGGCCAGCTCTCTTGGACCAATTAAAATGTGCAGGTGCAATAATGTCGACATCAACAGTCTGGGGTTATCTCAGCAGATATTTTTCATGAAATATTTATGAGAGACTGGGAATTTTAACCATTTGATGGCATGCTTCCCCTTTCTGCCAGAGCCTCTTTGAAAAGGAGGAAGAGCTCGCAAAGGGTGACGGCAGAGAGATGCCCAGAATCTTGCAGGAGGAAGGAGAATGCAGGTGAGGGGCTGGGAAAGCCCAGGAGTGGGTGTAGGGTGGGGTGGGGGGACAGGACTTTTTTGAAGGTATTGGGGGGAAAAAGAATCTGTAGAATTAGATTAATCAGGGGGCTGGTGTTCTGGAAAGAGCCCATGTGGGTCTTGGGAGACTCAGGTTTTTGTTGGGACTCTGCCATGCACTTGCTGGGTGATCTCCGTGTCCTCATGTGCAAAAGGGCAGAAATGTCCCCTGCCTTGTGCCACCTCCCAGGGTTGTGGTGGGAATTAAATGGCAGCGTGAAGGGGAGAGGGCTTTGGAAGGGGTTCAGCATTGCCCACAGGGAAGGTTCTCTGCAAAGGGACTGTGCCTCCAGAAGGGTTGATATTAATGGTGCCCCCAGTTTCTCATGCCTCTGTGTGTCCTTGCCCTTCAGTAGTTCCTCCCAGATCATTGACTCTGGCTTGGCCCTATGATTTGCTTTGATCAATGGAATAGTCACCAACTAGGTTGAAGCAGAGCTTGCAAAAACACTGGTGTATTTTCATGTTCCTTTTGCTCTTCTGCCTTTGTCATATGAATGTGTCCAGCCTAACTTGCTGGAAGGATTCAGGAGACGTGTGAGTAAGAGCCAAGATTTCCCAGATCAGCCTACAGCCAAGATAAGCACAGCTTTCTACCCAACCTGCACCTCACCACAGAGAATGGAAGAATCACTCAGCCATCCTGTATATTGTAGCAATAATGTATGGTTATTTTTTCTAGGCACTGAGTTTTGGGATGATTTGTTATGCAGCAACAGCTGGCTGCTACAGAGATTGTGCCCACCCTCACAGCCCCCTGGATCTGTGTGCTCGCACTGAGTTTTGGGATGATTTGTTATGCAGCAACAGCTGGCTGCTACAGAGATTGTGCCCACCCTCACAGCCCCCTGGATCTGTGTGCTCTCACTGAAAAGCAAAAGTAACTTCTGTTTTTCTCTTCTCTGTGGCCACCAGGGCTGCTGCCCAAACAGAAAGGCAATTTGCTTAGTGGTGGAGGTTGTGACCTCCAGAGTCAGACAGTCCTGGAATCCTATCCCAGCTGTGTGACCTGCAGTTGGCTTCTTAACCACTCTGTGCCTCAGTGTCTCCATCTACAAAAGGCACAGTTTCTACCCCATCAGGTTGTGGTAAGGACTAGAAAAGACATTGGAAGTAAAGTGCATGACACCAAAGTGCTCCAAATGACATTTTTTGTTGTTTATTTGTGGTAGTTGATGTTCATATTTTCCCAAAAAAGCCTCTTCTTATCTTCATCAGCCCAGATTGCCTGAATTTTTTGCCAGGATATCTTCCCAGTGGAGGGAGACAAGCTAGAATTGGTAGCCACATGCCTTTGGTGCAGATTTCACAAACACTGTGATTTTTGGCAAGCAGAGTCTGCCAGTTGCATAGGAACAAGCCTGCCTGATAACATCCCAGTTTAACCATCTCCAAAGCACTTTCATATCCATGCTCAGATTTGAAAGCCTCACAAGAATCCTGGGAGGTGGGCAAGGCAGGAGCTGGCAGCCCCATTTTATAGACGAAGACACTGAGGTTTAGAGAGTTCCCCTGACTTGCAGAAGTTAAAATGTGGCCCAGGTTATCTGGTCACAGAGGAGAGCTGCCCCTGTCCTGGGCCACTCAACCTCTCCCACAGGGACAGATCTCAGCCGTGGAGATGCTGGAAAGAGCTCTGGAATCCCTGATGAGGGGCTACACCCTAGAGTCCTAAATGTCCCTCTGTAGAATACGATTTTATTCCCTGAGCAGGAGGGATCTCTTCCTCTCCCTGTGCCAGCGGAGTAGTTTGGGAGTTATAGTGGGAGATCTCTTTAGTATTTAGCAAAATCAGGATTTTAAATTTAATGGTGATTAGGCAGGGTCCCTTCACACTGTCTATCACCCCCGACAGAGTTAAAACATCAATAACAATGCGGGTCCCAATGGAGATCCTTGTCCCCAGCGTCATGATGTCCAGGGAGCCTGGTTATGGATGTAGCCAGCTGTCTCACTGACTCTCTCCTTTGGGTTTAGCCTCACCTGCCAGCTCACTGGGTGTAAACAGGAGGTGGAGGGGTTCTTGCTGTGTGTTATGTATTTATTCATGGGTTTACTTAGTTGCTTCTCTACAAAACCAAACATTGCCCCCTTTTTACCTCTTCTTCCCAAAAGTTACTTTCAGAGTTTGCCAAGAAGCCTGGAAAGTTGTTATGGCTTCAGGAAGGCCCAAAACACAACCGAAAAACAAAAACCAAAAACACAGTGCAGCAATATTAAACAGCATTGTGGAAAGAACTGCCCTGTAAAATGGCTTTTGTGTTGGCCAGCTCCCTTCCATAGCGGGTAGACTATTAAATGGGTGTAGCCAGAAGGAATGGGCCATTTTGCCGTCTACTCTCTTCCCTTACTATTCTATCATAAGCATTTTCCTTGTTGCAGCACATTAAATTATGGTGTATGCACCAGTAGAATTTTAGACAGTCATGAAAAAAATGATTATTACAAAGAACAGATTGTTTCTTGGAATGCACCTTCCTGATGAGGCAGCACCCTTTCTCATTCTGTGCTTTGTAAAAATTGCAAACTGGCTACCAGGCCTCAGATGTCCCCCAGAGCTCCCTGTCTGAGGACAGAGCAAGGTAGAAATCATCTCAAACCAAGCTGAGCCCTGTGGTCTGGAGTGTCCCAGCTACAGGCATAGTATGCACCCTGCCCAGACCCCTGGCAAGCCCCTATGCCCAGTCCCCCCTTCACACTCATTTTTGGGTTGGTGCTGCTTTCTAGTTTTTCTCTCTGATCTGTTACTCTCCTAGAACGTAAGGGCCTGGGAGGCAGGAATCTCAGTTTATCAGACTCTCCCGTTATCCTTGTATAATATTTGCATTAATGGGGACAATGATGGTGTTGATGATGGTAGGAGGAAGTTTAGTGCCTGGTAAAGCACTTTGGGACCCACAGACTGGAGTTAGGTCCCAGGACCCTCACTGACCATCTTGCTTTGACGCTTTTGACCTTGACTTACACGAGCATCATCTCTGATCCTCATCACTGCTTTGAGATGGTGAAATTATCATCATCCCCATTTTTGAAGCTGAAGAAACTGAGGCACAGTTTAAGTAGCTGCTTCCAATGTGATAGAGTGAATGAGGGTTAGAGAAACCTGGATTCAAAGCCTGCCTCCACCCGCTACTGTCTGATGCTGGCAAGTTTTGCAACCTCTCTGCACCTCCCTGTCCTCAGCCAGCCCCTGCACGGGCTTAATAAATTCTAACCACTCATCCCTTCCCACATGCTGTGAGCAAATAACTGCTTGGGAGCTACTGGGCTCCGGGCAGAGAGCAGCTCTGCCTGAGTCACTCCGGAGCAACTGGTATTGATTGGGTGGGCACACCACCAGTGGCTGGCAGGGTGGGCCCCTAACCTCTGCCACCCCCGCCTAGGCCTCTTGTTCCTCTGTCTCCAATCTCATCCCACCATGGCTGTGAAGAACAAGCCCACCTTCCTGCCTCATGCCCTTCTCTGGGTCCTCTCAGCCACAGCAGCCCCCAACCTGCATTTTCACCCTCCTCCAAACAGGCACTCCATGGAGGGTCTGCCCTCAGCCCTGCATTGCTGAGAGAGCCTCACTGGAGGCAGGGGACAACTGAGGGGTCCTAGACAGGATGCTCTCAGGAGATGGCGGCCAGGAGAGGGGTGGGGTCAGCAGGATGATGAGGAAGGGACCGGCTGAGGGGGCCGAGGAGACAGAGCCTACAGGGCAGGGAGGAAGGGGGAGGCAGGGGCCTAGGACGACCCCCATGGCTTGGTCTTGAGCCCACAGAGGAGCAGGTTTGGGTGGAGAGGTTGAGTTTTATTTCTGATACATCACAGGGAGGCTCGGGGAGAGCAGGAGCAGGGATCTAATCAACAGGTGCTCAAGAGAGAGGCCTGTGCTAAAGACTGCCTGAGCCTCTCCTGCCCAGTGATGGCCTCGGAGCTGGGGAGTGGGGGGATTGGAGGGCGGTTGGAGGAGGAGAGGGGAGTGTGCTCTTGGGTGTATTCTGTCCTCCCCTTTAGCCTCTCAGGGCACTTCTGCCCCTTTCGGGTAGGTCCAGGTGGGGCAGCAGGATGCTAAATCCCCATCCAGTCCAGAAGTCAGCCTCTCACCTTGTGACCTCCTTTGGTAGGAGAACTCTCCAGTCTGTTTATCCATCCTGACCTTCAACCCATCGAAAGCAAAATATTTGGTTTTTAGAAACTGCCTGTTTGCTTTTCTGCTTCCGGAGGCAGCCAGAGCTTTGAGAGACCCATCCAGATGTGGGCTTGGAGCAGTCAACCCCCAACCTTTGAGGACTGAGTCTCTCAGAGGGGAGGCGGCCGTCCCTGGGGCCTGAGTCCCAGAGTGGGCTAGGCTTGCTTCTCCTGAGAGTAGACAGGAGGCAGGAATCCTGGGGATGCTTAGCCCTGCTGGCCCATCTGAGGATGGGAGCAGTGGGCCCCAGGAACATGTCTTTCCTGCCGGCAAGAGTTGGGAGGAGCTTACTGTGTGTGTGGGGGGGTGGGAAGCCGAGGTGCCCTGGACAAGCACACCTAAGCTGGGGTCTCAGAGTCATTCTTAGTCCCCCGTTCAGGCCACCAATTACTGCTCTGCAGAATTCACATGTGAATTACACACAGCTAAGGGGAAACAGAATCCGGCACTCTTAGAGTTTATATTTCCACAAGGAAGAGAAAACTGGCATAATCCTGCCTGCCCTGTTTACCCAGAAGTCCCTAAGATGATCATCTCGTCCACCACCTCCCTCATCTTCTGAAGAAGGAAATCTGGAGGGTGAAGGGACTTGCCCAGGGTCACACAGCAAGTACCTGAACCCAGGCATCCTGGGTCCTACACAGCAGGGCTCCCATTACCCCAGGCTGCTCAGAGGAGTTAAAGGAGATGGAAGTGCCTTTGTGTTCGGGTTGTCGATCCTGTATTTCGGGAGAAGAGGCAGGTCTGAAAGCTCTGGCAGCAGCTGCTGGGTGCCCCAACAGCCAAGAAGCCTGGCAAGGGGTTGTTGACCCCAGAGTCCGGGGTCCCTCCCTCCCTTTCATCGCTGACTGTGTGGCCAGGTGAGGCCCGGAGGTGAGGGAAAGCAGGAGTAGATGGGAACTGCCTTTCTGTTTTAAGGCCCCTCTTAAACGGAAGGTGGGGAGGCAGAGACAAGTCTTAAAGGAGGCCCAGCTTTCTGGGGTTACCTCTGGGCTGCGGCTGAGCCCTGGTCTCTTTCTCAGACCAGCTCTTGAGAAGCCTTGGTTACAACCCTGAGAGCTGATCTCTGAGGGTCTGTTACTAGAAGAGGCCATTAGCAGCATTTTTTTTCCTGCTATTGCATTTTTACGGCCCACAGCTCCTCTGGATAGCATTTTGCCCATTAAATCAGATGTTTTGAAAAAAAAGAAAAAGAAAAAAAAAGGCCTGGTAATCATAACCATAAATCATAAGTCACGTTATTGTAAGTGGATGGCTTCCTGGCTTCCTGGGATCTGTGAATCGGAGGCAGTGTGTGGGAAAGCTTGCTGTAATGAGGCGATGGGGGAGGCCAGGTTTTCCCAGGGGGGTGTCGTCCACCAGCCAGATACTTCACAGAGCCTTGCTTCTGGATGACTTCCACCTCAGCGAGGGGCAGCACATTCGTGGTGAGGCTGGGGGCGGTGGGTCGGCGGGGGCACCAGGGAAAAGCGAATCACAAGAGGAGAATGATGTCGGCTGCCCTGAACCCTGCTTGATGTTTCTATGAAGAGGCAGAGCCCCATCCAGGATGCCCCCAGCTGGGTTTCTGGAGGGTGCGGAGACCTTGGCCAGGATGCCTCCAAGGGCCTGGGGGTTCCTGTGGTCCATCACGCTTGCTTAAGAGCTGGAGCCCTTGACTGACAAGAGGACAAGAGAACTCACATGGGTATGCAATGGGGGCGCCCAGGCTCCATCAGCAGTGCCTCCGTGATCCAGCCAGTTCTCCTCTGAGTGTGAATAAAGCCATTGCAGAAGGGTTTAGTAAACCCAAAGAGGAGAATTTTCTAAAGGCGCTGGATACACATAAAATACAAGTGTCTGAGCCCTTCCGAGAGGGCCTGGGCTCTGAGGAAAGGGAGGAAAAGGATAGCTAAATGTTTATGAGCAAGCAGCAGATCTTACTCCCCAGACGTAAGGAAACGGAAATGGGCACAGAGAGACTCAGGTGCTTGCCCAAGGCTGCACAGCAGCCACAGGCCCAAAGACTCCTCACTCATGCAGTCAAGGATCACCCGTCCTCAGTGGCTCAGCTAGGGAAAATGTATTTAGCGCTGTTGGGGACTAGGCCCTGCCCTCAGGCCTGGAGGTCTGGAGGATGAAGATACATTCCTGTCCTTCAGAAGCTTGTGCCATGGCAAGAGAGAAAGACACAATGCAATTATGATGCCAGGCCCGGAGAGCCATGGATTATTCTGGATGTATAGCCATGGTTCATTCTCTGAGG
Source organism: Homo sapiens (assembly GCF_000001405.40). Taxonomy (NCBI): domain Eukaryota; kingdom Metazoa; phylum Chordata; class Mammalia; order Primates; family Hominidae; genus Homo; species Homo sapiens. The sequence continues at coordinate 45,393,788 of NC_000011.10, forward strand.
GAGTTGAGACAGCAGAGGAAAAAAAATACTGCACCAGAAGCAAGAACACAGATTCTGCGAGGGGACAACAGTGGGAGGGGTGGTCTTTGTGTGTGTCGGGGGCAGGGGAGACGGGGTGGAGGCAGAACTAAGGAGACCCTCCCCTGCACCACGCTTTGGCTGGATCTTGAGGGACACGTGGACATTGATGGGGAACAGAGGACTCCGAAGGGCGCTGCCGGGGGTGGAGAAGGTCTGCCGAAAGGCATGGAGGTGCAGAAGGGCAGGGCACAGCCGAACTGCAAGGTGTAGAAGGCCAGCTGGGAAGGGTTCTGATACCAAAGGATTTTGGACTTTGTCCCACAGGCACTAGGGATGCAGAGACAGATCCTAGGAAGGAGGAGCGTCAGAGTGAGCCAGAAAGATCCCTCTAGAAAAGCTTTTCCCACTGTAGTGAGGCTGATGGAGGCAGGAGGCCGGCCAGGAGGCTTTGGCCATGCCCACGAGGAAGGGAATGAGAGTGTCTGACCTCAGGCACTGGTTGTGGGCACAGAGGGTAGAGGGTAGTGGATGTGGGGAGTGAGGAAGGCGGGTTTCCTGGCTGCCTCTGAGGTTCCAGCATAAGGAGAACCCAGACAGGCAGGGGCAGTGTTAACTTTAGTCCTTCCTGACCTCCGGCCTGGTCCACCTTTGCTGAACCACCCGGTCTCTCTAAAGCCTGAGCAATGTAAACACCCAGCTGGGCAGGTTCCAGTCCCCGCTCCCCAACCCCTAGCTGCGCAACTTCGGACAAGTCACTCCCCATCTCTGACCTTCTGGGCTTTAGTTTCCTTATCTGGAAATGGGATGACCTGGAAGCAGGGCTAACATGAGGATTATAAACTCTGTGTTTGTTTCAGATTGGTCCTGGCAGGAAACAAGCTCATTCAAATTGGGTAATTGGAAGGGAGTTTTTAAAAGGACTATTTCCAAAGATCTGGGTGGGTGTAGAAAAATCTCAAGGGACAATTCGGTGCCCAGGGCTGGTGACAGTCATCCCAGTGACCACCCGGAAGCCTATATGGGGAGGGCCACCTGGCAGGGGCTGGGGCTGGGGCTGCAGCAGCCTCCCTCTGACCATTCAGATGGGGAGCCCTGGTCCCTGGGCTTCAGTGGTCTATACCCCAGGAGACTGAGTGTGGGTCTCTCCTTGAGTGTGAGAAAAGCAGTGGGCAGCCCCAGCCAACAATCAGTCTCATATGGAGGTCATAGGAGATTCACTTTCTTGATCAGCCTCCTAGAACCAGGCCAAATCAGGGGGACAGGCCAAGGGAAGCTGCTGATTTAAAATTCAAATGTGTCCAAAGCCCTCACCCCAGGACCTGAAGTTCCCTTTTCCACTTTCTATGCCCCATCTCTCTCTCCTGCTTCTTTTCTTCCCTCCGTCTCTGTCTTTCCTCCTCCACTCTGTACCTCCCTTCCACCTTTCTCCTCTTCCTCTTCCTTCCTCCTCTCTTCTCTCTCTGGCCTTCTCTCCCTATCCCCCACCTCTGACCTTACTTAACAGCCAACACCGTCCAAGAGACACTCCTCAGTCAGAATCGCCCTCACTTTTTGACTTCACATTTGTGGACCTTGGCCTGAGGGAGATGTGGTGTTGTGCAGGTGTTGGGGGCCCCAGTCACCCTGGTGGCTGTGTCTAACACACGGAGGCTCTTGGGGAATCCAGAGAGGTGTAGAGCCTTAGCCTTCCATTTCCACCAGCAGTTCTTGACCATCCGCAGTAACTGGCCTAGTCAGTGCCTGGCTGCCCAGCACTGTCTGGACATCAGTGGGATGATGGTCAGTCCTGGGGAGGAAGCAGCTGCTCCATGAGAAAGAGTATGTGTCTGCGTGTGTGTGTGTGTGCGTGCGTGTGTCTCTGTTTGTAGGGAGCAGGCCGGGATTAGCCAGAACAGACAAACTTTTTCAGGTGAATGATGAACAAGGACAAAAAAGATGGGAACCATTTAAATTGTACCTAGTGTGTGCTAGGCACTGGGCAAGGGGCTTGCACATACTTTATCTAATTCTCACATTGGCCCTACATGGTTCTACCCATTTTAGAGGTGAGGAAAGCAGTATTGAGGACCAGCTAAAGGCTCGTGTCTGTGATAGGCTGTGTGAGGACTAGGGAACAAGAGTAAGCGCAGTACAAGTCAACAACACTATTAGTTGGGCACCTACCATGTGTCAGGCACTGGGTTATAAGGAAGCCTCCATGCTTGTCTGGCACAGTTCCAGAGCAGAGAGAAATGAAGCTGGTGACCAGAGAACCCTGCGACATCAGGAGTGCAGATGACTTAGGCATCTTCTAGAAGTGCAACTCCTCCATTGAACAGATGGGCAACTGAAGCCCAGAGGGAGGAAGTGTTTTCCCCGAAGCCACATGGCGAGTCCTCTCGTTCTAGCTCACAACACTGCTTCCAAGGACGTTTCTTCTGCTTCTAGGCTCCCCCTGTTTTGAAGCTGATTTTTATTCCCTCACTTAAACAATTAAGCTTTAATACACTAAAAACAGATCATTATCTTCCTAAGGTTTAAAAAGCAAGATTACTATTTGTAACACAAGTAATTAGCTACCTTCTGGTGTTTCCTTACACTCCTCTTCCCCAAAGGATTATGCTTTTTTATGTTGCAGAGGGCCCAGCAGCTAGATGTGATGGCCAAAGCTGTGGCCCTGGAGGAGGCAGAGGGAGGATCCTGGGATCTTGGGAGCTGGAAATGCTCCAAGTAGGGAGGAAAGGGGGCTAGGGTTGGCTGTGGGGGATCTGCCTACGTGCAGAGTTCCTCTTTAGGGGTGCGGGCTTGGTTCTGACGTCACTGGACCATCCCAGCCCAGATTGTTTGTTTCCTGGGCCACATTGCTGCTCTGGATAAAGATGGCCACTGCCTCAGGGATTTACGGGGGTGTAAATCAACTGTAACACCAGATGTGGAATCTTCCCATAGAGGATCTTCAAGGGGTCTATGAGCCCTCTGCATTCAAATGAAATGTCTGGATCTTTTTCTAATTGTTTGGGAATAGGGTCCATGGATTTCATCAGATAATTTTAATGGTAAAAGGAAGATTCATTGATTTTTTTCTTTCATTTGCTTTGTTATGAAATATGAAGAAGCACATATAAAGTGTATGTGTCTAATGTAGAGAATAATGAAACAGCCAGATGGAAGAGATGCCTACAGTGAGGTAAGGGAGAAGAGGCGTGGAGCTTCCATGCCCTCTCTGGGCACACTGCCCTCCAGGGACCTCCGTGTGTTCAGCAATCCAGAAACTCTCCAAACCCTGTCGTTCAGGGATTTTTATGGAGGCTTCATCACATAGGTGTGGTCACTTGTGTACCAACCATACAGATGGAGAAGAAATAGGAACCTGTCAATGTCTCGGAAACCTCCTCCCATAGGTCCTTCAGGATTATACCTCCCTCCTCTCCCCGGAGATAACTATTATCCTAATTTTTGTAAAATTATCATTCCCCTGGCTTGCTTTATAGTTTTCCCACCTGTGAATCTATTCCAAAACAACATATTGTTTAATCATGCCCGGTTTTGAACTTCTAGTGGATTTATACTATAAATATATAGGGGATCTTTTGAGGTTTATTCCTGCCCACGTGTGGACCTATGGTTTTTTCTGTTTCTCTGCACTCTGGTCTTCCGTTACGTGACTCAAGGCAGATCACAGGTTTCTGGACATTTGGGCTGTTCCTAGGTTTTGACTATTAAGAACAATGTTCCGTGGACATGCAAGAGATTGTTTAAAGAAAATAATTGGGAGCGGAACTGTCAGATCGTGGGGTATGTGCATACTCAGTTTTACCAGACAAGCACACATAATTAAGCTTTAATACACCAAACCCAGATCATTATCCTCCTAAGGTTTAAAAAGAAAGATGTCTATTTGTAATCAAACCATTTTTCAGAGTGTTTCTACCTGTTTACACTCCCACCAGCATGAGAGTACCAGTTCCTCCACATCTTCACCAGTGTTGGTATTGGTAGGTAGATTCACTTTTGTCAATCCTGCAGGTGTGTCTATGGGCAATGTTTTTGCTAAATTTGCATTTATTTGATGATTAATAAGATCTGACACTTTTAATACATTTATTGGCCATTAGGGTGTCCTTTATATAAAGTACAGTTCAAGTCTATTACCCATTTTTCTATTGGGTTGTATTGTTTTTAATTTATTGATTCATAAAGTGTTTTTTGCTGGGTTTCATTTTAATATATTCTAGAAATCAATCCTTGGCAGTTATATGAATTGCAAATATCTTCTCACACCGGGCCTTTTCTTTTGACTTGTATTCATTGCATTTTCAAAGGGTCCACAAGAGGAAAGGTTGAAAACCATTTTCAATACAGGTCTTATAAACAGGAAGCCCATGAGCCAGAAACCTCAGATTTTTGTTAAGCTCACTGGTGGTGTTACAACACGTTGAACCAGTAATCAGGAATGTCATGTTACAAGTCAAGATCATTAGCTTCTTTTGAAGTATTAGATGATCTGGGCCTGCAGTTCCTACATAGCAGTAGCAGGCTCCTTCCAAGTGGGGGCTCCAGCTGGAGACAAGGCAGGTCTTCTGGTTCATCCCAGTTCCTATTGCTTCCCAGGCACCAAGGGTCCAATGTCACTTGCCATCCTTGGGCTGCCCTGGTGGTTTCCTTCCACACTCCTGGTTTCATTGTGCACGTCACACGCAGGAATTTGCATTTGCATTTGCATTTGCATTTTGTTAATGCCCTGCATCCCTGCATCTCATTGTACCGTACAGGGCTCTCATTGTCCCTGCATCTCTTCATACCATGCATCTCATCATACCATGCATCTCAGCGTACCGTGCATCTCAGCGCACCATGCAGAGCTCTCATCGTCCCTGCATCTCAGCATACCATGCATCTCAGCATATCATGCATGGCTCTCATCGTACCATGCATCTCAGCATACCATGCATCTCAGCATACCATGCAGGGCTCTCATCGTACCATGCATCTCAGCGTACCATACATTTCAGCGTACCGTTCATCTCAGCATACCATACAGAGCTCTCATCGTCCTTGCAGCTCATCATACCGTGCATCTCAGCATACCATGTAGGGCTCTCATCGTACCATGCATCTCAGCGTACCGTGCATCTCAGCGTACCGTGCATCTCAGCGTACCATACAGAGCTCTCATCGTCCTTGCATCTCATCATACCATGCATCTCAGCATACCATGTAGGGCTCTCATCGTACCATGCATCTCAGCGTACCGTGCATCTCAGCATACCATGCAGAGCTCTTATTGTCCCTGCATCTCATCATACCATGCAGGACTCTATCGATGCCTATGATTGTTATCATAACAGATAGGAAAACCCACATTGCTTTTCCTACTCACACACCACTCACTACAGAGCACTTCACTTCTGCTCACCAAAATGTGTGTGGGTTTCTCCTCACTAACGACCAGTTCTCCAGGGGAAAATAGATGGGTGTCCTCTAATTCATTTCTGACATTATCTGCCTGGAGATGGCATCATATCCCACAAGTTAATGGCTGAGTTCCACAAGACTGCCCCTGACTTCGGATATGAATCGTGAGCTCCAGGCTGTGGCCTGTGCTTCTGGCCAACCAGCCATAAAGTGGGGGTTCCTATGACTCTCTCTTCAGGTTTAATGACTTTGCTAGAGCAGCTCACAGAACTCAGGGCAATTATTTGTGTTTACACATTTATTACAAAGCATGTTACAAAAGATACAGAAAAGCAGCCAGATGGAAGAGATGCCTAGAGCAAGGTAAGAGAGAAGGGGCGTGGAGCTTCCATGCTCTCTCTAGGGGCACCACCCTCCAGGGACCTCCTTGTGTTCAGCAATCCAGAAACTCTCCAAACCCTGTAGTTCAGGGATTTTTATGCAGGCGCCATCACATACGTATGGTCACTTATTAATTTAATCCCCAGGCCCTCTCCTTCCTGGAGGATGAGGAGGGAGCTGAAAGTTTCAAGCCTCCAATTATGACCAGGTCTTTCTGGGGACCATCCCCCATCCTGAAGTTACCCAGGATCCCAACAAGAGTCACCTAATTAGAACAAAAAATGCCCCTATCACCCAGGAAATTCCAAGGGATTAGGAGCTCTGTCAGGAACTGGGGTCATAGACCAAACATTATTAGAACAAAAGATGCACCTCACAACCCTTGTTGCTCAGAACATTACAAGGGTTTTAGGAGCTCTGTGCTTGGAACCAGGGGCAGAGACCAAGTATATATTTCTTGTTACATCACATTATTGCAGTTATAATTGCTGTTGTCATGCAGATGCCTCTGACAGGGGCACTACTTGGAGCTGATCTCACTCACCAAGTCCTGAGCAAGAAGAAATTTCACCTCTTCTGATCCAAAGATCAAAGCCTGTGAGGCCCTCACTCCTCAAGGAGGATGAGGGGAAAGAAGGCCCTGGAATTGGGGCCCCTGAAAGCACTGCCATGGCAGTGCTTGGCAATGGCATTGTCTGTCTGGGAGAGCTGGTGGTAGTCGTGAAGTCTGACAGATGTGAGCTTTGGATTGCCTTCAGAGGCAGCCCATGTCCTTGATCTCCATAAGGAGAGGAAAGAGCTATCACTAGAGATATTTGGTTTCCTGTTTATCTGGGGACAGTTTGATTTGCATCTCATTTACATCCATTTGTGCTCTGCATCTTGAAGGTCCAAACTCTGGGTGTCTGAGATAAAACGAAATTGTACAACCTGCTACCACTGGATTCTCATCCACGCTGGAAGGTTTGACCGGCCTGAAGCCAAGTGAATTTCTCAGCAGCCGCCTGTCAGGCGGGCTCTTTCATGCTACTTATTTCTTGAGCACTTACTGTGTACCAGCTGCTGTGCCAGTGTCTTATTTTAGGGGTAACACAATTTTGTGTGGTCTAGCAACTTACTCATTTTGAGATGCAGACATGGAAACGTGCCCTTCCGGTCCGGGTGTTCTTGGACAAGTGACTTACTGTTTCTGGAATTTCAGCTTCCCGATGGGTAAAATGAGAAGAATAACGGACTTCTCTCCGAAGGTTTGTGTGAGGATGTGACTCAGTGAGCCACATGGTACAGCACTCAGCCTGGGACACCCGCAGAACTGAGATGAGAAGGAGCCAGGATTTAAAGTCAATTTAATTGTCACTTCTCTGGGGTCTACCATGCCTCCCACTAAAGCACTCTCTTTTGCTATTAGCCACAAGCACGACATGCGGTTTCCCAACACTGCTGGGTGCACACCTCTCCTCCTGACCCCTCTCCCCACTTCCCCGGCAAGGACACACAGGCGGCTGTGGACTGGGGGGGCTCATGTATCCATCCATTTCATGTGGATGCCATTGGGGGGCTGCACTGGGCTGGGTTATTTTTTAACTCCTGTTATTAGTCACTGCCTGTCATGAGAAAAAAAAAGCCAGGGCAAGGTGTAAACATTCAGGCTTCTCCCAGTACTTTCTATTATTTTTCCCTCCTCTTTTCGTGAGCTGCCGTCCCATCACGGGAGGGTTGCCCATGAAGATGTGGCTGCTGCCATTCCTATAAACAGCTGGGATGTGTGGGACCTGCACACAGAGTGGGGGTGTCCCCGGGGCAACCTGCGGTGGCAATGCAGGACTTCCTGAGTTGTCCTGTCAAATCTGGAGATCAGTCACATCCAGCCCTATCTGGCCCTTACCTCTCTGCTCTCAAGTTTGACATGCCCACTCTGGTCATCTGAGTTGATCTTGGCCCCCTGAACCCACCTAACAGGCTGCACCTTCTATGTGGAACCCTCCTGGCCCTCCCAGGAGAATGCAGGGGGAGAGTGGGCTTCGGGGGTCAGATCGCCTGGGTTTGAGCCCTAGTTCTGCCACTCAGTAGCTGTGTGACTTTGGGAACATTCTGGACTTCTCTGTGCTTATTTCCTTATCTGTAAAATAGGGATAATAATGGTACTTTGCAGGTGGTTGTGTGCATTAAGTGAATACATGAATAATGCTTAGAACACTGCCTGGCTTAGAGTGAGCACTCAAGGTTGGCTATTATTATTATTAGAGTGCAGTGGGCAGATTGCTTGAGGTCAGGAGTTCAAGACCAGCCTGGCCAACATGGTGAAATCTCGTCTCTACTAAAAATACAAAAATTAGCCAGGCATGGTGGTGGGCACCTGTAATCCCAGCTACTCGGGAGGCAGAGGCACGAGAATCGCTTGAACCGAGGAGGTAGAGGTTGCAGTGAGCCAAGATCATGCCACTGCACTCCAGCCTGGGTGACAGAGTGAGACTATCTCAAAAAAAAAAAAAAAAAAAAAAAAGAGTGCAGTGGTGGGCCAGAAGCATGGGCTTTACTGGGATTCAAATCCCAACCCCTCCACTAAGTTGCCCTGCAACCTTAGGCATCTCCTTTAACCTCATGGCAGCTCAGAGGCCTCATCTGGGTTGCCTACACTGAAGGGTGGTTGCAGGGCTGGCTTCATGGGTGTGTGACTTGTGTAGTGGACTATCCAGCTCTAGTCCTGAATTATCTTTCATAACATTTCTGAAATATTTATCCCCAGTGCCAAGAAAAGTACTTGATAGACAGTTAAGTAGTGAATTAATATTTGTCAAAGGAAAAAATGAATGAAAATAAGTGGCCACTTACGTAGCATAAACAAAAAACTCCTCAGAATAGTTTGCCCTACTCTGGGGCCACACTACCTGACATGCTCATTAAGGATATAGTCTTCTTCTGATTTCCTTTATAAAATGAGAATTAACTTGGTAAAGTCATTTCATTTATGAGATTCTTTCTTCCAGGATAAGTTCTCCTGGCCATGAACATTCTAATTTAGAATTTTGTATGTGCTTTACTTATTATCTTTGTTTCTTGATTATTTTATATCTAAATCAGTGTGGAGATCCATTGTATTTTAATCTCATATAAACACTTATGAATTTAGATAATTAATAAGTCAGAAAATGAATTCAGGTTTTGAAATTTTATGCGTGTAGAATTTTGAATCATTAGCATATTTGGTTATTTTGTTATTGATAACATTGAAGAATTAGATGAGAATTAAAAAATAACAGTACTAGAAATATAGGGGCTTCCAGGTCCTGGCTTCTATTCTCAGCATTCAGTCAAGAGTGAATATTGGGGCCGGGCGCGGTGGCTCACGCCTGTAATCCCAGCACTTTGGGAGGCCGAGGTGGGCGGATCACCAGGTCAGGCATTTGAGACCATCCTGGCTAACAAGGCGAAACCCTGTCTCTACTAAAAATACAAAAAAAATAGCCGGGCGTGGTGGCGGGCGCCTGTAGTCCCCGTTACTCGGGAGACTGAGGCAGGAGAATGGCGTGAACCCGGGAGGCGGAGCTTGCAGCGAACCGAGATCGCGCCACCTCACTCCAGCCTGGGCGACAAAGCGAGACTCCGTCTCAAAAAAAAAAAAAAAAAAAAAAAAAAAAAAAAAAAAAGAGTGAATATTGGAAGGGATCTAATTATAATTCAATAGTGCTGTCATAATAATGGACAACATTTGTTCAGAGCTGAGGTGGGAAAATGGAGTTTTCTATATTTAAAAAGAATCTGTTTTCTCTATTTTCTGTGAAAGATGCTGCATTCATTACTCGTGCTTCCTACCAGTATAACGGTATAATGGCATGCTTGAGAAACAAGTTAGGACATCAGTCTGTGTGTTCTGTAGTCTGGATTCTTTTTTTTTTTTTTTTTTTTTTTTTTTTGCCTCCTTGGTGTCTGCTCATTTTTCTAAGATCCAGATCAGCTATGGGCAAATTCACTGGGAATAGGATAAAGTGAAGGTCTTCTTTTTCTTTTCTCAGTGGACTAAAAAACTCTTAAGTGTTTCTTTTGTATTCAAACCCAAAACTGGTACAAAGTCCATTAAGAGAAGCCACAGCTGCAGAACATACTTTCTTCCCATTGTCAATGTCTTATTTCTTCCCTCAAGATTCACTTTCTGTATAGTCACCTCGAGGAATGACTCACTGAAGACATTAGGGATTGGGGAACTGCCATCCCCTCCTAGATTACCCAGACCAAATACTGCTTTTTCCTCAAATGCTTTCTCCTGCCATATAGTTTTGCTCTGTTTTAACTCTATAAGGGGAGCCACCAAAAACAATAGGCAGACTATCTTTACCTTGTGTTGATTAAAAGGTATCATTAATATGGGGAAAATGAGGACAACAGTTTGTTTCTGGAATACTCTTTGTTCTTTTATAGAGCTGCAGAGTGATCTGTTATAGAGAGACCCTCTAATTTAGCCAGTCCCCTATTGCTGGATATATAGGTTGTTTCCACTCTTTATCAGCATAAATCTTTAAGTTTAAATAAATCCTCTTCTTCCTCATTCACTCTTGACAGCACTTGTTTAAAGGGGCAAATGGTCTTGTTCAGTTGCAACCTCTGCTCCATCGCTACAGCTCCATGCTTCTTGAAGACACAGATCCTCTTCCCTTCCTCCACCTCTTCTAATACCCTCCCATCCCCAATTCCAGAAATCTCCAGGAGTCAACCTTGACTCCTCCATCTCCCTCCACTCCCACGCCCAGTACGTCCACTTTACTTCCACAGCACAACCCTATGCAGCTCACTCCTTCCCCATCACCATCCTCCTGAGTCCAAGGCTCCATCAGATTGGGCTGGGACCATTGCAGTAAACTCCTCTCCTGTTATGGAAATCAGACTGGGTCACTACTCTACCTGAAGCCATCGATGGCTGCCTAGTGCTCAGGAGATAAAACCCCCAAATCCTCACCACCACCCTGTCTCATCTCCATCGCTGTCCCCCTGCTCATTTCCTTATGATGACCTATCAAGCTCTGTCCTGTCTCCAAGCAGTTGCACAAACTGTGTCTTCTGCTTGAGCACCGTCCCCACCACAGACACCCTCCTGCTCCCCCTGACTCTCACTTCCCTGAGTCTCAGCTTACACAGCACTTCCTCACACAGGCCATCCCTGCCTCCTGTCTGAAAGTGCTCGCCCATCCAAAGCTCTCATCCCCATGGCTTGTCCATTTCCTTACATCATACATCATCATGTGTAATTACATAGTTGTTTATTTGTCTGTTTAATATCCATCTCCCCTACTAGAATATAAACTGAGGGCAAAGATGTGTGTCTTATTCACTGCTCTGTCCCTTGTCCTTCTTAGGGGACCTGACTGGTGTTTGTCAAATGAATGAGTGTTTGTGGGCCCCTGTTCTTTGCCAGCCCTTGTGCTCAGTACTGGGCATCCAAAGTTTAATAGGACCCACTGACTGCCCACCTAAAAAACAGAGATTTGCACCTTCCTGGTAATACGACCCAAGAAAGAAGAGTTAACTCTACCACAGAGAAAGTCTGGAAGGATAAGGGACATTTAATCAGTGAGGAAGAAGAGAATGGGCATTCCAGGCAGAGGGTACAGCATCAGCAAAGATCTGGAGACACCCAGCCTATGGTATGTTTGGGAGCTCGTATAGACCCAGGGAGCTGGAACACAGAGTATGCAGTAAGATGGGATGAAGTGATCTGGGAAATTTCACCGAAGTCCTACTGTGATGGGTCAAGGAGTTGCAATATTTTTGTTGTTTTCTATTTCTTTGTATCCCTAGACTTTCCCTCAGTACTGGACATACAGTAGAAGCTCAACAAAAAATACTAGATGTAACCCGATGAGACTAGATGTTCCTTCTGCTGTTAATGAAGAGGAAACCAACAATTCTAGATTCAAAAGTGACTTTCCTTGCGTCCTCTTCTGTCAAATATTTTGGAAATCCCTGTATTAGTCAGGGGAAGCTAAGCTGTAGTAACAGAGACCCCCTTTGCAAAATCCAGTATCTTAAAGAAAAATAATTATTTCTCTCTTTTACAATAGTTTTGGGCAGGTAGCTGATTTAGGGTCTCAGGTTCCTTCCATCTGTTTCTCCACAATTCCCCAGGGTATTTTGAACCTCTCTGTGGGTGAAGCTGGGTCTCACCCATGTCCTGGTTGTAGGCAGGAGGAAGGAGAAAGAGATTGAGATGGAGGTGGGCCCATTGTCTTAAAGGCTCCGGCTTGAATGGGGCATGCATCACTTGTGCTCACATCCCATTGGCGAGAACTTGACCTAACTGCAAAGGAGACTGTGAAGTGTAATCTAGCTGGCCAGCCAGGTGCCATAATTTTACTGCTCTGGAGGCAGGAAAGCATGGAATTTGGTAGACAGTGAGCCAGAGGAAGTCACTGTGGCAGCCTCCAGTTCACCATCATGGAGGAGCAGGTGGCCAGGTGCATGGCCTTTGCATGACTCCAGGTGCCCCATGCGTCTATCCCCCAGGGAGTGAGCCCTGAGCTCTGTTCACTGCCCCCAGCTATGAGGGAGAAGATCTTGGGGTTCCTCTGACCTCTGTCTGCCTGGTTCTTCTAACAGGGCTCTCTGTGGTAGGGCCTCTCCTCAGCCTTTCTCCTGTCTTTCATTCCTGACTGGTGATGACCCTGGTCCAGACCTGGACTTGGCCCTCCTGCTCTGAGAAGAGCCTTGGTCAGCAAATAAACACCTGGGGCCACATTCTAGTGGCCCACAGGGACTGTGGAACTGCAGAAACTCGTTTTAAGTGCTTGAGAAGTACCTTATATGATATAGAAACAAGCCATTAATTGCAAATCATTATTTTCCTGTGATTCTTACAGTTCCCCAAAGACTATCTGCCAATATTGCAGTAGCCCAATAGGGGTCACTGTATGTACCTAAAAGTAATAAACCTGCATTTTAAAATCCTGTAATCTAAATTCAACTTTTATTGGACTTTTATTACAAATAGTATAAAATCTCATTAATATTAAAATTAACGATAGCTAATATTTATTGAGCACTCACTGTGTCAAGCACTATATAGCACCTCAGAAGCAATCTCTCACTTAATTCTTACTACTCCTAGTGTGGAACACTGGGGGTTCGCATTTCAAATGCAGAAACTGAGGCTTAGTGAGGTTAGATGGCTTGACAAAGGCCACACAGTTAATATAGAGCAAAGCCATAGCCAGGCACAATGGCTCATGCCTGTAATCCTAGCATTTTAGGAGGCTGAACTAGGTGGATCAGTTGAGCCCAGGAGTTCAAGACCAGCCTGGGCCACATGGTGAAACCCCATCTCTCTACAAAAAAAAAAACAAAAAAAAAAAACAAAAAAAAAACACTTAAAATTAGCCGGGGCATGGTGGCACACACCTGTAGTCCCAGCTACTCGGGAAGCTGAGATGGGAGAATCACCTGAGCCCCAGAGGTCGAGGCTGCAGTGAGCAATGATTGTGCCACTGCACTCCAGCCTGGGCATCAGAGTGAGACCCTGTCTCATATAAAAGAAAAATAAAAAGAGCAAAGCCAGGATTTGACTCCATTTCTGCCTAACTCCAGAGCCTTAGTTCACCATGAAGCTGCTAGCCTAAGCAACATGAAAGTGACTTTCACTGAAAGCTGCATGGCACTCCACAGCTTCTCAATCCTTGCAACACCCCTGGTTTACCTCTATTCCCATTTCAGCTGAGGAAACGAGGTGCAGGAGGTCAAATACACACAGTAGGGAGCCATTCTTGTTGGCCGTCTGCCCCTGCATAAAGCAGGGGTCACCCCTGCCCTGGAGGGACAGCTCTCCTACGTGGGTGGGCAGCATCCTCAGACCCTTGGACCTTTCCACACTGCTTGGAAGGGAACCGATGGCCACTCTCCTTCCTGAGAGAAGCCAGCAGGACCTTGCTGCCCCATGATGATGCTGTCAGACCCTCCTCCCTCTGACTCCTCCCCAGGCCTTGCCACCCTCCCCTTGCCACCCTCCCCTCCCCTTGCTGGTCCAGGGCTGAGCCTTTATCCTTATCCTGGCCCCTATCTTGCTCTTTCCTCCACCCTCTTCAATCAGCACCTTGATCTTTGTAAACTGCTAGTGAACCTGATAATGTCACCTTCTGCCTAGAAACCTTTCATGTTCCCAATACCCGCAGAGTAAAGCTGCTGCCTGGCACCTAGGTCACCTAGCATGATCTGGCTTTGCCTCTGTTCCTGGTTTTTGTCTACTACCTCATCTGCCCCCTTCCCGCCAGCCCAATGGGTGCTCCCCAGCTACAGATAAAAAGAGAGAAGGTGGTGGTGGGGCCTGGAGACAAATTCGGAAAATTCTGTATTCTCCATGCCTTCTTGAAAAGTGACCATACATGCATATTAGTAAAGGCTCTGAAACCCTGCAGAGCAACGTGTTAAACTTTTATTCAACCTAATAGTCTCCATGTTTATTTGACCACAGAAGACACAGAAATCCATGTTAACATCGTGCACAGCAGCCACTTTGAAAATGCCCCTGTTTCCATATGGGACCACATTCCCTGCCCTTCATTTTGCCTCCCCACCCTCAACTCTCTGACCATCTCTCCCTGTTGAAATGTTTTAAGGCCCAACACAAAAGCCTCATTCCCCATGAAACCTTCCTGATTTCGCCCCAACTAGAGTGCTCTCCTCAACCTCAGCATTAGATTGGGCCTCTCCCTGAACTTGAACTGTAAAGTCAGCCAGAATGTGGGGTCACACGTGGTCTTTTGTCTTCTCCCTGAACATTGGGTGTCTTAAGGAAAGGGATTAAATTTTAGTTCCCTCTTCATATCTCAAACAGGGCCTGTCTCATTACAGGTGCCCTGGAACAGTCATTGAACAAGAACTGGAGAAGGAGATGCAACCTGTGAAAGGCAAAGTCTCCACCTTCTTCCACACAGCCCAGCTCTGGTTCCCACAGTCACCACTGTGGAGGGTCAGCCTGGCTCCCCAGCCCCAGAGTGGCCTGGCCTGACTCACTGATCATGCAGACAGGATGTCAGGATTCCCTGGAAGCTCAGGGGCAGGCCATAGGGACTCCACTTGCCACCCTGACTGACTCAATGTGTCCAGTCTGAGTGTCCCCTGAAGAAATACATCATCTGCCATCTGAGGGCAGGCAGCCAGGCACTGACCTAGGATCAGGCCTTCTCACTTGTAGCTGGCTGCCTCCATCCTTTTGAGCTGGGAAGTTGTGAAGAATTTGTTAAGAACCAGAAAGAACTTGTTTTGGGGACCACAGGCACGTGTCAGACCCAGGTCCCAAAGCCCTGGGCTTGCAGAGCCAGGTGGGCTGTGGGAATGAGACATGGCAGGGGCAGGGTTCCTGCTGAATTGGGAGAGCCCTGTCCAGCACCAGCCAGTGAAGCCCGGTGAGTTAGCACCCAGGAAAGCCAGACCTTCTGATTTGTATGTCAATCTCCTGATATTGAAAAATCGGCTCAAGACATTTTTTGACCCTGAAAGGTAAAGAAAACCAGGCAGCTGGTCCAACCTGTCCTGTGGCTGTCGGCTTGACCTTTGTGTTAGGTTAGCATCATACCAAGCCAAGTGCACAGGTCAAGGTGTTGTGTGAGATGCAGCTCATCTGGCACATGGGGGTGGGCATTTCAAAGTCACGGTTGAGTGGATGAGTATGTGAAAGCTGCGTATCCGTCATGGATTAAGTAAACAGTGTCGAATGTCAGGAGCCATATCCGAGTTTCATTTTTACAATCATGTCAGCATCGGGTGCAGGTTGCTCATGTCGGAGGCAGGCACGAGGTACGCACATCAGCCATATGGTAGGTGCTGCTGTGTGTTACATGTGTATGTCGGTATCAGGTGTGGGGCCTCGGTTCACATGCTCATGTAAAGCGTGCCTGGCAACCTGTCTGGTACCCAGCCCCTCCTCCCAGCACCCCACTCCCCTCTCACAGGAATGGCTGCCTCTCCTGCTCAGGGCCTGTCCAGGTGACATAGCGGAAGCCCCTGCCTTTCATCTCCAGCCCCATAAGGTTGGGAGCCCCAAGCACATCCCAGCTCAGGGAATAAAGAGGCCCCTTTGTCGGACGCTACAGCAGACTCCCTGGTCCCCTCCTCCAGCCCTACCTCACCTATCCGTGTGCCCCACTGACCACAATCGCACTCGACCTGAGTCATGCTCCCTGGAGAAGGGGCCTGATGTCATCGAGAGCTGGCAGAGGAGAGGCATAGACAGGCTGCTGCTGTTAAAAATGACACCTCTGCAGGCTGCTGTGATACTGTGTGTGGGCCAGCTCTGTCCTCTATCTTCTCCTCTCCCTGTGGCACTGCCCTAGCAGGGCCTGCCTGCATTGCTCATTGCTCCAGGCTTTATGTTTGGAGAAGAGAGAGAGAGAGATGAACTGGGGCCCAGGAAAATATGCAAGTGGGGGCTGTGCATGAGGACCATGGCTCTGCTGCTTACCAGCTCTGGGAGCTTGAGCAAATTGCTTAAGCTCTTCTTGCCTCAGTTTACTGCTCCGTAAAATAGGGATGGGATTGTTGTGATGGTGAGAAAAGAGCTTGTCTGTGACCATGCCTGGCACAGGCACACAGTAAGCTCAATAGATTGATCAAATATTCTCTTTTCTTTCTGGCGACTGGCAGGTCCGCATTCCAGGAAGAGGGCAGAAAGAAGTGGGAAGACTGTGCTTCTCTCTCTCTCCCTGTCTTTCTCTCCCTCTCTCATTTCCTCCTTCCCTTCCCTTTCCTCAGAGCAACAGAATGACCTGTCTCTCAGAATGAGCCTGGGCCCAGGGAGCTACATTCCCAACCTGCCTCTGAAAGGCAACCCTGGAGGGCAGGTCCTCTCAGCAGGCTTGGACACCCTCTGTCCCTCCATCTTCTCCCTTTAGGTTCAGACCAAGGCTGCGCCCTCACCCAATTGCCTTTATTCTGAACCTGCTGCAAGACAAGCTTCCATCTTCTGCAGGAATAAGTATGGCTGGAAAAAGTGCAGGCCAAGGAGTCAGCCCTGCACCTCCCTGGCCAGGGGCACTGCATACATTCCTGGCCTGGTGACTTCACGCATCTTTAGGGCAGGAAGAGTACCCTGGCAGGGCTGTTAGGAGGACTTGCTGAAATGACATTCTTAATGCTGCTAGTTCAGAGGGCTTTAGTCCACGTCCTTCACTCCTATAAATTTCCTTTCACTCTGTGCAAAGTGCAGAGGTTGTCAGGCAGCAGCTTCAGAGCCCCTGACTCCCCTGGGGCATGGTGGCCCTCACTGGATCTGCTTCCTCCCTCGAGGTGGGGGCCTTCCCTGTCTGTCTGTGAGTACCCTGGTCAGCATGTGGGTCTGTCTCTTGTCCGATTTCCCTTCCCTTGTCCTTATCACCCCTCCCAACCCGACCCCCGACCAGGACAATGCCAAGGTTTGCAGGAATTCTCACCCACACCCCGCCTCCACCTCCCTGCCCTTCCTCTCTGTGGGGAGCCCTCTGTGTCGCACAGAAAGAGAGCAGCAGATGTTAAAGCCGTGTTCCCTTGTCCGCACTCAGCCCGCTGGGGTGTTTGATCTCTGGCTTAACAAGTTCAGCCATTTTTCTGAAATGAGGAAAAGATTCAGACAGAGAAAGAGGGATGGAGACAAAGAATGAGAGAGACCATAAGATAAAATGATCCAGAGACTGAGAGGAAGATAGAAGAGAAAGACAAAGCAAGGCAAACACAGAGAGAAAGAGAGAGAGACTAGAGCAGGGACCACCTTCTCTTACAATCCTCACCTTCCCCCTTCCCCATTCTCCCACCTCTCACCTGACCTCCTGCCCTGCCTCCCACCCTGCCTCCCACCCTGCCTCCCAGGCCCTGATGACTGGTGACCATCAGCCTTGTAGCCACCATATCAACTCTGAGTGACCGTGCCCTCCCTGGGGGAGGTTACAGCCTCTCTCCTGTGTGACAGGGCATTTGCTTAAGATTCAAAGGCCTCTGATACAGAGGACGCTTCCCTCACAAGCTGGGAAGAGTAGCCCTGTGGTCCGGAGGGCTGGCTGGCAGGGGACAAATGGGCTGCCAGGATGGAGCCAAGAACTCCTGCTTTGCTCACTCCTGGGGCTGAGCAGCCTTTCAGGAGCACCCGGGGAGCCAGCAGTGAAGCCCTCCCTCACTCAGCATTAACTCCAAATTTATTTCTTGCTCTGCCTCTCCCTCCCCTCTTCCCTCTCCCCTCCTTTGTCTTCCCAGTATTCGATTTCCTATTTGAGAACCGTTCCAGCCTGTGCCACTGCTGAAATCCCATCCTCGGTAACCAGTGAAGGCTGTTTTAAGCCTGTGAGTCAGAGACCAGTGCTGGTTTTTATTAAAGGCAAAAGGAAAATAATCTGATTTTTAAAAAGCAAAACACCTTCTTAATGTTTCATGGGACATCAAACTGTCTGAGATAATATCTTAAAACACTCATATACACATGATAGCCCCCAACCCCTTCCCAGCCTCAGGTGGGAGTGTCAAACCTGCTTGGGTTATTTTTTTCCCCGGGCTAAATGTTTCTAGGTCACTTCCATCCTCCCCCACTGAGAGCTCCCATACAGGAAACGCTAAGGATTCCACTCCAGTCCCCGAGCCTCCATAATTAATGGGATCACTGGAAACCAGCCGGAAGGATGCTAGGGGCGAGGGGTCTTATCTCTCTGGTCTCCAGGCAGAGAAGCTTCTCGCCAGATGAGATGCTGAGTCTATGCAGGCCCTCGGGCCACATCTGCTGACACTGATCCAGCTCCTTACTAGCCCACCTGGGGCTGGCAGTCTCGGGGCCTCTTTCTCTTCCTGCCCCACCACCCTCTGGAGCTGTCTCTTTCTATAATTCTTCCCTCGTCGAGTCTATTAGCGTTCTCCGGCAGGCTCTGCCAAGCTCAGCTGCATCTCCTTGTCTAGTTTATATTAGAAGAGAAAGCTCTGGCGTGTTTTCCCCTTACCTGAGGAAAGAGATGCTTCTCTTTTTCAAGACACTCATAGCCTTTGATGAAGCCCAAGAAAGGCTTAAATTATAATGAAATGCAGTCATCTCCAGACGAGATTACCCGGGAGTGCTTCCGGCTGCCTTGTGAAAACGGCCTTCCAGCAGAAAGGTAGCTGGGTGCAGGGGCTGCCCTGGATGCCTGTATGGCCCTGTGTGCAGCTTGTCACCTGCCTGCCCCTCCTCCCTGCCTGGACTATTGCAGTAACCTCCCGACTGGGCTTACCACCTCCTGTTTACCTCCCCTCCCCTGCTGATTCTTTCCTGCTCTGGTCTGATCACTTTCCTTCTCAGAGACCTTCAGTGGCTTTTAAATTCCCAGTTCAAATGCCCCCTCCACTCCTTCACCCAGCCCTCCCAACACCTTCCAGGTGGGCTGCACTGCACCACCTCACTGACATCCCTGCCTACCACTGGTCTGGTCTGTAGCCCAGATTAAAAATAAAAACAAAAAACAAAAAACACTTCACTTGTCCTGCTTGGGATTATCATTATTTGTATATTTGAGAAAAGAAAGAAAATAGCCCATATGGACAAAGGCCCACCATGTGCCAGGTGCAAATGTCAACCTGCCTTGGAGTCACACAGACCTGGGTTCAAACCCTCACTCTGCCCACTTACAGCTAAACGCCCCAGAACAAGTTTACTCCTATCTCTGAGCTTGCTTCCCTATCTGTTAAATGTGACTAATGATACCTACCTCATAGGACTGCTATGGCGGTTAAGGAAGACTAAGTGCTGAGCACATAGTAATTGCTCAATAAATACTAGCTGCTCTGCTTTTTAAAAAAAATTCCTCATAATGACAAAGGAATGATTGGCCTGGTTTTATGGAGGATGAGGTGGTTCTCAACCTTGGCTATGTTTTAAAAACACCTGGTGTAATAGTCCATTCTCATACTGCTATGAAGAAATACCCGAGATTGGGTAATTTATAAAGAAAAAGAGGTATAATGGACTCACAGTTCCACATGGCTGGGAGGCCTCACAATCATGGAGGAAGGAGGAGCAAAGGCTCATCTTACATGGTGGCAGGCAAGAGAGCTTGTACAGGGGAACTGCCTGTCATAAAACCATCAGACCTTGTGAAATTTACTCACTGTCACGAGAACAGCACAGGAAAACCTGCCCCGTCTTTCAATTACCTCCCACTGGGTCCCTCCCATGAGACGTGGGGATTATGGGAGCTACAATTCAAGATGAGATTTGGGTGGGGGGAACAGCCAAACCGTATCACCTGTGGAGATTTATAAACTACACGTGCTGGGTCCCAATGCCCAGATCTCTCCTGGGATCACAGCATCTCTGTCTGCACAGGACAGGAATCACTGTACAAGGCACTGAAGAAGCAGAGGCCCAGGTAGGGCCTGGCTGCCTTGGACAAAAAGCCCAGGAGAGGGCATTTTTCAGGGGTCAAGAGATGGGAGTGGCCGGGCGGGATGCCTGGGCTTTGGAGTGAGTCCAGGGCAGCCTCACTGTTCAGCAGGGGTGGGTTGGGAGGGCTCATGGCACCATCTTGCCCTGTCACTGGGCACACCCAGTGCAGGGAGTGCCCGTGGGGTCTGAGGAGGTAGGAGGCTGCAGGGGAAGCCAGGCTACCTTGCTTGCCCAGAAACAGGCCAGTGACCACAGCAACTGCCTTCTGGTGGGGATGGGGGAGCTCAGGAGAAGCAGGAGCTAATTGAGGTTGTCAGGAACAAAGGCAAGCTTTCCACAGTTGAGAACAGAAGGGAAAAACACGCAGAGTTAATTAACTTCCTTCAATATGGCTGGTGCCTCAGGTCTTACAGCTGCCTGGGGTCTCACTCTGCCTTCCAAGAGAAGGAGATCATGGTGGCTGAATGAAAAACACCCTCAGACAGGCAGGACAGCCCTTCTTTTTGCTACTCATGTGCTCATTAATTCATTCGGTTATCAATCAACAAATCCATATCAAATGCCAGGCTCTGTGCTGAGGACTAGAAACAGCACAATATAGAGGCGTCCTCATGGAGTTCAAAATCATTCATTTACTTCCTCTTTCAACCAGCACACAGCAAACAGCTCTCAAGTGGGTCCATTGTGCTGCCTTCAATTGCTTTATTTATTAATATTTTCTCCAGTGCATTCATCCTGCCCCTCTCCTAGATCTGCCTTCTCTTGCCTCCAGTTCTTCCTCCTCCATTCCTCCCCTCAGCTGAAGGCCTTACTCGAGTTTACTTGGAAAATAGAAGCAATTGGAAGAGATCTTCCACCAGCTCCCCAGGTACCCACTTCCAGCACTTGTGCCTGCAACATCCTCTGCCTTCTCTCCCGTTGATGAAACGGATTGCCCATGCGCCTAAGGCAGCCCTTCCTTAGACCTGAGCCCCAGGTCCCATCCACTTTAGCTTCCTGGAGCACAGTGTCCAGAGAGTTCCTCTGCTTTATCCTGTATTGCCAATTTCCCCTCTTTATCTGGTCATTCCCCTCAGCATATGAACGTGCTGCTGTTTCTCCCTTTCTAGAAAGTTATAAAACATCTCTTGGCCCTACCATCTCAGCCAGCACTACTCCATTTCCTTCTACTTCTTTACAGCAAAACACCTGTAAGTAGTTGTCTCTGCGGGGTGTCTCCAGTTCCTCTTCTGCTCTGTTTTAATTCCACTCCAGCCAGCTTTCATCTCTACAGTTCCATTGGACCTGCTCTTACCAAGGACACCAAAGACCTCTAAGGCACCAAAAGCCACTCCTCAGTGCTCGTCTTACTTGACCCAGCTGCAGCATTTCACAGATTGATCACCACCTCTTTAAACCACTATTCCCTTGGTTCCCAGACACCACCCTCCCCTAGTTTTCTTCCCACCTCACTGGTCACACATTTCAGCCTCCTTTGTTGGGTCCCATTCTTCAATCTCTCACTTTTTTTTTTGAGGCAGAGTCTCACACTGTCACTTGGGCTGGAGTGCAGTGGCACAATCTAGGCTCACTGCAACCTCCACCTCCCGGGTTCAAGCAATTCTCTTGCCTCAGCCTCCTGAGTAGCTGGGATTACAGGTGCCTGCCACTGTGCCTGTCTAATTTTTTGTATTTTTAGTAGAGACGGGGTTTCACTATGTTGGCCAGGCTCGTCTCGAACTCCTGACCTTGTGATCCACCCTCCTCAGCCTCCCAAAGTGCTGGGATTACAGGCATGAGCCATCGCACCCCGCCTCGATCTCTTAATGTTGAGGTGTGCTTTGCGAAGGTTAGTCCTTGTTCCTGTTTATCCATTCTCACAGTTTTAAATATTGTCTCTATGCTGACAACCAAATTCATATCTGCAGCTCAGACCTCGCCACAAACTCCAGACTCAAATATCCAACTATTTAAACATCATCTCTTCTTAGTTGATATCTGATATTGTCTGGCTCTGTGTCTCCATTTAAATCTCATCTTGAATTATAATCCAAATTGTAATCCCCATGTGTTGGGGGAGGGACCTCATGGGAGGTGATTGGATCATGGGGATGGTTCCTCCATGCTGTTCTCATGAGAGTGAGTTCTCACGAGATTTGATGGTTTTATAAGGGGCTCTTCTCCCCTTCGCTCTGTACTTCTCTCTCCTGCTGCCTTGTGAAGAAAGATGAGTTTGCTTCCCCTTCTGCCATTTATTGTAAGTTTCCTGAGGCTTCCCCAGCCATGTGGAACTGTGAGTCAATTAAACCTCTTTCCTGTATATTTATGCAGTCTCAGGTAGTATCTTCATAGCAGTGTGAAAACAGACTAATACAATATCTCAAACTCAACATGTCCAAAACTCAATTCCTGTCTTTCCCCTATAATTCTGTTCCACCTACATCCTTCTCCAACTCAGTTAATGGCAACTCCATCTTTGCAATTGCTTAGACTAACACACCTCACTGTTATCTGGGACTCTTCTCTTTTTATCACATTCCACATCTATTAGGAAATGCTACTGACCCAATCTTCAAAATGCGCCCAGGATTCCACCAATCCTCCTCACCTCCGCTGCTGCTACCTGGTCCAAGCCAGTATCTCCCATCTGGGTTGCTGCAGTTGCCTCCTCACTGGTCTCCATAAGGCAGCTAACATTCTCTGTTACATCAACCTCTCTGCTCAAAACCATCCCTCCAATGGCTTTCATCTTGGTCAGAGGAACAGTGCCCATGAGGTCCTCTGTGATCCAAGTCCCACCACTGCCTTCCTCCCTCTCTTCCCCATGCTCAGTTCTTTCCAGGCATGCTCCTTCCTGTAGGCTTTTATACTTGCTATTTTCCTCTCCCTGGGACACTTTTCATGCTGATACTTATGTGGCTTTTTCTGTGGCCACCTTCATGTCTTTGCTCAAATGTTTACTTTCACAGTGAGGCCTTCCCTGAATGCCCCATTTAGAACTGCAGTGCTTGCCCCCATAGATTCTTTCTTCCCTCTTTTCCCCTTCTTTGGAACAGCATTCTTTACCATTTCACATGCTATATATTTATTTGTTGTCCATTTTCCTCCATTACAAAGTAGGCTGGTGTCCATTTTCCTCCATTAGAATGTAGTGGGTTGAATTGGACTCTGGCCCAAAATTATGTCCAAGTCCTAGCCTCTGGTACCTATGATTTCGTCTTATTTGGAAATAAGCTCTTTACAAATTAAGTTAAGGATCTTGAGATGGGTTCATCCTGGATTTAAGGAGGGCCCTAAATCCAATGACTGGAGCCTTATAAGAGAAAGGAGGCCAGGCGCGGTGGCTCACGCCTGTAATCCCAGCACTTTGGGAGGCCGAGGAGGGTGGATCATGAGGTCAGGAGATCGAGACCATCCTGGCTAACAAGGTGAAACCCTGTCTCTACTAAAAATACAAAAAATTAGCCGGGCGCGGTGGCGGGCGCCTGTAGTCCCAGCTACTCGGGAGGCTGAGGCAGGAGAATGGCGTGAACCCGGGAAGCGGAGCTTGCAGTGAGCCGAGATTGCGCCACTGCAGTCCGCAGTCCGG
Organism: Homo sapiens; assembly: GCF_000001405.40. Lineage (NCBI taxonomy): Eukaryota > Metazoa > Chordata > Mammalia > Primates > Hominidae > Homo > Homo sapiens. The sequence continues at coordinate 45,417,502 of NC_000011.10, forward strand.
CCTGGGCGACAGAGCGAGACTCCGTCTCAAGAAAAAAAAAAAAGAAAAAAAAAGAGAAAGGAGAGAGAGAGATTTGAGACAGAGGCTCAGGGAAGAAGGCCACAGGAAGAGGTAGAGACTGGAATTACGCTGCCAAAAAATGCAAGGAGCTGCCAGAAGCTGGAAGAGGTGAGGAAGAACCTTTAGAAGGAGCTTGTTGTATCACTCCCAGGAAACTTAGTCAGGATCTTGATTTTGTTCACTGCTGCCTCTCAAGTTGTCCCACAATGCCAGGCAGAGTGGGCACACAGCACGTGTTGGATGACTGAATAAATTTCTTTCCACACAGCACTATGCTGAGCATTCTGAGAGAGACAAAAAGACAGGTGTGAGTCCCAGCCCTGTGATTCAGCAGCTGGAACCTGCATTGCCCCATTCCCTCATTTGTAAAATAGAGGAAAAATATTCTGTATCCTAGGGTGGCTGGGAAAACTGGATGATATGTAATAGGTGCTGGGTGAATCTTCCTCCTTCCCTAGCACCTCGGTGTCCTCATCTCTGAAATAGGGGGAATGCCCAGGCTTGTCCGACTTGGAGAACTGTTCTCAATATATTTTTAAAAATCAAACACCATTTAATGATCTGGGAAATATCCATGCTATATTGTTAAGTGGGAAAAAGCTAGTGACGAAATAGCATGTGCATGATCTATGCTTTAATAAATGAGCATGGAAGTGCAGCCAGCCCCTTGCGAGAAAGAAGTTTACTCAAGTGCCCATAGTCCAGGATCCTAATCATTCTTTGCTTTTTCCATTAACTTTTATCTCAACCTGTACAAAGTCCACATGGCATGGGCCTTGGAGAAGTCTTCTCACCTGCCCTCTCTCCGTCATTCTCATTTCCCATAACCCCCTCAGTCTTTCTAGTTTGTCTTTTTATTTCCTTCTGTAATGCTGTATAAATTTCTCCATAAAATCAGGCACATCTTTTGCTCAATTTATTCCTAGGTACCTTTCAGGATGTCTTGCTGTTTTGATAGTATTTTTTTATTACAGTTTTGAATTGGTTATTGCTAATGAACAGGAACACAATCTATGTCTATATATTGACCTTGAGTTCACCTCGCAACTGTGGTGAGCTCTTACTCATTCTTGGAGATTCTTTGGGATTTTCTATATAGGAATGCAAGTGAAGACAGATTTGTTTCTGATATGGTTTGGCTGTGTCGCCACCCAAATCTCATCTTGAATTCCCACATGTTGTGGGAGGGCCCCAGTGGGAGGTAATTGAATCACAGGGGCAGGTCTTTCCCATGCTGTTCTGTGATAGTGAATAACTCTCACAAGATCTGATGGTTTTTAAAAGAGGAGTTACCCTGCGCAAGCTCTCTCTTTGCTGCCATCCATGTAAGACGTGACTTACTCCTCCTTGCCTTCTGCCATGATTGTGAGGCTTCCCCAGCCATGTGGAACTGTAAGCCCAATTAAACCTCTTTCTTTTGTAATTTGTCCCATCTTGGGTATGTCTTTGTCAGCAGTGTGAAAATGGACTAATACAGTTGATTTCTAATTCTTATGCAATTTATGTATTTTTCTCTTCTTATTGCATTGATTAGGATACCCAGTTCAGTGTTGAACAAAATCAATGACAGAAATTTTGTTTATCTTGTTCCTGACTAGCAGAACTATGTCTAAAGTTTCATCATTGAATGTGATGTTTGCTTTAATTTTTTGATAGATAAAATTGAACAGATTAGGAAAGTTTGTTTATTTTCCTACTTTGCCAAAAGTTTGTTTGTTTTTATTATGAGTACATGTTGGAGTTTATTAAATATGTTTTCTGCATCTTTTGAAGTGATACTCTGATTTTTCTATTTAATTTGCTAGTATGCTGTATTATATAATAATTTTTCTGATATTGAACTAACCCTGCATTCCTGGGTTAAATATTACTTAATCATAGCATATTTTCAAAATGTATTACTGAATTATTACCTAATATGCATCTGGAATTTGACTGTTCAAGTTCATAAGTGAGATTCTTAAATAATAAGAAATGGTGCTTTGAACATCATATAACACTAAGTTTTTAGATATTTATTAATTATCTCAAAGAGCCTGGCCCAGGGAGAAGACTGTGCCTGACCAAGAGGCATGTCCAACTGCCCACATGGGGTGATGCGGGAGGCACCTGGCTGATGCAGTGCCTGAAATTCCACAATTCAGGATCCACTCATGATTCTGGTAGGTTTTTGGTCCCCAAAAATCCCATTTAAGATCCAAGATACCCTGAAAGTGAGTCTCTACTGAAGCTATTTCAGGATTAGCTGCCACCCCAAGAGATGGGGCAGAGAAGACCCAGGTCACCCACTTGGCCAGTCCCAGGACCACTCCCATGGGGAGATGACACATCAGGTAGCAGTATCCTTGCATCCAAAGGGGAAAATATGTCCATGTTCTTCACCATTATAGGAGTAGGGCTGTGGACCAGGGGTGGCTGAACTCTTTAAACTGATAAACAGAACTTGTTTCTAGCCAAGCTGCTCTACTACAAAATCAATAAGAAATATAATTTTATCCCTAGAAGACATTTTTCTGTCCAGAATCATGGCACCATTCCAGCTTTTGTTCCCAAGCAGCATTTTGTATGCACCCTGGAAATGGGACAGGACTTTCTGAGGATCCCAAGAAGTTTGGGATTGTGGAAGGAGCTTTGGCATTGGAGTAGGAGACTGGGGTTCAAATCCTTACTCCTCTCCTTGTTCTCTGTGACTCCAAGCCCTTGACTTCTTAACGTGTAAAACGGGAATAGTTATACCCTACCTTCTAGGGTTGTAATGAGGATGAAATAAAATAACTGGTGCCAGGTGACTGGTAAGTAGGAGGTGCTCAGTCAATTCCCTCAGTGTCCTGGGGGGAGTAAGGGCAATTCCATGACCTCAACAGTAATAAGGAGCGATAGAGGGAAGTTGTGTCCTACTCCTTCCAGCGGATCACTGAAAGCCCAAGCTCCCAGCAGATTCAGAGGAGGCCTAGGGGTGTCAGCTTCTAGGAGGAGACTTGGTTTGGGCTGGGGGCAGAGCTCTATGAGAGGAGTACAGGGACTGAGTTACCAGCTGCTTGGTTCCAGAAGAAAGAACAAAAGAACTGTGCCAGGAGCAGGAATTTAAAAGGGAGGAGTCCAACAGGATTTTGATAGATGCATCTGCTACCCTAGGCACAGAGCAGCCATTTCTCTGTCCATCCCACTCCCATGCTCTTCCTCCCCACTATCCATCCATTCACTCACCTACATAAGAATTAACTCGCCCATCTATCCATTTTCCCGTCATCCACCTATCTACCCATCTACCTAACCATCTACACATTCATCCAACCATTCATGTCTCCATTTATTAATACGAAGTGTGGTAATAACAAAAATCACAGTGACTAATGTTTATTCAGTCCTCTTTGTGCCAGCCACTGTTGGAAGTGTTTCCTAGGTATAATTTAGTCCTCACAATAAGCTTAAGAGGAAAGTTGTATTATTATTATTCCCATTCTGATAAGAAAGAAAACTGAGGTCCAGAGAAAAGGATTGATTTGCCCATGATTACGCAGCCAGGAAATACCAGAGCTGAGATTCAACCGAAGACATCTGGCTCCAGAGAACACACTCCTAACCAATGCATTGAATGGCCTTCCATGGACTTACCTACCCACCAACCACTTAGCCTCCATGTCTCTTACCCTTCCTCTTTTCAAACCCATGTACCCTCCTATTCTTTTCACCCAACACCCATTCTCCCTTCTTATCCTCTAACCACTCAGCCATCTTTATTCCCTGCTAGTTATCCATTCCTCTTCCTCTTCCTGATCCTCTGTGCACCCACAAGTTCATCAATCCATGTACCCACCCTTTTTGGCAAAACCTATCCATACTTCCATCTAACAACAATTTACTTGGCACCTTATAATCTAATGATGTTTAAAGAGAAATAAATTTAGTCCCTGACATCAAAGGCTCACTTTTTAGTGAGGAAAAGAGGGAGGTGATCCAATGGGTGTAATTAGATGGCATACATGCTAAGGAAGAAGTGGTGCCAGGATGGCATGGGTGCACAGTAGAAGGGCCCTTGACCTCTGGAAGAATCTCTGAGGATTTGGAGGCTTACCTAGATGACCCAGGTAGAGGAGGTGAGAAATGGTGTTCTAGGCAGTAGGAGCCTCCTCTGCAAAAGCACAGACCCAGCTGTTTCCTAGCTCTGGTGGAGCTGGTGGGAGGGGGCTGGTCCCTTCCTCTCTCATAGGCTGTGGGAGGAGAGTGCTGGCCAAGCCATGGGCAGACTCCTCTGAGTTCCCCCATGAGGATGGAGACAGGTCCAGTCAGGGGCTGGCCAGAACAGGGGTGTGGAGCCAGCATCTGAGCTGAGACTCAGGGCAGATCTCTGAAACAGAAGTCAAATCCAAGGTTCCTTTAAGACCCATTCACTACTTGGCTTCCCCTAGAGACACCCTGCATTTGCTATTCTGTGCACTTTCCACGTGTTTGCAAGTTTTGATTGAACAAACACTGGCTGGGGCACAGTGAACCCAAATAATTGTGTGCCTGTCAACGGTACATGTTAATTGGAGAGTTGTAGAGTCCGCAGGATGGGTCACAAGGGAAAAGCCAATTACTCCATGTACCTGTTTGAAAGGCTCCCGCTCCTGGATTCCTGACTGGCATTAGAAAGCTCTGTATTGGTCCATGTTATTGATTTTCCTCCTGCCTCAGTTGATGGGCTCGTTAATTGACAATTACCTTTTTCCCTGTGTTGGGAAAATTGACAACAACGACCCGAAGTGTTCAAGTTTCATTTGAGCCGAGCTAGGCCTTTACCTGTTTAACCTATAACAAGTCCCAGGAGGCAACTCTGGGGAGCGGGAGCCTCCAAGGAGGCACCAGGGATGTTCAGGGTGAGCTTGGGTGCTATCGGATGCTGACTAGGGCATGGAGCCTGCCAGGGCCAAAAGCCTGAGGGTGGAGTTGGGCCCAGGCAGACTGAGGCCTATACACAAAAGCTCCCATTGAGACCAATTCATGTGTGGCTCCAGCAGGCAGTGAAGCAGGGGATGGCTGTTTCCTGAACACCTACTATGCACCAGACACTTGCTCCTAATTGCACTCCCCATAAACTTTTAATATTACAGGTAAGCTCTATATCTGTTATATACTGTATGTATGCTTTATATGTAAAACAAGTAATATTTTTTGTTCTGTTCCCCGACACAGAAAACAAATTGTTGCTGTGTTAGGGGGCAATATCGTCCCCACTGAGAATGTATGGTGTAGAGAAACTAAGGCAAGGACCCTGGAATATAGATTTGGTGGGGCTGGGGTCCCACTTACTCCAGACACACTGGGTATGGGCAGCAGAGCTTGGTCAAGGATAAAGGCTTAGGCATCTGGCTTGGGTTCAAGTCTCTCCTATGGCACTTAATGTTTGGCTTAACCTCTCTGAACCTCAGTCTTCTCATCTGTTAAATGGATCTGGAAACAGGATTCACTTTCCAGTGGCTCATAATGGTAATACAATGAAGTAATGTATGTAGAGTGCTTGGCACACAGTAAGCTCTCAATAAATTACAGTGGCTACTATGGTCATTACTTCCGGAACCCACTTGGTGATGAAGCAAGGATTCTTGGCATGCTCCCTGCTCCTCAAGGGCACAGCTATATCTTATTCATCTTGGTGGCCCTGGCCCTTGGTGGGGGCTGGGCAGCATCTGTTGCTGTGTGAACCGTCAGCTCTTGGGCAGGTTTGTTCTGGCTCTGATCAGGCCAAACAGCAGAAGAAAAGATCGGGGACAACAGGGGCTGCCCACGAGAACCTGGGGGCCACGTGTTCCTCTGGGAACACCATGTCCAGCCACCAAAAGGAAATTGCTGTTTTAGCCTCTGCAGATGTGTGAGCGACTTCAGAGACTTCCTTAAACTTCCGCCTCCCTCTGAAGTTGCCCAGCCAGACCATCTGCCCAAGGCTGACCCAATGTGCCCAAGGAGTCTGACGTTTTCTGCTTAGATGGGGGAAAACCCCGTTATTCCCGTTATTGAATGCCTGAGGGTCGGGGCTTGAAGGCTCAGTGCTAGCTGGCACCAGTCTCCTCCTCTTAGCCCAGCCGGGAGGTCAGACACTCTGGCATGGGATCAACAGCTACCCTGCCTGAAGAGTCACGCCTCTCAGACCAAGGGGCAAACTTTACAAGGACCAAAACCTTCCCCAGAGCTCTGTCGTGGGAGGTGGCCACTTGAGTGTTGCCAGTACCAACGGGACTGTTGCCATTTTATAATAGCTAAAGTTTCTAATTCAAATTCAGCAGAGGCATTCCCTTTCCCTCCCCACCCCCACCCTACCCCAATTATGCCTGGCATTTGACACTGTGCAGCCTCTTGGAGACTTGAGAGTTTTCACTGTACACCATGGCAGAGAAAACACACATCATCACAAACCCACCCAGTAGGCACAAGCCACAGACTTGGCTGGGTGCACTGATTTTCAATTATTTTTAAGCTGTTTATCCCCTTCTTCAAGTGAAATCTTATGTGGAGGCCAATTTATATCCAACAGTTACAAATAGCCCTAATGTGTGACAGGAACAGAAATTAACCCGTGTGTGAATATCTCCAGCTTTCTCCCAGCCCATCCCTCTTGCTTTCCAGACAGGCCTCAAGGGTTCTTCTTTGTGTATGTGATCACTATAGCGAGCGAGAGGAAAGAGAAGTAGAAGAAGCCTGACACCTGGTTGCTCTTCTTCCCTGCAACTCCTTCTCCTCTCCCTCCCCCTAGACCCCAAAACTCCAAGGATGCAATTTGAAAGTTACCAGTTGGTGGTGATGGGTTCAAATCCCAGCCCAGCACTCACTAGCCAGATCACCAGGAGCAAGTCACTTTGCCTCCCTGAGCCTCTATTGGTCAACTGTTCAAAATGAGAAAAAGAATCTCGTTACCCTTTCTCACTGCACTGCCACCGGGACAGAATGGATCTGTCAGTGTGAGAACAAAGTCTGAGGGGCTGTCCTGGGAACTGGGAAATCACCCTGTTGAGTTTTGTGTCTTTTGGACCCTTTAAGGTGGCAGGTGGCAGAGGCAGACACTCCACTGACTGTTCAGGATGCCAAGCCTGGGAAATCCAAACTGCTTATGTTTTGCTTGGAGAAAATTTTAAAAAAGGAATAGCACTTTCCTTTCCCATTCCATGGAGCAGGACCTGCTTTGCGCTCTGTTCTGAACATTTCGTTCTCTGAGTTTTGAAAGTATTCCTGTTCTGGTTTTGTTTGTGATTCCTATTTCTGCAGAGGAGAAATTTCAGCCACTGGAGCGGTAGTTGGAGGCCTCTCCGGGGCTTTTTCTGGGGCTCAGAGCAAGATGGTTTTAGGTGCTGCCCAAACATCGCTCTCCCCTGGGTATTCTTCCATGACCCAGTCTTTCTTCCCGGGGGGAGGCAGCAGGGACGAGATTGAGGTCCCTCACTGTGCAAAGAGGTAGGAATTGATGAGTTTCTCTGCACAGGTCCTGGTGACACTTGTGTGGGGTCTGGCTCAGTTCTCATCCCACTTACAGTGAAGGGGCCTATGTGTGGGGTGGAGGGGCCTTCAGGATTGCCCTGCCTAGAAACCAGAAGAGGGACACCAGCAGGGCCAAGTGGAAGCCACTTGCTTTTGGCAATTTGGAAGGGAAGACACTATAGGGAACCAGTGACTGCCAAGAGTCTCCTGTTGCCATGCTCTGTTCTGGGAGCCTTCTAAATGGCAGCTCATTACATCCTCAAGTGACTCTGTAAGGCAAGCAGAATTGTCCCCTTCTGGGGATGGGGAAATAGAGGTTCAGAGGAGTTAATGACTTACCTAGGACCCCACAGCTAATAAATGTGGTCGAGCCAGGATGGACAGAAGCCAAGAAGAGACTATCACTCAGTGAGATGGGGGAGACATTGGGAAGGGGGGCTTCCCAGGAGCCAGACCAGGTCTTGGAATTCATGTGCCCACAGGTCAAGGTGATCTGAAGCAGTTGGCTGGGCTGATTAGTAGGGGGCATCATCCATGCTGACAATGATGGTTTTTTGAGGATTACTGAGTGCATGTTGGTGGGTAAGAGGAACTCTGCTGAGGAATCTGAGGAGGCTGTTTGAGCCCAGCTGGGAGAAATGAGGGGAGGAGGTGGGCCCAGGATATTTAGCAACGCTGCAGCCTGTGGAGTCACTGACCACACAATGTTATTGCTTATGTCCCACGGCTGTTCTACTGAATGAGAGGGTTCAGGTTGGTTCTTGCAGGTCTGATCTTGGTCAGGGATACGGTCCTCTCTTCTGTGCTACTATCACCATCACTCTAGAAGTCCAGAGCCCCTCCTTCTGGTTGGGGGAAGAGTTTAAAAGCATCCTGGACTGTTGGACTCTGAGTTGCCCCTTCAGGGGTGGGTTGGAGGAGGGCTGAGCAGTTTCCAGGCACCAATGGGCATCACCTCAGACTGGATGTTTGGCCAGGGACCTGATGACCCCATCCCCAGGTGGTCCATACGGACAATAATGGGAAGGGAACCTCAGCACTCATGTAGCTTCCTTGATGCTGTGACAGGCTTCCCAGTTCCAGCTGGGTTTCATGGTGCTTCCTAATCTCCCTGACCCTCCCCTTTTTTCTTCCTGTTTATTCTCATCTGTAGTAAGAACCTCACTCTGCAAAGGTGCACCCCAAAGTGGTTAAGAGCCTGAACCCTGGCGCTAGCTGCTGGGTTCGAGTCTCACCTCTGATACAGGCTGCTTGACTTTAGGCAAGTGACTTCATCTCTCTGCCTCAGTTTCTTCCTCTGTAAAGTGGAGATCATAATAGGATCTACCACGTAGACTTAGCTATGAGGATTAAGTGCCAAAACACTTGCTTCTTCTGGGACTTCACACTGTCCTCCAGGCGATGAAAACTCACAGATGTTACCCCCAGTGGATTCTCAGTGTAGGTGGGAGTGATAAAGTGAACTGGGCAGAGGAGGGTCAGTGCAAAGCAAAGGCCCAGAATGGAAGTGAGTAAATGGCCAGGGAAGATAGCAGTACCATGGGAGAGTTTTAAATCTAAATTCCAGGTTTACAAAATGCCAAGTAGAGCAAAAATATGGTAGGTCTAGAGCAGGGGTGTCCAATCTTTTGGTTTCCCTGGGCTACATTGGAAGAAGAATAATTGTCTTGGGCCACACATAAAATATACTAACTCTCACGACAGCTGATGCACTAAAAAAGAAAAGAAATCACAAAAAACATCTGATAATATTTTAAGAAAATTACAAATTCTTGATGGGCCGCATTCAAAGTTGTCCTGGGCCGCATGCGACCCATGGGCCGTGGGTTGGACAAGCTTGGTCTAGAGCCTAACCCAGCATCAGGTTAGATGGTGGAGGATTGGACAGGAAGGAATGATGAGGAAGGTACTCCAGGAGGCGAGACCTGCTGGGGCAGAAGCATGGAGGCTGGAAACCCTGGGGGGAATCCAAGGAGGAGCACCTCTGTGGTTGAGGCTGACAGCGGGTCCACGGAGGGGCGTTAGGTAGTGCCCAGCACAGAGGTGGTTTTGTGGGCCAGGCACCATGTTAGCAGCTTGCCAGGATCATTTCACGGACTCCTCATGCTAACTCCATGAGGCCTATCACGATCTGCATTTTGTAGAGCAAAACAGCCTCCAAGAGGCTAATTCCTTGCCCAAGATCCCTCAGTAAGTGGTGGGTACAGGCATCAAGTCTGTCTGTCAGTCAGTCTGTCCACAGGGCCACTCACCTTCCCAGTACTCCACACTATCACCCAGGTAATGCGAAAAGAGTCATAGAGAATGAAGGGGAAGCTAATTTGGCCCAAGCCCCAAGGACTTGGAGAACTCAAGAGGGGCATTTCAACTTTAGCCTTCTTAGGGCAGGCCAGCCACCAAATGGGGTCTCACACATTTGAAGTGTCCACAGATATTAATTGGCAACCTGGAAATCCGGGCTGTCAGCCACTGGTTTTATATCTACGGAGAAGGGGCTGACTTCTATATGGTTGTCCTGCTCATCTCCCTATTCTCCTGCCTGCTAGGAGAAAAATTGTCCCTGGACCCACTTTCTTACCTGCACACTTGCTCTCGCACATCAGGTACCATGCTATTGATTCTGGTATCATCAAGGCTTGCCACGTTCCAAATGCCAATCTTCTTTTCCTTGTTGGGCCCCTAATCTTTTAGAGCAGCAGTTCCCAACCCTGGGCACCAATGAAAATTAACATAGGAGCTTTAACAAATACTCATGCCCAGGCCTTCTAGTCTGCATGAAGGCCCAGGCACTAAGCATTTTATTTATTTTTTCTTTTAAGACAGTGTCTCTCTCTGTCACCCAGGCCGGAGTGCAGTAGCACAATCATGATTCACTGCAGTTCGATCTCCCGGGCTCAGGGAATTCTCCCAATTCAGCCTCCCGAGTAGCTGGGACCATAGGCACACACTGTCATGCCTGGCTAATTTGTTTGTATTTCGTAGAGACAGGGTCTTGCCATGTTGCTCAGGCTGGTCTCGAACTCCTGAACTCAGGTGATCAGCCCACCTTGGTCTTCCAAAGTGCTGGGATTATAGACATAAGCCACCTTGCCCCACCAGGCATAAAAATTCCCCAAAAAGAAGCACCGCTTTAAAGAAATCCCTTGGAATATGCTGCAGACCCCCTAAGCACTGCCGGGGGTTTCCTTTCCACTCACATCAGCGTGTTCCATCCTATTAAAGCCCACAGAACACAAATCAAATGATTCCTGCTGGCCAGAGAATGGGTCTTTGGAAAACAGAGCTGAGGCTTGGTGCTTGCGTCCTGAGGCGAGTTCTAACTGTGTCCCTGCCAGTTCAGTTTCTGTGGCTTCAGAGCCATCGGTACCAGCATTATTCCTGTGCCATCTCACCCACGATATCCAAAGCCCCACTGAGACTTTTATTGTCCACTTTATATTGTTGAACAGGAGTCTTCGATGCTTGTGGTCGTAATTTTAAAATATTAAATTACATTGAGCATTAAGGGCTATGTTTTCTGTTAGGAGACAGGTTAATTGCGGCTCTTCATCTTTAATTTTGAGATTTAAGCTGGTTTCCCATTTAGCTCTAATTGGTAGTGTTCCGGCAACCCTCCCTGACCTCTGAAGCCTTTGATATGGTTTAGAAATCCTTTTATGGAAGCCCCTTTTTCTTTTGTCCTGCACATTTAATAGATTTGTATTTCCTCAGTCATCTTTCCTTCTGTGGAGATATTTCAAAATCACACCATGAGTCTGCAGGGAATAAATGCCTCCTTTCCAGCAAATATATATATTTTTTAACAGCGATTGGCAAAAGAGAATTAATTGCCTCCATTCACACACACCTCTTCCTTGCTGTGTTCCATTTTCGTACGGAGATTTTTAATCCTTTCTTCTGTAGCCAGTGTGAATTTGTCTGTGAATGCTCACGCTCTTAAAGTGACGTTCTGAAATAGACCTAAAGAGAGTATCCACTCCAATCACTCCATTTTACTGATAATAATATCACCATAATCATGCTTTATGTGTCAGGGGAGAGCACTTATTGTGGGGAGAGGGACAGGGGGTGGTAATGAGCCCCTTGTCCCTGGAGGAGTTCAAGCATAATTTGGAAGCAGCTTGTCAGACATATTGTAGAAGCAAATATAGCATAAGAACTAAGAGGTTTTCTGTCAGGAAGACCTGAATTTAAATCCCTGCCACTCCCTGAGCCTTGAGCAACTTAGGTGTCATCTTGAGCCTCCATCTCCCAGTCTATAAAATGGAGTTAATAATAATACTTACCACATAAAGCTATGGTGGAACTGGGTGAAATGATACCTGGCTCTTAGTAAGTGCTCAGTAAACGCAGGTTGCTGTTATTAAATGTTATAGATGGCATCCAGGCTTCAGTGGTCAAGAAAGGGTAGGAAGAGGGAAGACATCAACAAAGCGAGGTTTTTAGAATTATCTTCAATCCTCAGAACTCAACAGCCTGTTAGAGTTTACAAAGTGCTTTTTGTTTTTGTTTTTGTTTGTTTGTTTGCTTGTTTTTTGAGACAGAGTCTCGCTCTGTCACCCAGGCTGCAGTGGTGCCATCTCTGGAGTGCAACCTCCGCCTCCTGGGTTCAAGCTATTCTCCAGCCTCAGCCTCCCACGTACAGATGCTCGCCGCCATACCTGGCTAATTTTTGTATTTTTAGTAGAGATGGGTTTTTGCCATGTTGGCCAGGATGGTCTTGAACTCCTGACCTCAAGTGATCCGCCTGTCTCAGCCTCCCAAAGTGCTAGGATTACAGGCGTGAGCCACTGCACCCGGCCAGAGTTTACAAAGTGCTCTCATGCCTGTAATTTCAACTTATCTTCACCACTGTCCTTTACCCAGACTAAGTGTGGAGACATGGAGGCTCAGAGAGGTGAAGTGCCTTGCCCAAAGTCACACAGCATACAGATTCAGACATACCCTTCCTTCGTGCTGCTTTCACAAAACTCTGCCATCTATCTGTTCTGTGTCCTTCTGCTTTATCATGAGGATATTTCCTAAGATCCCAGGATCTGCCTTTGCACAGTGGGCATGCTCTTTGTCCTCCCAGACTCTTATTCCAAGGGAGATGTGTGCCAATTTAAATGCAGGACTTGGAGCTGTTTCTTTTATTCCTAAGTATGTAGGGCAATCAAGCAGTCCAATAATAATAATACATAATGTTGGATACTCATAATGTACTTGTTTCATCTGGCAGCCTTAGAATTTTAATTTGATACAAGGACCATTATTACTCTATATTCATTAAATCCCATGTTAACCTCTTTTAAAAATGCATTTTCTGACAATCATAGAAGACAATTTTACATGAGGAAAGTCATTTAGGGAAGAAGATCTGCTCAATAGGTTTTTCCTAGCCTGATTATGGGCTGGGCTGACCACCTCACCCATACCCCTCACTTCCCACATTTTCTATCCCACAGTTCTAGTCTCCCCTGGCAGAGTTTAACAACATCAAGTACAAGTGGCCATTCTCATGGGGGACTCCTGGATGCATCTGTAGGAGGGGCTTCCCACCAGCTCTGATCATAGCTCAGCCAGCTCCCAAGTGAGCCCCTTGGCAGAAAGAGGCCCTGTGTGCCTCACATGCACCAATGTAATGATACCAGGAAATTTTAAAGGCTCGTAATTATAAAAGATTCAACAATTAGAGGAAAGACAGAATAGTTCAGAGCAGAAGGAGAGGGAGGGGAGGGGAGGGATGATGTGGGAGGGGGTGGGGGAAGTGGGGTAGATCCTGCCTGACCTTATAGAATTATACACTCAGGATGGAGCTGGAGGCCATTATTCTTAGAAAACTAATGCAGGAACAGAAAACCGAACACTGCATGTTCTCACTTATAAGTGGGAGCTAAATGATGAGGACATATAGACACATAGAGGGGAACAACAGATACTGGCGCCTACTGGAGGGCTGGGCGGGGGGCGGTGGGAGGAGGGAGGCAATCGGGGAAAATAACTAATGGGTGCTAGGCCTAATGCCTGGGTGATGAAATAATCTGTATAACAAACCCCTGAGACACAAGTTTAACCATATAACAATCCTGCACACGTACCCCCTTAACTTAAGATAAAAGTTAAAAAAAAGAAAAAAGAATTATACATCTAAGAGTTGATCAGGGGCCAGGGAAAGAGCTTGAACATGAATCAAACTCAGTTCCCTGCAGGGGCCAGACCCTGTCTAAAGACACTGAAATCCACAAGTCCCCCACCCCTCCCTGCTTACACACCTTTTAACTCTTCACACCAAAGGAGACAAATCTACGGGTCTAATCTGGTGCTAAACTCTGGCTCAACCAAGCTTTCCAACTGTTTTCCTGTGGTGCCTCAGAGCTCCTTAGGGTGAGGAGTGAGGGGTGAGGGGTCCTCGCCCTATCTATAAACTGGGCAGCCCTACTTTTGTTTTTCAGATTGACTCCACACACACATTGATGTGAAGAAGGAATGCGAAGCCCATGCACGCTGACCCTGTTCGGTCCCCTTGTTTTGCAGATCAGGAAACCAAAGTCCAGAGAAGAACAGGGTCTTGTCCCAGACATGTGGCTGAGTTGGAACCAGAATCCAATCCTAACTCGGCTGCAGCAGACTGTGTCAATTAGCATTAGCTAAGGGTGGTAACACCACTACCGTCACATCCTTTGCTGCTATCAGAGGATAACCCCAGTTTACTGTGGCCTTAGCGAGTACCAGAAACTTGTTCAAAAAGCGTGTTTTAATCTCATTTAATCCAAACAGCAGTTCTACAAGGCAGCTGTTACTGTCCCCATTTCATAGATGAGGTCACTGTGCTCAGACAGATAATCAGCCAGGGAATGACAGAGCGGGGCTTGAACCCAGGCCACTGCCAGGTTCAGCAGCCTCTACCCTTCACCACTGTGCTTTGAGGTTTCAGTCAAAGGGATACAAAAAGTCTCGGAAACATCTAAAGTGCTAAAAAAAAAAAAAATGCAAGACCCTGTACTAATGCCGTTATAAAATGTAGATGAATGATTTGGTTTGGGGCCTTTATTTTTTCTCTTTCATGCAGTAAAATTCCATCAGAAAAGAAAAGCTCTTTAGACTAGCAATGTATGTATGAGGCACTTATGGGTTAGAAACACATTCACTGAGAAACATTTATTTGGAACCTTTTCTGGGCTCAGCACTGAGTTAGGTTCTAGGGATTCGGAGATAAATAAAACCAGTTCCAGCCCTCAAGGCACTCAGGGAGGCAGAGACATAGAGCAGCAATCACATTCCAGTGAAGAAAGTGTCAGGTGAAAGAATGGTCTGGCAGCCAATAAGGGCGCTAACGGGACCTGACCCCATGTGCTGGCCCAGAGCACAGGCCCTGCTCTAGACTGCTTTGGGTTCAAACTCTTTCTCTTCACTTACTAGCTGTGTGTCCTTGGGCATTTTTCTTGACCTCTCTGTGCCTGAGTTTCCTCTTCTGTAAAATGAAAATTATAACAGATGAGCAAAGATTCCTACCTCAAAGGGTTGCTGTAAATATTTCATGAGCCATGGACCCTTTGGAAGTCTGTTGATGCTTACAGACTGTATTTCCAGTATTCCCTCCTGGGAATACTGTTTTTCAATGCAGACCATAAAAACACATAGGACTTCAAAACACTTATAACTAATTATATTAAAAATAGTATCAAAATATTAAAAACATAAATTTATAATTTAGCAATGCATGTGCTTCTTTATTAAGACCTTAAATAATAAGATCCAGCCGCACATCTAATCAGCTTCATAATTTAGAAGTGGTAATGGACATAAATGGTATTTCCAGGCCTCTGCAACTGCGTAATGTTGGGAATTTATCTGTCATTTCTACTGGTGACATGCAACTACAAGAAATGCTCAATTTCAGTTAAGATTGGTGAGCACAGAGATGTCATTTTTCCCTTCCAAGTTCTTCAACCCCCCGAATTCTACCAGAGGACCTGCTGGAGGCCCGGGGACCCTGATGATTAAGTCCCGGGGCAAATGGGGGGAGGTATATGATGCTGATGGGTCAAGCAGGAGGCGCGGCCTGGGGCTGGAGGAAAAGCCCTCCCCTCAAGGGGCTTCAGGGAGAGGCTGTGAGGTCTGAGTCAGCACTTTGCACAGGTGTCCTGGAATGAATTATACTGGTTGAGAATAACTGACATTCAGGACCAACCATGGGCAGTTTCTAATATTCATGCACTGCACCCATCCTTGACTTGTAACAACCAGCATGATGGTTAAGGGTGGGCTCTGCCTAGATTTCTATCTCAACTCTACTACCCACTCTGTATCGCCTTGAAAGGGTCTCTACCTTCACTGTATCTCAGTTTCCTCATCTACGAGATAGAAAATGTTGTCCTGATCTCACAAGTGTGCGAAACAATTCCAGGAAATGCCTCGGCAAGATGTGATCCATGTGGTAAATGCTCTGTGGCATTAGATATTTTTGTTTGCTAAAACATAGGCTAGCCTTATAGATGCCATCAGATTAGTAAACAAGAATAAGCCACTTCTCACTTTGGGAGGCCGAGGCAGGCGGATCACTTGAGCCCAGGAGTTCAAGACCAGCCTGGGCAACATGGCAAGACCCCATCTCTACAAAAAATAAAAAAAAATTAGCCAGGCATGATGTCTTGCACCTGTAGTCACAGTTACTTGGGAGGCTGCAGTAGGAGGATGGCTTGAGCAGAGGAGGTTGAGGCTGCAGTGAGCCGTGATCACGCCACTGCACTCCAGCCTGGGTGACACAGCAAGACTATGTCTCAGAAAAAGGAATAAGCCCCTTTAGATAGTGTGGGATCCTGGTTCAGAGCACAGGCTGTGGAGTGAGAAAATCTGAGTTTAAATCCCAGCTCTGCCACCAAGCAGATAAATAACTTCATGTTTGTTCCTCCCCTCTCTGGGTCTCACTTTCATACTCTGTAAAAAGAGAAAATAATACTGTCAATTGCACAGTGCGGTTGTGAAGATTAAATGAATTAATGTAATGCTTCGAACAAGTCTTAGCACATGTTAAATGCTCACCTGCTAGCTCCAATATTATTAGGACTGATACTCATTGCCTAGTGAGTGAATCTAGCAGCTTCCCAGTGCTCATACTTTATTTCCTAAACTCCAATCATCTTCATAAAGGGTCTAGGGAGGCACTTCATTATTTATTTATTGAATAACTTATCTCCCAGAGCAATGGTTATAGACAGATCTGAGATGCTGAGATATTTTTTTGGAGAAGTAGAAGGACTGGGTCACTATATGCCACCTATGTGATTTATTTGATTCTTGCAGCGGTCTTTCCACAGAGTTACCATTTTCCTCATTTTACTGATGAAGAAATGAAGGTTCAAAGGCAAGGCATTTAGCCCAGGTTTGCAAAGGCAACGAACAACAGAGCTAGGATTTGAACCCAGGCTTGTCCTACGCCCAGAAACCTCAGTTGCAGCGACTGTTTCCTGCTGAGCCAGAAGGGTGCTGAGTTGAGCTTCCTGCTTGATAACTTAAATCTTCATTTTTAATGCATAATCACCCTGTTGGAAGAGAGTTGCCTCCACTTTCTCTCAGACTGTGCAGCCTTCATAAGTTAGGGATGGCAGACGGGACCATAGCAAATGCTGGGCATTTTACCCCAGAGCAGCCAGCGTGGCACTGGCCACATTACGGGACAGAAGTCAGATCCCTGTTTTTCTTCCAGCCCTTTCCAGAGCAATCAGGGGTGAGATGGAAAGGTCCTAAAATAATAAAAGATGTCCCTAAGTTCTGGGAAGCCCAAGCATTAGTTCACTTATTTATTCACCAAAGCACGTATGGAGCCTCCACTGGGCACTGAAGATAGAAGGATGAATAGCACCTGACTCCCTGTTACAGGAACTCTCACCTCTGGAGACACACATATACACCATAAGTATGTGTCACTGTGACCTGACACATAATTGAGGTGTTGCAAAGGGCTACGGGAGCTAAAAGGAGGGAATGATTAGTTCTCATGAGGGTTGGGAGTGTCCAGGGAAGACTTTGTCAAAGGATGTGTCATAAGAAAACAAGTAGGTGTTCACCAGAGAGAGGAGTGGGAGCCATCAAGGATGGAGGGGGACCAGAACCAAGACTTAGCATCTACCTTCCAGTAGCAGGTAGGTTCTGTGCCAGGCACTTCACCTGCTGTATCTCATTTCATCTTCACAGAAGTCCTATTGGGCAGGCTTCAGTGTTTTCATTAATGGTGGAGGAAATGAGACGCAGAGAGGCTAAGAGACTTGCCCCAAGGTCACACAGCTGGGAGTGGTGGGGCCAGATTGCCACCCAGGGCTGGCTGAGGGCACGGCTTGTGTTCCTGTTCACATTGAACCCTGCCAAAGGAGGTGCACTAGCAAAGACAGAGGAAGGAAAGGGTCCGGGCTGTTCAGAGAGGGAAGCTGCAGTAAAGAAGTGCCCCCTAAGAGGAAAAGCTATTGGGGCCAGAGACAAAGGTTCTGAAGATCACACCCCAGAAAATGTTCTGTGTTGCTGTGGTAGATTGTTATTACAATGGCCCCCAATGGATCACCAGTCCCTGTATCCACACCCTTTGCAGTGTGGATTGCCACTTCTCCCTACAAAAGGTAGAGTTTATTTCCCCACCCCTTCAGTCAAGTTGATCTATGACTGCTTTGTGAATGTAGCGGGAGGGACCTTGTGAGCATTCTAGAGCCCAGGTCTTGAGAGGTGTGAGGCTTCCAATCTCAACCTCCTGCTGCCCTGAAACCCCATGCAAGGAAGGCTGAGCCAGCTTCTTTGAGGATGAGAGTCCACGTGGAGAGAGAGATGCCGCACCCCCACCCTAGCTGCACAACCAACTCAGCTGAAGCACTATGAAGCACCAGACAGGCACATGAGCTGCCTTGGATCTTCTGGTCCTGGTCCAACCACCAGCTGAATCCAGCCTCACAAGAATGACTGCAGATGACCCTTTGTGGAGCAGAGACAAGCCACCCACTGCACCCAGCCCAGACTGCAGAATTGGAAGCAAATGGTTGTCACTGTTTTGAGTCACTAAGTTTTGGGATGGTTTTTCATGCAGCAATCGTTACTGAAATTGTTGCCATTTGGAGGTAGTCTATAGACTGAATTTAGTTCAAATGACCTAAACTCCTCCCAGCTCAGTTATTCTGCAAACCCCCTCCCTGTTGAGGGCAGGCATGTAAAGGCTGGACCAGAATCCTGGGACCCATTGCATAGCAATCACGGAGACAGCTGGGTTCTCCTTTGGAAGCTGGAACCAAACAGCCTCCCCTCCTTGGTTGATCCATTTGTTTTACTGCCATTTTTCTTTCCTTTATCCTTTCATCACTGATGGTGGAGGCAGCTGCCAAAATAAACTGGGGCAGCCCTCACAGCCGGAAAACACCAACTGCCTGAATGTCTTTGCTTCTATTTGCTTCTTTCTGTGCAACATACTTTTCTTTTTATTCATGTAGCATCTTCCCATTAAGGACCCAGGATCACTAGGAAGTAGAGTCTGTCTCAAAGACACCAACTGAGCCCTTAATCCATACCAAGCACTTTATGTATGTGTCTTATTCCATTTTGTGCTGCTATGACCAAATACTACTGACTGGGTGAGTTATAAACAATAGAAGTTTATTTGGCTCATGGTTCTGGAGGCTAGGAAGTCCCAGGTCGAGCCCACCTCTGGTGAGGACCTTCTTGCTGCATCATAACATGGCAGAAGGCACTACATGGTAAGAGAGAGCAAGAGATCGAACTTGCAGTTCAAGCCCTTTAATAATTGGCATTAATCCATTCATGAGGGTGGAGCCTTCTTGCCCTAAACACCTCCCCTCAGGTGCCACCTCCCAACACTCTTGCATTGGGGATTAAGTTTCCAACACATAAACTTCAGAGGACACATTCAAACCATAGCAGCATAGTATCATGATTAGACATTATTTATGCATTCCTACTGTGTACTTGATGTGTTTGCATACCTTACCTTTAATTCTACTGTAGGATTGGTGCTATTACCCCATTTCAGACAGGGGAATTCTGAGACTCGGAGGGGTTAAATGACATGTTAGTAGGTGGCAAAGCTGGACTTTGGGCACATGCCATCCAGCTCCAGAGCTGGAGCTGTTTCCATGCTGCATAATGTTTCCTTTCTAAGAAAAGAAAAATCTGGCAACCAAGAGTCCAGGTGATGAGAACATATTGCCTAGGATACATTGAGCATGACTAAGCTCACAGGAGCAGGAGATGGACATGCAAGAAGTTGTCTGTGTATTGCAAAAGATGACTCTCTTTTTACTGAATTGGCAGTCAAAGTGCCCTAAATTTTACCCTCTGATGTCCTGCTGCAACAGAGAATTTAATGGAGTCTGGGTCTCCACCCTGCTCACCAAAAACCCCTACTCTTACATAAGCTCTTTGCACACTCTGTCCTTGGTAACTGCCTGCAGCAGAAAGGACCTGGAAGGAGTGTGCCAGAGGGGCATTCCACACTTGAGCAGTCCTGAGCAGAACCCCCACTTCCCAGATCTGAGCATTCTTTGAAGAGCTGTGGCTGCAGGGATCACCCCTCACTGCAAGACACTGGGGTCCAGGCTCTCTACCTGGGCATGTCACTGCCTGGGGCTGAATCACCCACAGAGAGACCAAGTTCAGGCTTTGCCCACCGGTAAGGGAGAAACACACCCACAAGATGCTATTTATATTTCCAAAAAGAAAAAAAATGGATGAAAATAGACCTCAAGAGCGAAAATCAGAACTTTGTTTAACTTTCTTATACCTACTTTACAGACAATTTCATACCGTTGTTATTTTGGATTATTACAAGGAAGGAGGCATCTTAATCATCTCAGTGTAGGGCCTTTAAAGGTACCAATTTGTCCCCTCAGAATGCCCCTCTCTGGACCACAGTATCTCCATCCACAAAAAACAAAATAATGATGCTCATTTGTGTTCTCAAACCAGGCTGGGAACTGAGGTCCCAATTTAGGGACTGCTATCCTAGTGATTCTGAGTGAGAAGATGGGGCCCAGGAATCTGCATCCTAACACATATCCTCTGGTGATTTCTCTCCCAAGGGCAGGTCTAGAAAACTTAAGTTTGAGGACTGCTATAGGCAGTCCTGGTTTGCTCAGGCCTGAGTGGTTTCCTAGGGGTTGGGACTTTCAGTGTTAAAACTAGGGAAATTCTAAGCAAACTGGGATGAGGTGGTAATCTTAACTGTACTGCATGCTCATTCAGGGCCTCCTGGCATGAACTTGCTATGACTCTGCAACAGCAAGCATAGAAGAGAAACCTTTCCTCCTTAAAGCAGCTGAAAATGCAGTATCTTGTTTCTAAGGTTGCTAAAATGAGATTAAAAGCTATCCTAATTCAAGGTGGTGTGAGGCCTCTTGGTTCATGCCCTGGCTAAAGGCCACAAAATTAAATCCTCAGAGTCTGAAATCTTTTTTTTTTTTTTTTTTTTTTTTTTGAGACAGAGTCTTGCTCTGTCACCCAGGCTGGAGTGCAGTGGCACGATCTTGGCTCACTGCAACATTCACCTCCTGGGTTCCAGCGATTCTCCTGCTTCAGCCCCCTGAGTAGCTGGGACTACAGGTGTGTGCCACCATGCCCAGTTAATTTTTGTATTTTTAGTAGAGATGGGGTTTCACCATGTTGGCCAGGATGGTCTCGAAATCCTGACCTCAGGTGATCTGCCCATCTCAGCCTCCCAAAGTGCTGGGATTATAGGCATGAGCCACTGCGCCTGGCTGAGTCTGGAATCATTAATTCCAGCATGCTGCTTCCATTCAGACTCCCACAGATCCTCCAGCATTATCTCCTGAGAAGCTCTGATTCTGAGTTTTCACTATCTTCATGTGCAAAGGGACAGGGACAGGAAACAAAATTTGGGGACCCCTTTCATCTCTCTTTGGTTTTTAATTTTTTTCTTTTTTTTTCAGAAAATGTGAGAGTACATTATCTCATTTTGTCCTCACAACAAACCTGCTGGTAGGATTTATTTTTATTTTATAAATAACAAATCTAAAACCCAAATCTCTCCAGCAGGTAGTCACAAAATAGGTTGGGACCCACAGCTTCTCCTTGTAACACACCAGACTTCCCACTTGCCAAGCCCCAGGAAGGGGCAATGGTTATAAGGATGCATGTGGAATAAGGGGGAGGTTTTACAACCCAAGAACAGGAATGAGAAAATGATAAGGCCTCAAAGCATAGCTTGTTGCTGCTGTTATTAGATTTCTCTAAGTCAGCAATGGCCAATAGAAATATAATTCATACTATAATGTATAATTTGACATTTTCTGGACACATTTAAAAAGCAGAAACAAACATGAAAAACTAATTTGATAACATTTTATTTAACTCAATATATCCAAAAGATTATTATTTCAGCAAATAATCAATGTAAAACATATTAATGGGACATTTTATGTTCTTTTGTTTTGGTACAGAGTCTTTGGAATCTGGCATTTATATCTTACTCTTACAGCACAGCATTTCAAGTGCTCAATAGCCACATGTGCCCAGTAATTACTGTAATGTATGGCATACCTCTAAGTCTTTGGTTCTTTCTGCTAGATCTGTTCAATTCTGAAAAGGTGTATTAAAATCTTCAACTTAAAATTGTATTTTGTGACAATTTTCCTTCCACCTCTAATACTTTTTGCCCTTTGTATTTAGTTGCTATGTTATTTGGCACATACATGTTTATGACTATATCCTCTCTGTAAAATACGTCCTATATCATTATATGATGTACCTTTTTCCTGTGGAGTGCTTCTAGTCCTCAGTTCCACTTTGTATACTATTCACATCAATCTACCCTCCTGCTTGCTTGCTTCAATTTTTGTTTCTGTTTTTGCATTTGACTGGTATCAGGTACTTTTCTTCTGAGGCTTCTCCATTCACATGACCCAGCTATTCTAACTCTCTGCTTCTTTTTATGGGTTGATTTGTGCCTCCTTTCATCTCCCACTCTATTTTTTTTCTATCTGAAGGTATTTGCTTATTTATGGGTTCTGCTGTCTTATACCTTTGGTTCTCCCTGACCTTTCAAAACCCAAGTCAACCTCCTGCTCCTCCTATGCATCATTTACATTATATATTAAGCTACCCACATTTGGCTGGGGTAAATGTTAAAGATACCGAGTCCCTGGCCCCTTTCCTTGGAGATTCTTTCCCCCATGGGACAGGGCTTAGCAATCCATATTTTAGCAACCTCTCCAAGTGATTCTTATGACTCAGCAAATGGGGGCTATGTACACTCCCAAATCACTTTCCCTCCACAATATGGAAGAGTCTGTCTGGCATCTAGTTAGGCTGGCAGAGGTTCTGAGTAACACAAAGGAACAAAGAAGGTGATCCTGCTGTGTTAGATTGTTTCGATTAGTTCCACTGCTCAATGACTTATAGCAGAAGGTGACAGATATGTTTTTCCTAAATGAAACTCCTATAGTTACAAATTTTCTTTTACCCAGAGCCCACCTACCTATCACTGCTTAAGAATTGGTTTGTTTTTAAAATTGACACATGGGTGTTTTTATTTTTTCCCCCTCGTTTCTTTTTTGGGTGGGAAGCAATAAGGCTCTATTTGCTAAAGAAATGGAGGGGAATGTTTCCAGTTCTCTCTAATTGAAATGATCTCATATGCAAACACAAAAAATTAAGCCATAAATGCGCCTTTGCAGAATTGAGGGGTAATGACCCCAGCTTAAGATAGAAGGCGATGATCCGTTTCATTGTCTAAAACCATAAGCATCTGTCATGTGCAGAAGGTTTACTGGGGGAGCTGCCAGAGTGGGAGAGGGGCTCTCTTCCTTCTCTTCTTTCTTCCTTCTGGTCTTCCTTCTTTTCTTCTGTCTCACTTTTCTTCTTTCCTCTCACTTGTCAGAGGGGAGAGGCCAAAGGTGGGTAAAGTGGAGGAAGTCAGGCAGGTCCCTGAGGATGGTCCTAGTGCACAAGCCTCTGGATCTTAAGGAATCTGTAGGCTCTGGGCCCCAGCTTAGTCCCTGCCCCCACCCCTGTGGGCACAGCCTATTTAGTAACTATTCTTTCAGGAGGGCTGAGTGTGTGTGTCCTGCAGTCACTTATATCATTCCTGATGAGGAGGGCATTGCCACCCCTATATTTGGCGAGGATGCTTGAGGAGCTGGAGCTTGACACCATGATAGCAGAGGGAGACAGTCTGGGTGAGGGGATGGATGGGTGCCTTCACAAAGACTCACTCTTGTAGGCACCCACTGTCCCATCAGCATCATCCACCCTTCCTTCTTCTCTAGATTGGCGCTTGGCAAACTTGCGTAAATGAAGTCTTACTGGGACACAACTATACCCATTTGTTTATGCGTCATCCATGGCTGCTGTCATGCTAGCCAGGGGTATCAGCATGTCAGGCATTTGGGTGCCGACATTTTAAGTTCATCTATTTTTGTGTGCTTTGGAAAGCAAAGAGCACTATAGTGGAATGTTTTTCTTTAGGCAGGATTTCTACCTACAGAGTGTGGACATGAGCTTAGTTTAGTTGTTGCGCCAGAGACCATATGGCTTGCAAAATCTAAAATATCTACTGTCTGGTCTTTTATAGAAAAAGTTTGCTGACCTCTGGCTTAGACTAAACAGATTTAACCCCTGAGTTTTGAGAAAAGAGAAAGGGGCACCTGAACAAAAACAGGCTTCTGCCAGCCACAAAGAGGGGAGAAATGGCTGTCAACACCCAAGAACACCGGGGCAAAGGCCTTGCACGACCAGGTATCTGTCACATCCTAAGACATTGGTTAACCTCTCTATAACTCAGCCCCTGCCCTGAGAGATGAAACTGACTCCCCTCTGTCATACAGCTGCTGTGAAGACCCCATGATGTGATGTGGGTGAACATTCTCTGGAAGACTCAGCTCAACCCCCTTGCACTTGGTCAGCACAGGCTGAGGAGGAGTGTGGACCAAGCTCAAGGAGGCAGACCCTGGGGCCCACAGACATGAGTTCAAGCCTGGCTCCCTTACCTGTTAGCAGTGTGGCCTTAGCTAACTTCCTCGGTGCTCTGAGCCTTAGTCTCCTCATCAATAAAATGAGGACGATGATAGCCATTGGGTGTTACTGCAATGATAGATGTCACAAGGAAGGTTTCCAGCACAAAATGACACTCTCCTTCAATGGTAGCAGTGTTTTTCCTGCCTTACAGGACCTTATATAAGCAACAAACACCACATGAATGCAAATGCCAATTGGTTTTTTTCTATCCTGATCCAGTGCCTCTGTGTAGGAGGGCCAGGCTTAAGACTCCCAGCTGAATACCCAGTTCAGAAGGGGTATGAATTGAATCCAAGCTTTCCTCATTGTTAGCCCAGTCTCCTTTTACAACTCCTCATTGCAGCTAATTTGCTTCGTGACTTTCGGAAAATCAGTCAACCTCTCTGGGCCTTAGTTTTCCTCTCTGGAATGGAAACCATACCCACAGTATGTGTCATCTTGGCTGGGCCACAGTGCCCAGATATGTGGTCAAACGTGTTTCTTTTTTTTTCTTTTCTTTTCTTTCTTTTCGTTTTTTTTTGTTTTTTTTTTTTTTTTTTTTTTTTTTGAGATAGAGTCTCACTCTGTCACCCAGGCTGAGTGCAGTGGTGCAATCTTGGCTCACTGCAACCTCCACCTCCCAGGTTTAAGCAATCTTCCCACCTCAGCCTCCTGAGTAGCTTGGACTACAGGTGCATGCACCACCATGCCCAGCTAATTTTTTTGTATTTTTTTTTTTGTAGAGATGGGGTTTCGTCATGTTGCCCAGGCTGGTTTTGAACTCCTGGACTCAAATGATCTGCCTGCCTTGGCCTCCCAAGGTGCTGGGATTACTGGTGTGAGCCAGCACGCCCAGCCAATGTTTCTGTGAGACTGTTTTTGAATGAGATGCACATGTAAATAGGTTAACTATGAATAAAGCAGATTGCCTTCCATAATGTGAATGGTCTTATCCAATCAGTTGAAGGCCTTGATATAACCAAAGACTGGACTCACCTTAGCAGGAAGGAATTCGGCCAGTACATGACCTCTGGACTTGAACAACAACACTGGCTCTTCCCTGGGTCTGCACTCTGCCAGCCCACCCCGCAGATTTCAAATGTGCCAGCTTCCATAATTTCATGAGCCAATTCTTTAAGTAAGTCTCTCTTTCTATATATGTATATGCTATTGGTACTATATATTTGGAAAACCCTGATTAATGTACCCACCTTACCCCCAGGGTCCCAGAGAATCCAGAAAGATACTTAGCACCTCCATGCACTGATGGCTCTGGGTGTCCCAGCAGAGCCATTACACTGGCGCCTGTGTCTCAGGGTCTGGAGAATGCAGAGGGTGTAAAGTCCTCTCCAGCTTCAGGCAAAGGGGTACTAGTAATGGGGCAAGGCTCAGACCTCTGGGGGCCCGGAGGAGCTGCCCGTGCTGCCAGCAGGAGAAAGGAGTGAGGGTCTACCATGAAGGTCTGGGCTGACCTCTGTCCCAACTCCTGATGTGTTCATCTGCTAGGGCTGTGTGACAAATTATCACAAGCTGGGGGGTTTAAAACAACAGAGATGTATTCTCTCATAGTTCTGTATGCTGGAAGTCCAAAATCCAGCTGTTGGGAGAGTCGGGTTCTTCCAGAGGCTCTGCAGGAGAATCTGTTCCATGCCTCTCTCCTGGCTTCTGGTGTTTGCCAGCAAACCTTGACTTGCAGGTGTGTCATTCCAATCTCTGCCTCCCCTATCACGTGGCTTCTCTTTGACATCTGTGGATGTCTCTTTGCCTTTTCTTGTAAGGACACCTCTCCTGTTGAGTTTAGGGTCCACCTTAAGCTGGTATGACCTCATCTTAACTCATTACATCTGCAAAGACTTTATTTCTAAATAAGATCACATTCTGAGGTTCTGGGTTGACATGAATTTGGGGGCGCACTGTTCAATCCAATACACTTGTGTTGGGAGGTGGGGACAATTTAGCCCCAGGCCAAATGGAGAACAATCCTTCACCTTCTGTGGCTCCATGTATCCTGCTCCTTCCCAGGCTGGCCTGGGGACTTGCAGGTGTTTGAAAATACAGCCCGAGATGCAGCAGGGTCGGAGGAAGCTGATAATTGGAGCTCATATATGTGCAACACTGCCATTTTATGATGCTTGAGATTTTTAAAAAGTTACATTCGTAATCCAGCTCTAATCAATAACTTTTGCAAAAATGGCCATTTAAAAAAAGAAGATGGCCAGGTGCAGCAGCACAGACCTATAATCCCAGTGCTTTGGGAGGCCAAGTTGGTAGGATCTCTTGATGCCAGGAGTTCAAGACCAGTCTGGGCAAAATAGCAAGACCCTGCCTCTACGAATTTTTTTTTAATTAGCCAGGTGTGGTAGTGCACCCCTGTAGTTCTACTTGGGAGGCTGAGGCAGGAGTATCACTTGAGCCCAGGAGTTCAAGGCTTCAGTGAGCTATGATCACAGCACCGCACTCCAGCCTGGACAACAGAGTGAGACCCTGTCTCTTTAAAAAGTAAAACAAAAAAAAAAGACAATGGGGAAGCTGTGGCAGCCCTACCACCCAGCCCACATGTTGACAGCAGAAATGCCCAACTTGGAGTGGGTGTGAGCATCAAAGCCTTGGGGCAAGCCCACCCATCCATCTGCCCACTGATCATGGGCTTTGAACCAAGAGTGACTGGGACAAATGGATGTTTCCATTGGAACCTGGAGTGTGGCAAGGTGGGACTAGAATGTGAGAAATCTTTTCACTGCAGGAGATGAGACACTGCCATGGTGGCGAGAGGCCCTTAAGAGCCCACCTCCCCCATCCCGCTTGGCCCAGATCCTCAGGGGTCCTTCTACCCTGTTCCTGTGGAGGGAGGGATGCTGGGAGGGAGTGCTGGCCTGCAGTGTGCTTTACCTTCTGATAACCAGCGCTTGTGACATTTTTTCAGAGGACTGCCTTCGGGCTTCTGGAGCTGCTTTGCTGCCAGGACAGAGAGAAGGAAGTGCCTGGGGATTTCCATCCTCTGTCCCCGCCCTGGACTGCACTTGCCAGTGACTAATGGGTCCAGGCTGTGAAAGCCCAGCATCCTGCCCTCAGGTGGAGACACGCTCTGAGGTGTAAGTTAACACTTCAGAGCTCTCCTGGCTGAAGCTACCCTCTGAGGAACATGGCCTGGCTTCTTTGATATCTTTTCCTGTTTCGCCAACTCCCTCACCGGGTTCTCCCAGAAGCACTTTCTTAAGAAATCACTTGCACGGGAATGCTCATGTCGGTCGGCTTCTAGGGGAGCTGGCCTGAGACACCCCCTTTCCACAGTAATGTCGTTTGTATCCACCCATTGCCAGGCAGCCTTTTGTGTCAGTGATGCTGGAAGCCACCTCTGGTGTGTGATCTGAAAGACCCAGGGCTCCATAAGCTCTTCCTGGTTGCTGCTGCTGTGCCTGAAAACCCACCTTTGAGATTCGTTCCCTTGGAATGTGTCTCTCACTTCTCTTAAAATGCAGGTGCTTCTGAGGTCAGGAGATCAAGACCATCCTGGCTAACACAGTGAAACCCCGTCTCTACTAAAAATACAAAAAAAAAAAAAAAAAAATTAGCCGGGCGTGGTGGTGGGCGCCTGTAGTCCCAGCTACTCGGGAGGCTGAGGCAGGAGAATGACGTGGACGTGAATCCGGGAGGCGGAGCTTGCAGTGAGCTGAGATCGCGCCACTGCATTCCAGCGTGGGTGACAGAGCAAGACTCCGTCTCAAAAAAAAAAAAAAATGCAGGTGCTCCTTGGGGACCAAGTTTATCACTGGTATTAACATGGCTCCTTGGAGTGCAGTTTCTCAGTAAATCAGAAGCATTTTGCAGCTGGTGCTGCTATTGCTGCAACAGTCGCCTGGATCCATTCCACTGGAGCGACCCTGAGCAAAATCACAAAGGCAGAAAACTGAGCCTTCAGCATCCCCTGCCTCACCCTGCAGTGCCCTTCTCCCCTCCTGGCTCTTTCCCCGAGCCATCCTGTGTATCCTGTCCTCTGCTGGATGAAGGCTAATCCACTCAAGGTTTAAAATAATGGCGATGATGATAATGAATATGATGATAAGGTGCCATTACTTTTAGGGTATTATCGTTCCTGAGGATGCTGCTTTTTGAATGGGATTTCAGGAACATTGCAAATGACCATGGGACCCAAGGGGAAGTTTCAATGGTAAAATTCAGGCATTGTGATCCCCGGATGAGAGATGTAGTTTGGAATCCTGCCTGGTCCCCCTCAAATTACAGTCAGGGCACACAGGGCTGCACTCTATGGCACCTTTGTGCAAATTTAAAAAAGATGGCCCCTCTGGGTCGATGAATTAGAAAACTGCACCTCCTTGGGGCAGATGCAGCTCCAAGGGTCCACACATCAAGCCTGATTGCAGGCTGGATTTCAGCGTCACTTCCTTACCTGCCAGGTACTTCTGAGCGGTGCATAAACTGCCCCGCCATACAAGGCAGCCCTGAGGACCCCAACTAGTAATAGTAATGGCCAACATTTAGTTTACTCTGTGCCGGCATTGTACTAAACACCTGACATCAATCCCATGAAGCAGCTACAATTTGCATCAGTCCCATTTTACAGATGAGGAAACTGAGGCTCAAAGCGGTAAAGTAAATCCCCTAAAGACACACAGCAAACAAGTGAAAGGTTTGGGGCTTGAACTCTCATAATCTGGTGCTGTAGGAAATGTCTTCTGTTCTGAATATTTTGGACGGGAGAAGGGTGGCAGAGGGCAAGAAAATGTAGGCAAATTAAATTAGCAGGAAAGAGGAAGCGTATTGGCTGGGACACTATGGGGTGAGGCAGGGTGGTCCAGTGGGCAGAGCATTGGCCTGGAAGTCAGGAGGCCAGATTAGACTCTCAAGTCTGCCTTTTACCAGCTAGGTGCCCCAGGCAAGCCTCTCAACCATTCTAGACCTCAGCATCCTCATTTGCGAAAATCCGAATGTGGAGACAGATCTCCAAGGATCTTTTAAAGCTCTCAGATTTCCACTCCCACCAACACTCCTAAGAGTGGCTGCAGAGGGGCAGGAGGGGGCCACGGTTCCCAGTGTGGTGGAGGTGAGGCGGGCAGGGCAGGGCCCGTGCATCCTCGGCCCAGCCCCAGCTCTGCACTCCCAGTGTTTTCATGGCTGTTGCCATCCTGATCCGGTCCACAGCAGCTGCTGTCCTGATCCAATAGAGCTATCTATCAAACACACGCAATTAAGGCCACGGTTGCCAAGATCAGCCAAATAGATTCATTCCAGAAGTGGAGAAGAGCCTGGGGGTGGGAACGGGAAGGAAAAAGACCTGGGGAATGGATGAGCTCTGATCTGCCCTGAGCACTATCAAGAAGGAGCTAGAAGCATGAGGTTCTTAGAGACTGACTCTGTGCCAGGTCAGAGAGTCATATATGCATTATCTGCACAGACTCTGTGAGTTATTACCCCATTTTACAGATGAGCCAATTGATGCACAGACAGGTCACACAACCTGCCTAGGGTCCCACCCACAGCAAGGGGAAGAGCTTGCGTTCAAACTGAGGGGACCTAGCTTGTGGGTGTGCTCTAAACCACTGTGTCACATGGAGCAAGAGAATATTAAAGAATATTAAGTCTAGGAGACTGCAAGATTTCAGATCTCAGACAACAGAGAGGTGAAGCCAGTCACCTGGGGCAGATTTTTACAAAGGAAAATTTTGAGAACTGGTTCCTTGATTCTTGGGCTCCTTTGCCAGATCAAGGATATGAAATAGGAAATGGAGGGCAGGAGGTGCATGGAGATCTCTCTGGAGAGCTGGTGTTATGCTGTGATACTCCTTAAGGAGAATGAGCGGCTTCCATGTGACAGGTGGTCCCCACAGTTGGGACACTCAGAGGCCCAGGGCCTGCCTAGCTGAGATGGCCACAGTGGCCTGGGGTAGAGGACTGAGGATGCAAAGGGGTGTATATGCGTCTCTTCAGGTCCTGACTGTGCCACGTGTATGCAAACACCACGTGAGGCAAGGTTGCCACCAGGACTGCCCAGGGACAGGGGGGTTCAGCAGAAAGACACTGGAGGCAGGCTCCTGGCTCCTGGGGACCTGGGCATGAGGCAGAGCCACAGCTTGAAATGAAAGGTTGACCTCCCAGGCCAAGATGACTGCAGGTGGAAGATGCCCATCCCTGAGTCCCCAAGGAACTGACACCTGCACCCCACAGGGGACCCTGGCTTAGCCTCGGCCTGGTGCATCCACAACAACAGCCCGTGAGTGAGGATTGGTGAGCAGAACGAGAGAAAATAGCAACTCCATGGCTTTCCCGTCAGCCCTGACCCCGAAAAGGGAGAGGGGAGCAGTTACCAGTGAAAAAAGACTGGAGTGTAGATTTATATCACAAACTGGACACAGTCTGAATCAAGCTGGTCTGTAACCCTAACTGCTGATTATCTAAGGGTAAACAGAAAGCCACGGGAACAGCCTGAGTGTCCACTTCGGTGCAGGGGATGGTGCCATCCACTGAGAACATTCCAGACGGAGGGTGGAGGAAAAGTAAAGTCGAGCTGGGAACATGTCTTGGGAGAGGGCGTTTGTCATGCTGGCCACTCTGGGTGCAGGGTATGCGGGGACCCAAAAGGCCAGGTCCCAATGACATGGTTGAAGAAGGTCCCACACATTCTTCCTGGGTCACCACTGACCTCTCCTTTGAGTCCCGCCCTGGGCAGCCCATCCCAGCCAGTAGACTGCTTCCTCCTATCACTGGTCAGGGAGGCAGCCTTCCCTTTAAGGCCCCTCTGTTTGCCTCCTCACTCAGTGGGTGGGCTTGTCCCAGCAGACATGCATTGAGCTGGAAAGGAGAATCGCAGCCAGGCTTGCGTGTGCAAGCATGTTCCCATGGGCACGGAGTGAATGCAGTGGTGCTGCCCATACCAGCTCTTCCAGGACCAAAACACTCAGCCTCCAGGTACCAGGAGCTTCACCTACTGATGGCACACAGCTGAGGCCCACTCTGGGCAATGCCCTCAACTAGAAAGAGCCAACTTGCCCAAATATACTTACTGTCCCTGTGTCCAGTGACCAGTCTACACAGAGATACAAAGGCCAAGCCCCTTTACATCAGTTCTGGACCTCTCTGAAGGGCCATGCCAGCTTCAGAGCTCCCTGGGGGATGGGCTGAGTCCTCTGCTGTGACTGCATCGTAGCTCCACTTCCCCCGACTTAAGCCTGCCTCCCTCACTCGCTTGCCAGTGCTGCTTCCGAGAGCTCTGCCCAGTAAGCCTCCCACACGCAAGTTGCCATCTCAGAGGCTGTTTCCCGAGAATCTGAGCTAAGATTGGACCTTCCTCTGTGTGGGCACTTATGTGTGCATGCGTGTGCATTTTGTAAGGGAGATGGGAGCACGCATGTGGGTGTATGAGGGGAGTGTGTAAGCACAGGTGAGGGTGGGTGGGTGTGTAGGCAGGTGGGCATGCGGTGGGACTACATGAGATTGTGTATGAAAGTGGGTGTGTGAACATTTGTGTGAGGGTTGATGTTTGAGCATATGTGAGCAGGAGTGTGTGTGTGTGTGTGTGTGTGTGCACAGCAGGGTAGCCCAGGCAGATTCTGCCCTTGTCTCTCTCTCTGCCCCCCTCTTTACTGCTCCCTTCACCTACTTATTCTCCTTGCTCAATCAAGGACCACCCTCTTACCCTGGGGAAAGCCCCCATGGAAGCCAGAGGCTGTGTCTGGACAGAAGAAAGGGACCCTAGCATCGTAGAGTCATGGAGAATGAGAAAATTACAAAGAGATGGAAGGGGACAAAGTAGCCTTTATTTCCTCCAACTGGCCTCTTCTCACTCACACCAGTGATGGGGGGCCCAAGCACCCACAGCCAAGCCCACCTATGAGGACACCTTCCCCTTAGAAACTGCCAATCAGTTGCCCTATTACTTCCACCCTCCATCTTGGCCCCTCTCTCATGCCCAGGCCAATCCCCAGACATTCCAAGGCAGCCGAGCCCCTCTCGAAATGCCATTCATCATTCCCCATGTGAGGATGCTGAGCCCTGCTCCCCCTTCTGGATCTCCCTCCAGACACTCTGTGGGGTCCAGATGCGGCTGAGCAGGGCCAAGAGTAGATGGGGGAACAGTCCCTCCCACCACTACGGCCCCGTGAAGTTAGGGACCTATGTCTGGGTCCACTGTTTTAGTAGCCACAGCACATTGTTGGTGCTTACATTGACCTTGGGGGTCAAATAAAAATGACCAGATCATTTCAGGTGGAATCCTGCCAAGCCAGCTCCATCCACCCACCCTGGGCTTGTTCCTAGAATCACTGATTTTTTTTTTTTAATCTGAAAGTGCCTGACTTTACATTGATTACTGTTAAATATCTTCATGTTGATTTTGGCCCAGCAATTCTGCCTTGGAAAAGAGTTTGGATCATGAGTCAGCTAAAGCAAAGTAACTTGTGCTTTTGAGGTTTGGATGGACACATCTTTTGTGTCTTCATGCAAGTGTCGTCGAAATTACTGGACAGGCTGGAGCCAGGGCAATGTTTTGCACTGGAAATCCCTCTCCCAATTCATTCCCTGCCACCCAAACTTCTTGAGTAGAAGCTGTTCAAACCACTACGAACCTGCCCTCTTATCCACTGATCTGCTAATCCAGCCCTCCTGTGGGAAAGGGGGAAACATTTAATTAGGGGAAACATGACCTTGGTGAGCCTGGGCTTGCCCTTGGACCATGCCATGTTCTTTCCCAGGTGCTCCTGGATTTTCTGTCCAGTCAGTCAGTCTAGACTGTTCCTGTCATGATCAGAATCCACTCTTCCACTCTTCCCTTCTTTTTGGCAAAGGCCGCTTTGCCCCCTTCCATCTCCTTGTAATTTTCTCTTTCTCTGTGACTCTTGGAAACCCCACAGAATCCTGGAAGTCCCTTTTATATTGGGTAACCATATAATTTTTCAACCAAAAGAGATAACTTTGAGAGTGTATTTGTTGTCAATTGCTTCGTAACAAATTCCCCTAAAATTTAGCAGCTAAAAACAACATTTACTATCTCACAATTTCTGTGGGTGAGGAGTTTGGGAGTGTCTTGGCTGGGAGGTTCTGGATTGGAGTCTCTTATGAAGTTGCGGGCAGGATGTTGACCAGGGCTGCAGGCATCTGAAAGCTTTCCTGGGGCTGGAGGATCCATTTCCAAAATGGCTTACTTGGCTGTTGGCAGGAGGCCTCATTTCTTGCTACATGGGCCTCTCTGCAGGACTGCTTGAATTTCCTCACAATGTGGCAGCAGCTCGCCAGCGTGAGTGACCCAAGAAAGACAGTGAGGAGGAGGCTACAGAGCCTTTTACGATATAGTCCCAAGACAGACACACTGTCACTTTCGCCATATTCTGTTCATTAGCAGCAAGTCACCAAGTCCCAACCCACATTTGAGAAAAGATAAATTAGGTCTCACCTTTTGAAAGAAAGAGTACCTAAAAAATGTGTGTACATATTTTAAAATCACTACAGGGAGTGAAAGGAGATGGTAGATAATTATCCCAGGATGCTGAGGTGAACCAGGTCTGTCCTGCACAGATCACATTTGATCACCCAACTCCAAACCATTTGGACCCTGAGCCACAGTTAAAAATCCATCCTGACTCTCTTCACATGCACACATGTAACTGAAACAAAAGCTCACAAAACAACATTTAACCTTACCATATGCATGGACAATATAAAATATTCCATTTCATTCTATTTTATTCAGTTCTACTCTGTGCGTTCTTAAAATATTGGTATGGGCAACTAAATTTATTTCACAACCCACTAATGGTTAGCAACTCAGTTTGCAAAAACAAACTGCTATCCTAGAGTGTGCTTTTTGTGTGCAGTGAAGCAACTTCCATTCTCCATCTATTTTGGAGCTCTCCATGGGTCTGACCAAAGCTTCTTAACCTACTTTTCTTATCTTTTTGACCCCTCCTTCCTTGGCACACACAGACGCTGTTGATCTTTGGCTCTGCAGAGTCACTGAGTCATGAGATGCATGCAAGAGACACCGGACAAGGAGTCACACACGTCTCCTTTACAATATCCGTGGCGGACATTACTAATCAATCATGGTACTGTCCCATTAAGCTCAACGTCCACTTCAGAATCTTTCCTAACCCAGCACTCCAGACATTTTTTTTTGGGAGGGGAGTGGGACAAAAATCTATTTTACAAACCCTTTATCTGAAGCTGAAAAGCAAACTCTCTGAGTCCCAGAGAGATGAAGAGGCTTTCCCAAGGTCACAGGGCTGATTGGGAGTGAGGCAGAAACTGGAAGCCTGCTCCCTGGCTCACAGGCCACTGGTGTCTCTGCTGAGCCAGAGCTTCACAGGTGTTTTATTTTCTTTTAAGACAGGGTCTCACTTCACTGTGTCTCCCAGGCTGGAGTGCAGTGGCGTAATCTTGGCTCACTGCAGCTTCTACCTCCTGGGTTCAAGCGATTCTCCTGCCTCAGCCTCCCAAGTGGTTGGGACTACAGGCACACACCACCATGCCCAGCTAATTTTTTTTTGTATTTTTAGTAGAGTCGGGATTTCACGATGTTGGCCAGGCTGGTCTTGAACTCCTGACCTCAAGTGATCCACCTGCCTCAGCCTCCCAAAGTGTTGGAATTATAGGCGTGAGCCATTGCACCTGGCCAGCTTCACAGACTTTGACCATTCATTGGTTGTCATCTTTGACCTAATTCTCCGGACCAGGATCCAGCATTCACTCACCAGTCCATACTTGAACTGCCCTTCCTCCATGCCCACCACTCACCAAAGCTGTTAACGAGACCTCTTTCCAGGGAGAACTTCACCTGGGGGTTGACCTGCATAGGGTCACCTCCAAGAGAAGCATCTTTGCATGGTATGCAAGAAACATCAAGAAAAACGCCCTCATCCTCTGGTCCAGCTGTACCCCATCAGCTGGAATCAAGGGCTTGGAGCCCCCCAGACCACCTGTTACCACCAAGTGGGCCCAAGCTGAGGCCTTGTGTTGTTTTATGTGACTATTCATCCTGCCATGAACAGGTCTGTGCTGCTCAGTTATTGCCCACACTCTGGTGCTAGCCCAGACATCAGCTTAGAGATAAGAAGACAAGCGTATGGGAGTCAAAGGTAAACTTCCAGTTACCGTGCTGCCAGGAGGGTGCAGTTATTGAAGTGGCCTGGAGTGCTACCTGAGCACTGAGAGCAACATTTCTCCCTGAGACATCTGATATGCCAGGTGAAGCTTTTGAAGGATATTCTGTAGTATCCCTAGTAAGGAAACAACAGAAACTAACGCTTGGAGGAATAAGGGAGCAGTGGGCTCAAGGGAAATACACACCATTGGATATTGATGGAGAATGCACTGTAAAGCCCAGAGGCAAGGAACAGTAGGTGATGAAGCTGCTCCCCACATGGAGTTTATATTCTATGAAGGGAGAGAGACAAAAAGAAAAGAAACATATACACAGAAAATATACCAGTGGTGATAGGAGCCAAGGGGAAAGATTATACAGGAGCATGGGGAAAGAGCTAGGGATACTGTTTTTAGATGAGTGGTCAGGGAAGGCCTCTCTGAGAAAGAGACATTGAGCAGGGACCTGAGATATGCAGGAGTGAAGCTGCAGCTTACTGGAGGAAGAACATTCTAGGCTGAGGAAACAGCAAGCACACATGCTCAGAGGTGGGCTCCTGCTTGGTGTTGGGTTCAAGGAGCAGCAGGGAGGCCAGTGTGCACACGCTGCATCCTTTCTCATCTGATCTCACCAGATCCTCATGCCACCTGGGTGGAAGGCCCCAGATGGATCCCCTTTTCCAGATGAGGGCACTAAGGCCTCAAGGGTTAAGTGGCTGGTGACAAGCACAGAGTGAGTTTGCGGCAGAGCAGGGCCCAGAATCCAGGGCTCCAGGTGTCCAGCGCAAGGCTCTTTTGTGGCTCAGAGCAGCCTCCTCACTGATTGTGGATTGGTGCCCAGTAAAGCTCAAACAAGGATAGCTTCCAAGCCTTGCTAGCAGGTCAGCCTGCTGGCTCTTCCAGGAGACCTGGAAGTGTTCTCTGAGCTTGGGGATGTCCCCTCTTCAGACCAAAGTCTTATAGCCAAAACTCGTCTATTTCCAGGGTCCCTCAACAAAACCTGGGGTCAGTGGGGTTGGGGGAAGCCGGGACAGGCAACGGCTATGCCTGGCATCCTGAAGCTCTTGAGTGAGGCCTGCACACAGACCAGGGTCTGCTGCCAGGACCCAGGCTGAAACCCAAACACCCCTGTCTCAGGGTGCAGTACCATGGGGGCATCTCAATTCAACATGGATTAGGCATGTAGATCCTCAGCTTCAAGGGTTCTTGGTCACGTTTTCCCACCTCCTTCCTTTTCTTGCTTCCTTCTTTTTAAACTATCAGGACTGGGGTGAGGTGGGATGGGTGGGATTGAATGATGGTTTCTGGGGGCCAGGGATAGCTGGCCCCTTTGTGTCCTGACAAGCCAAAGGCAGCTTACAATGTCCACACCCCCTAACATCCTGAGCTGCAAGACAGGGAAGCAGTGAAGATCCTGAGCTCTGAAGTCACACAGACTTAGGTTCAATTCCATTCTAATTCTTAGGTGCTTAATCTTGGCCAAGGAAACCACAGCTTTTTCCCTTGTAAAAGGGGATAATAAGGCATCTTTGTCACAGATCACTAGACAGTGCAAGCAAGGCCCTTCACACGGTACCTGGTATGTGCATCCAGAGCTTGTGAACACTAGTTATAGTTTCCTGGGTGCACCATGCCTCTGACTTAGCCAAACTATCTGGGTGAAGACCAAATGTCATCTATTCGCCCTTGTTAGACGTTAAGGGAGATGCTCTGGAGGTAGACTGGAAACTGACTCTCCAGATCTCATTTGCACCTTCTGCCAAGGTAAATCACATGAGTGCTTTGAGTGAGAAGGATAACAATATGTTAGTTCATAAATGTCATCCTGTCAGGCCAGGGTGGGCCTGGTTGAGCTACACTCACACCAGGCTGCTGTGGATGTTGTTGGTACCCCACTCAGATCCCCTTTCTGAGTCAGTCCTCATTCCTCAGTTACAGTAAGTATTGGCTGCTAATGGCTTACAGATGCTGCCTTATCTGGAGAATCACCCTCCAGGAGCCAATGTCCAAGGGACATATGAATATAAGAGGCTCCTCCCCTTGCCTCGAGGTGGGACAACTCTGTGGTTCAATTCAATCTGTGCTGCCAAGTTCCCCATGGGATTAGGCTGAAGTGAGTCTCCAGCTGAGATCTGCTCTGCCCTATCCCTCCTCCCTTACTCCCCTTCTCATTTCTTAATCAATCATGTGCACTGAATCCCTGCCTCAGGCTCTGCATCCAGAGACCCATACCCAAGAAAAAGGCTGCCATGATTCTAGTCTTAGAAATGCCTATTGCTTCAGAGTCTTGGGAAGAGGAGTTCCCCTTCCCCACCCTTGATTCCTGCTTCCCTAGAGTACCCTGCCTCACCAATCTGCCCCTCCCTGCCACCTTCACCTCTTCTTAATCTCCTCTCCTCAATCCCCTTCCGCCACCCAAATCCCATAGCAGCAACTCATTTCCCTCCAGGTAACTCCCAAATCCTCATGGCTGCCACATTTGCCACCTCCCCTGCTCAGCCTCACTGTCCCAGATGCCTGCTAGGTGTCTGCACATGGCTGTCTGGCACCTGAAAATGCTCTGACTCTAAAATTGAACTTCTTTCCCCAAGCCCAGCTCCTCCTCCTGGCCGCCGGCTGCTGTAAACGGCATTCCTCTCTACAGCTCTGCAATCTGCAGACTTGGCTCTGTCCTCAATTCCTTCCCTGCTCAGTGCCAACTCTCTCACATCTGTCCTTCTCTCCTCACAGCCTCTTCCCCTCGTTTACCTCATCTGTTCTGAAACCATCTTGGCAGACACTTGCTGAGAACTTACTACGTGCAAGGCACTAAGTTCTTCGTGTTTGTGAACTCAATAACTTATCATAATGTCCCTTTGAGAGAGGAATTACTATCCTCATCCTCATTTCATAGGTGAGGAAACTGAAGTCTAGGGAGGTGAAATAATTCAACCAAGACCATCTAGCTAAAAGTGGTTGGTTGTCTTATTCCAGGTTCCCCAGAAACCAACCTCAAGGAAAGGATTCAAGTGCAAAAAGTATATTTGGGAAGTGATTCCAGGAAACACAGGGAGGTGGGTGATATAGTTTGCATCTCTGTCCCTACCCAAATCTCATGTTCAATTGTAATCCCCAGTGTTAGAGGTGGGGCCTGATGGGAGGTGATTGGATCATGGAGGTGGACCCTTCATGAATGGTTTAACACCATCCCCTTGGTGCTATTTTAGTGATAGAGTTCTCACGAGATCTGGTTGTTTAAAAATGTGTCCATGGTCCTGCTCCTGCCATGTAAGAGGATGAGAACTGGAGCGTAATCCCTCTGAGGAACTCAAAAGCAGGGAGCCGGGGTACTGATACTCAGAAATACTCAGAAGCTGAGGTATTGATACTCAGAAATGCTCAGGGAGCTGGGGTATTGATACATCAACTCTTGTTAGTGCATAGATGAGAGTTATTCCAAGGGATCTTGAGTCCCTGGCATTCCCAGTGCAGGCAGAAGGGGCTTTTGCAGCCTGAGAAAGTCCTCAAGAAAAGCAATGCTTATTCTGGGAATTGGGAGTCAGGCTGTTCAATCAAAAGTTAGGGCCAAGGGGGCAGGGGTAGAGCTGGAACCAATTCCAAGCAGTGTGCATCCAGGGGCCATAGTTTTAACCACATGTTCTGCCAGATCTGACATGATTTTGCCCATCATTGCCAATTTATTCCCCTGCCCTCACTTTGAGTCACTCCGCTGCTTAAACCACTTCATTGTGGACTGGGCTGAAGCTTTCTGGTTGATCTTTGGTCAAGGTCACCCCAGAATGACGCTTATCTCCACTACAAGCGTGTCTCTCACTCCACCCCGCAGACACCAGGTCTTACCCTCCCAGAGTCTGTACTTCTGCTCAGGCTATGTCTCTGCTGGAATGCCCTCTCTCCATCACTCCCCATTGGTCCTGCCCAACCGTAAGGCAGCCTGGTCCACACAGCCTTTCCTGAGCTCCCCAGTTAGTAGCGAGCCCCTGCACCTCTGTACTCTGTAGCTCCTCCTTGCCCTATCTAAGAACACTCTGGTTTGTGCTACAGCTGAACTTAGAATCCCAAGGGATTTGAGCTCCTGGGTGCTGCATGCAGCAATGATTCCACCAGCTACCAAAAAATTCCATCATCCCCAGTGTCCCCTACTCTTGGATGCTGGGGAATGAGGAAAGTGCAAGATGGGAGAATATGGGCAGGTGTGCCTCAGTCTGGGGTCCAGGAGAAACAGCAGCTGTAAGGGGGGTTGGGTGCTGAGGCTGGTGTGGGCTGGGATCAGAGCTGATGAAGTGGGAGTTTGGGACTATTGACTTACCTTATCCCACACACAGGACAGCAGCCAAGTGGACTCTGGCTCAGAGGAAAAACTTCCAGGGACCATGCATTCAATGGTCTCCATCCACAGCTTTCTAGGTGCCTGTTGCCTTCTCCAAAGCAAAACCCAGCCTCAGCCCAAGTCCTCCAGGATTTGGTCCCTATCCTCCTCCAGTCTTCCATGCTGTGGCTCCTCTCAGCTCTGCTCCAGCCACAGGGACCATTTGAGTTACCAGAAAGCTCCATCTCCTTGGCTGCCAAAACTTTGCCGTGGCTGTATCCTTTGCTTAGAAGACCCACTACCTCCCCCATGCTGCTGACGCAACTCCAACAGCAGCCCCAGCAACCACCAAGCTGTTGTTGCAATACCCCGGTGTGAGTTACATGCCTCTCCCCTAAGTCATTGCAGCCTCGGGCCTGCTTCACACTCATGGCCTGTTTTTAAATGCTGGCTTTATTATCAGTCAGGAATGGTGAGGCCAACAGATCAGGAGATGACTGCCGCTGATGAAAAAGATGGTTGGCTACTCACACTTCCCAACATGAGTGGGGCATGCCACACCACGCAGGGCCACATGGGGAAACACCAGGGTTGGTTGGGAAGCAGAGGGAGTGGATGAATGTGGGCAAGAGTCTTTACTGTGGTTCCTGGGAGAAGGAAGGGCAGGGCGACACAGGCAGGCTTAGGATTGGTTGTGTTTGAATAATTTCTGCTTAATCTGATGCATGGGGGCTGTCCCTGGTTGTCTAGTACCTGGCCCTGGGGTAACAAAGGTGGGTGGATAGTGGCCTAGAGTGTGAGAGCCCATTGACAGTCTGATAAGGGAGATGGTTGGGGTATGAGCCCTGGGTTTGTTGCTTTGCATAGGCACAGGCAAATTGTTTAGTATCTCTGGGAATTGGCCAGCCCTGGGATGGGCACTCTCTACAGGGTCAACAAAGCCTATGTCAAAGCATCAGAAACACGTGGTTCATACGCGGCCCTTACCCCATTTGCAAAACTCTCCAGCCAGATGGTGAGCTGAGTGCAGCAACCAGGCCACAGCTGAGCCCTAGCACTGGCCTGACAACGGGGAGGTTCTTGGTAAATGTTGGGTAGATGAGAGTCCACTGCAGACCAGGCATGATGCCAAATACTTGGGGACACAGCAGTGGACAGGCAGAACAAGATCCCTATTCCTGTGGAGTTTACTTCCAGTGGGCACATCAGACAGCAAACCAGCAGACAAATAAATACACAAGAGAACTTCATTACCAGGAAATACTGTGAAAGCAACAAACCAAACATATAACAAAGACATCATAGGACCAGGGTAGGATGGAGGGGATGGGACGCTGCTAGAAAGGGTGGTCAGGGCAGCCTCTCTGAGGATGTGACAAACAGACCAAGACCCAAATATGGAGACATTTCAGCCATGCAAAAATTCCAGGGCAGAGTATTCTAGCAGATTAATGTATCGAATGAACGAATGAATGAGTGAACAAATTCATCCTTCAGTCTGGATTTCCCACTTCTTTGCTGCTGGCCATAGTGCATTTTGAGGCTTGAATGATATCAGTGCAAGAGTTCCATGTATTAGAATCATTTCCATCATGATGTCTTCTCATTTACGGGAACATTCTGCACGTTGACCCGGGCCCTGCAAGCAGGCACGTGTGGGCCTCAGGGAAAGACGCCATTCTAATCATCTTTGTTCAGTGACTGCTCTTCCCACTCACACCAGAGCCAGCAATTTTCTTGCCAAACTTGTCCCTTATGAGAATCAAAGGAGTTAATTTATGGCCCCAACAATAGTGCCTCTTGCACGGGAGGGTGAAGGGAATTCTTGCTCAATACATGAGGTGCTGCCCAGACGTTAGCCACTCAGGCAAAGCCCAGGCCTCAGATGCTGCAGGTAGAGCCCCAGTTGCAGACCCCACTGGGCTGCCCAGCCCCTCCCTGAGGCTCCTTTGACCACTAGGGCTGGGAGCTGAGTTGTAAGGAAGCAGCAGCAGCCAGTCCCTTTGGGGCTCTTTGTGAATCCCCAGGGTCTCCTGCAAGAGCCGGGTTGCCTAGCCGAGCCACCAGGACCCACTTTTTGAGGCTCTTTGGGGTGTGCAAATGTGGTTGTCGAATGAAAGTCAAAGAAAAGGAGCAGTGTGATTAAGCTGTTAGTTGGCAGGCAAAATATAAATAGTTTTAACAGGCCCCCTCTCCAGCGCTGGGTGCGGGAGATGACATCTTGAGATGTTCATCATGCTGGCTTGAAGGGTTGTTTCAGCAGCTGCCTGGGCTTCCTGCAGGCGGTGGGCCTCCCCACACTGCATCAATCTCAGCCACGTGGTTATTTCCTCCCTCCTGGGAGGCCCTGACTGCCTATCTGGGTTCTGGAGGGGAACCTAGAACTGCCAGGGTCACAGAGCATTAGGGGAGGGTGGGAAGGGCAGAGAAGAAGGCAACTTCCCCAAGTTTGTAAGGAGTGGACTTGAACCCAAGTGTTTCTTGCTTTTAACCACCATGGTATGTTGCTATTGCCACTTTCTTTACATTCATTTATTTATTGATTCATTTTTAAGGTACTTCTTGAGCCCCACAGGGAGTGGGAATAGCACAGATTTTAGAGCCCACACAGCCTGGTTCCAAGTCAGCTCCCCTGCTTCCTAGCTAAGTGTACCAGAGCAAATTCCTGTGCCTTAGTTCCCTTATAGTAACAAAGGATTACACCTATCCCTTCCAAGTCTTCTCTTAGGATTGGCATAAATACATATGGAACACCTTGTACACAACAAGCCCTCCCCTCCGTCCAGCACTAGCCTAGGGATTGCAGAGTGCCAGACATGGATGCCACAAAGACTTCCCTTTTGTACATTCAAAGACTGATGGGGGAAGACATGCTATACCAGCCTGCTTCTCCTCCAAGGCAAAATGGAGTAGGTGCTACGCAGAAGCATAATAACAGCTGTGGCCAATTATACTGGTGGGGTGAAGGAGGAGTTTTATTGGAAGATGGGGTCTTTGAGCCCCACTGGTGGGATATAAGAAAGCACATCAAACGGAGAGGACAACAATAGCAAAGGCTTGGAGACTGATATGGTTTGGATCTGTGTCCCCACACAGATCTCAGGTCGAATTGTAATCCCCAGTGTTGGCAGTGGGGCCTGGTAAGAGGTGATTGGATCATGGGGGCAGTTTCTTATGAATGGTTTAGCACCATTCCTTTGGTGCTGTTCTCGTGATAGTGAGTGAGTTCTCTCAAGATCTGGTTGTTTAAAAGTGTGTAGCACCTCCCCACTCTATCTCTTGCTCCTCTGGCCATGTGAAGTACTGCTCCCCCTTCATCTTCCACTATGATTGGAAGCTTCCTGAGGCCTCCCCAGAAGCAAAAACCGCTATGCTTCCTGTACAGCCTGCAGAGCCATGAGCCAATTAAACCTTTTTTCTTTATAAATTACCCAGTCTTGGGTATTTTTTCTACAGCAGTGGAAGAATAATACAGAGACATAATGGCACTTTGGGGATAGTGAGTAAATCAATGTCACTTGGTCAAAAGGACCAAAGGAAGGATTGGCAGGGTCTGGTAAGGTGGGGTTAAGACCAGACCCTGATTGGCTTTGGTTGTTACACTAAAGAATTTAGCTACGTTGTCTAGGCATAGGGGAGCCATTCATAGTTCTTGAGGAAGGCTGTGGCATAATCTACCTGGGGTTTCAGGAAGAGCATTCCAGGGGCAGTGTGGAGGATGAATTCGAGGGGCTGAGAATGGGGCAGAGACCAGCTCAGAGGTTCTGCAGACCAGCGGAGAGATAAAGGGTAGATAAATCTAGATAAAAATTAGATAAACTTATTGAGGACTTACTATGTGTCAACACTTTCCATCTCAGTGTTAGGTGCCCTTGTTCCCATTTTGCAGATGAGGAAACCAAGGTGCAAAGGGGTTAAATAACTTGCTCAAGGTCACATAGCCAGTGAATCCAATTAGGATTCAGATCCTGGACTATCTGAATTCAAAACCCTGAAATTTCCCAGCCCCTGATGTATACAGGCAGAGAAGCCCCAGAAGGGGTGCTGGGAACAAGAGAAGGATCAGCAAGATTAAGAGATCTGGATGGCATCTTCCTTCCTCAGCGCTCCTGAGCTGAGCATCTTCCATTTGCCCCCTCCATGGCAGCTCTCTCTATCTAGCTCTGTAAGCTCTGGCAGGTGCTGGCAATGGCTCCCTTCTCTTGCCCTTTCAAGCCTGTGATGGTGATAGCACCCTATTTTTTTCTATGGGACTGTCTCTGGGTCTGGAGCTGAAAGAGGGCAATTTGGCAGCAGGTGCCAGCTTATGCCACAGCTATCTACAGTCACGAGGGTGGATGAGCTTGCCCAGGGAACATGGTGAGGATGGTACACAGGGGCTGGGCTTGGGGAATGTCTGACATATAGGAACCACCAGCAGGTGGGGAGGCAACGAGGGGCTGAGGCTGGATGGGACTGAAGCCTCCATTTCTCATATCCCCACCTGGAAATTGTTACCCACTGACTTCTCTGTCTTTGTCAAAAGGTGAGTGGAGAACAGTAAGAGGAGGTTTGCCGGTCTCCAAAGACAGCGCTCAGCTCTCTCGGGAGGTGAACTCACCAGCAGTTCTGTGTTATCCCTCCTGCCTCCTGGGGGTTCTACTGCTGTGAATGCAGCAGCCCTGGCTTTGTGCTCTCAGGGACATAGGAAGGCACGTGGAACTCTCTCAAGGGTTATCAGGAGAGCCTCATCTGGAAACTGAGTGACTTTCTTTTTGAAAAGCCTCTTCCATCCCCAGAGCCCTGGTTGGCTGAGAACTCAGGAGCCAGCCCCTAGGATGGATGCTGGTTTATGAACAGCACCTCTCAGGGATCCT
The DNA here is from genome assembly GCF_000001405.40 of Homo sapiens. Lineage (NCBI taxonomy): Eukaryota > Metazoa > Chordata > Mammalia > Primates > Hominidae > Homo > Homo sapiens. The sequence goes on from NC_000011.10 coordinate 45,462,247, forward strand.
CAACTGCCCCCGCCTGTGGCTTGTCTTGTCTAGCCCCAGCGGCCACCTAGCTGCAGAGAGGACACACCTCAGCAGCAGGGGAGAGAGGGGTGATGGTTCTAATTGCGTATGTTTAGAATTAAAGAAGGGGATGGCCAGGTGCGGTGGCTCACATCTGTAATCCCAGCACTTTGGGAGGTCGAGGCAAGCGGATCACGAGGTCAGGGGTTCGAGACCAGCCTGGCCAACATGGTGAAACCTCATCTCTACTAAAAATACAAAAATTAGCCGGGCACGGTGGCGGGCACCTGTAATCCCAGCTACTAGGAAGGCTGAGGCAGGAGAGTTGCTTGAACCTGGGAGGTGGAAGTTGCAGTGAGCCGAGATCATGCCACTTCGCTCCAGCCTGGGTGACAGAGCAAGACTCCATCTCAGAAAGAAAAAAAAAATTAAAGAAGGGGAGGAAAGGAAGGGGCTAGGAATTTGATTTGTACCTTGATACTGCAAACTTGAACAAAGGTAGATCCATTGAGAGCCATGAACTCGAGAGCTAGAAAAAACCTTGCAGAAACCCACCCCTCATTTCACAGATGGGGAAACTGAGGCCTAGGGAGGGGGAGTTACTCTCAGCCTTACAAACCATCCTGGAGCATCACACAGCACCGCCACTTGCCCTTACCACAGCCCTCACCTGGGAAAAGAATGATTATTTCATGCCAGTCACTGTCCATGTGCCCACAGCTTGTCCTGATCCAGATTTTACCCACCCTCGTGCTCACCGTGGAAGCAGCTGACTGCCCCACGACAGAGGCTGCCCGAGTGCTAGACAACTGTTTTTTTCACAGGGAGGAAATTAGATCTGCTTCTCCAAGAAAGGTGTTTTTGTGAGCCGAAATGCCAGCCAGTTGGGTGTGGCACGGGGCTCTGTGTGCTCCCCAAACTCCAGTCATGTAGAAGAAAGGGAGGAGGAAGGGGCTCAGGGCTTTCAGGGCCTTCAGAAGGGGCCTTGGAGAATGTTCAGGGGGGTAAATGGAGGTGCCAAGAGGAAGGGGCTTGCCCAGGGCCACACAGTAAAACGACACCCCATCCTTTGACCTCTTAGTGGCCCCTTTTCCCAGAGCAGACTGCTCCTTCACTCAGCATTTGAACCTCATGGGGCAAAGGGGGACTGAGCCAGCAGTGGCCAAGATGAGCCTGTCTTTATTTGTAAATTCAATCTGGGGTTTTCCAGCCATGCTAGATTGGATTACGGTTTAGCAAACATTTACTCCCCACCTCTTCCCACTCTGGTCGGGGTACATTCCCTGCACTGTTGAAGATGGGCTTGACCATGTGCATTGCTTTGAGCAAGAAATATTAGCTGACAAGACAGGGCAGAGGATTGAGCTGTGTTTGTGTGGATGGACCCACTGATCCCTTGTGCTCCGGTGATAACACTAAGAGGTTCCCCTGCATGGCTGTTGCCCTTCAGCTGGGTGGTACAATGAACTTATACAGTGTGAGCCCAACCTGCAGCCTGCAGCAGAGCCGCCCAGCTGAGCCCAGCGGAGACTAAGAGAATCTGGATCGATCTTCAGGCCCACAGATGGGAAAACAGGTGCTTGTTGATATAAGCCACTGAGATTTTGGATGGTTTGTTTCTCATTTTTGTGGCAATAGCTGACTGATACACAGATCTAAAGCTGAAGCAGAGGAAGGGGCCAAGAGCTGGTGTTGGAAAGAAGTAGGCTCTCCATATCCCTCCCACTGCCACAGCCCTGCAAGGGAAGGATAGATGGAGAAGATGCTGTGGGTGTTCTCAGTTAGCTCTAAGAGGCCACACAAGTGTGGGGAGGGCCCAGTGCCTCACTGCATGTCTGTAAGGGAGTTATCATCATCTCCATCTGAGGAACTCCAAGAACTGAGGCTCTCCAAGAACTCTCTAAGGTTGCTGAGGTAGAAGATGGCAAAGCTGAGACTAGAACTTGGTCTCTTGGCTCCAGTTTCCAATCCGCCAGGTAGCCCAACCCTGAGCCAGTTGAACAGTGAGACCAATGAGGATTGGAACCATGGCCTGGCCCAGCCACAGGAGCCAGAGAGAGGACAAGGCACAGTGCTGTGGAAGCGTCAGAGCTGTCTCTGCTCCCAAGGAGCTTCCGCCCAGCTAAGAAGATGAGGTTCACACTGGGAATCTGCAGGATCCCAGGCGATGCCCCCTGTGCCAACCTGGAATAAAGCTTTCACTCATCCCCACTCAGGACAAAAGGTCTGGCTGGGCTGGCTGGATCATCTTGGGTCATGGGGCCAGGTATGCGACAGCCCCTCTCCCTGGCAGTCAATGTCAGGCAGTGTTCCAGGCATGGGCTCTGGAGTCTGACAGAACAGCATTCAGCAACCCACTCTGCACCTTTCTGGCTGTGTGACCTTGGTCAGGGTGCTGTATGCCTTTGGGCCCTAATTCCATCATCGGCACAAGGGGGCTCACTGCCCCAGTTCACTGTGGGGGACAATGTGAGATACATGGAACACAGAACGAAGACCCTGGCACAAAACAGGCTCCCGATACCTGGCAGCAGCTGCTGTTTTACTATGATGAGGTGACTCAGAATGGCTTCAAACGCAGGTTTCAGTTTGCAGCAGCCAGGGTCTCCACTGGGAGACATCTGGCTCTTCCAGTATCCATGCTTGGAAAGGAAGTAGGTCAGAAGAGTTTTCCTATCACAATAGAGAGCTGCCCTTCACTTTGTGCCCCCAGATGAGAGCTTTGAGGGTCCCAGGAAAACAAGGCCCAGATGGCTTCTACTAAAACACCATGGTGAGCGGTTTAAAGATAGGGCTTTGAGCTGTCACTTGGTGGTTCACAGCCAGGCTTCATGGTCTGAGTAAGATCAGGCCTCAGTGAGGCCAGATATAGCCTGGAGAAGTGCAGGTTGAGTGGCTGGGAATGGAGTGCCCTGCTGGGACCTGGAGAAGTTTCCCAGCTCTACTCCCACCTCCCTGCAAGGCACATACACTTTCTTCTTGAGGATGATTCTCCAAGAGAACCTCCCTTGGGAACAGATCTTTGGAGAGGATGGAAGCCTCCTAAGAAGATGCCTCGTCTTCCGAATCTTCCTTACCTCCCTCCCTCTGAGACTCCCTTAGGGGTCCCACTGCTTACTCTGCCCTTCCAGTTTCACTGCACACTGGCCTTCTCATTCAGTAAGTCATTTTGAAGATATCTATTGAGTCTCTACTGTATGCCACGTTCTGTGCTGGGCCCTAGGGATGCAGCAAAGAAGACACCATGGTCGCCTGCCATTATGGAGTTTACCATCCTAGGAACAGGCAGGTTTGCTTGAGCCATCACCTGCACTCTCTCCTTGTTACTCTGTAGTCCAGACCAGGCAAAGCTGAGGCGTCTTGTCAATGTTAAGGTCATAAGGAGTGACCAGGGGTCCTGAAGCTCTGGTCACCATTGTGGGGTCACAATGTTAAGGAAACAGAGTTAGGCTGGCAAAACAAGGGAAAAGAAAAAAGAAAAAGAAAATAAGCTACACACCTGCCTTTCTTCACAATCCAGGACACATAGCCCTCCTGTGCAAATAACTCACAGTCTTCCTGTACCCAACTTACCACCAGACTCTCAGCTGATTAAAAAATGCAAGTTAGCTCACTGCAACCTTGGCATTATCAATACTACACATAGCCCTCTCCAGCACAAGCACCATCCTATGAACTCCCCAGAAAGCTTTTGTCTCCTTGCAGTCAGCTCCTCTCCTGCTAATCTACCCGTTGCTTTCTTACATCTTTTCATATCTTCTGTAATAAATCTGCCTTTCTATACCTATGACTGTCTTGATAAATTCCTTTACCACCCATGCCACCACCCCCATATAGTTGCTACCCATGACAGCCATCAGTCTGCTGTGCAACCTTGCATAAGTCGCTCCCCTGTTCTGGGCCTGGATTTCTTCCTATTTGAAGGGAGGGATACTGGACCAGATGACCCCTCAGGCCCCTCTTCTTTTGGTGGGTCCAGGAATTGACTCTCACACATGGGTTCACTCCCAGGATGTGATTATTCATGCAGCAGATCCTTGCAGAGGTCACTCTGGCCATGAAGCATGGCAGGGAGCCACCATGACCAGGCCTGGCCTTCCTTTCTCCAAGGAGACCCCAATTTAGGTTTTTTTAAAAACAAACAATGAGAAAAATCATTTGGGATACCAGCAAACTTAGGCCAAACAATTTTTCGCCTGCTCCATAATTCTCCTTCCTGAACAATATTGAGAGATCACCACCTTGGTTTCTGCCTATTTAGCCCTTATCTCCTGGGAAAAGAGCACACAGATCTTAGCATAACAGGCTTCATAGTCACTGTGTGTCTATTTCACTCCCAAGAGATAAGATAATCATCATTAATTATATGGTGAATAGTTGGGGGTGATTGTTGGCTTCAAGCCCATACAGAAAAGCCGTACCTCTTCCACTCAGGTTCTCACATTCTGGAAAGGAGAGGCAGCTGATGAAGCGAGGTGGCTAAGACCACAGACTTTGAAGCCAAGCTGCCCCTGTTCCAAGTCTGTTTGAGCTTGGGCAAGTTTCTGCACCTCTCTATGCCTCAGTTTGCTCATCTGTAAATTGGGAATGATTAGAATAGTCCCTACATATCTCAGAGGGTGATTGTGAGGATTAAATGAGCTATTGTTGAGTGTCTGGGTCCAACCAATGCCCCAGTAGTGTTTGCTGAATAAACACTAAGTAGGCCCACCCACTGCACGCCTCCAAGGCAAGGCTCAGGAATCAGACTCAGGAAACCCAATGCCATTGATCTTGTGGCCCATGCTAATCCAGTGACCTGAAAACAGCTAATTTTAATTCGTAGAGAACTCACTCTATGTCAGACACTCTTCCAAATGTTTTGTGGGTATATGTGTACATTTACCAAGTTAATCCTCACAATAATCCTAGAAGATATGTAAGCACTACTTTACCACTCCCATTTTATAGAAGGAAAAACTGAAACATGGAGAGGTTGCATAGCTGGTTGTGGGCATCAGATTTTAGTGCTACAGCTGGGCAGAAAGCAGAGCTGCAGGGGTCTCGAATCCCAGCTCTGTTAGCTCTGAGCAGCTGTGTGATGTAGGATTAGGCATTAACCTCTCTGTTTCTCATTAATTTTGAAATGGGGAAAACAGCACCTAGCCCACAAGGCCTGAGATAATGTGGGTGGCATGCCCAGCATGGTTTCTGGCATATGATGGGGCTCAGGAAATGGGAAAAGTTATAAAAAGGAAAAAGGGGGACTGAGCAGATGTCCTAACCCCAGGACAGCCCCACAGAAGCCGGGACCTGGGACCGTCTTTCAACTGCACTGAAGGTAATTGGAGTGGGGGCCCTCTCTCTTCCCACCCCCACTCAGAGCCCCACAGAATGGTCCTAGGAGTAAGGATGGAGGATGCAGACCTGGGAATCCGCCCACCCTGGCTTCCACTTCGGCTCCTCTACTTAACAAGCTACAGGTCCTTGGGCAATCACTCCCATCCGTAGCCTCACTTTTCCCATCTGTGCAAGGGGGCAGCAACCACCACTTCACAGGTGTGGTGAGGAGCAGATGAGACCATTTAGCTCACATTTATAAAGCCCTTGCCAAGTGTCAGCCACTCTTCTCTAAATGTCACACGCATCTAATCTTCCTAACATCCCTGCGGAATAGGTACTGTCATTGTCCCCTTTTACAGAAGGAGAAACTAAGGCTCACTGAGGTCAAGGGAGCGGGGTGAGGTCACGTAGGGGTAAATAAGCACCATCAGCCCAGGTAGGGCCACAGAACCCATGGCCCATGCATGACCAGAGTCAATTGCTCCTAGAGGTCCCTCCCCAGCTCCCTGGATTTGAAAGCAGGAAAACATGGGCTGTGTCCTGATTCATGCTCCAAGCTGAGATGTCCCTGGCAATTTGTAATGGGTCCCTAACTAAGTGTGGGGCTCCAGAGCACTCCAGAGTGGCCGATGGCATTCCCTGCCTCTTCTTACATTGCGGTCATCCCAGGCTGCTGGCAACACGTAGGGAGGAGCAGCCAGGCCTTCCTGCCTCCTGCCTCAGCTTTCTTCCCAGCATGGAGGTGAACATGATTTCCCCATGGCCAAGTCCTTTTCCCCAGAGCGCCTTCTTTCTGTTGTTCCAGTTTTGTGTCTCTCCTCGAGCTAAGAACAAATCGCTGTCTCGGCTCTGCTTGCAGGCGGAAGCGGAAACACGCTGCTGCAGGAAACTCTTTTGCCCCCAAGTGGCCCCTTGTTCACATTCCTGTGGCTCCAGAGGAGGACTGGCCTGGCCTGAAGTCATCTATCATGGCTGGTCAGGCTGGAGGGGCTGTTGGAATCAGCTTGTCCCACCTTCTCCTTTTCACAGACCCAGAAATGGAGGTGCAGACAGGGACAGGGCTCTGCTCAAATACACAGGAGCTCAAAGGAGGGGCAGGACAGCTACCATGGAAGAGCCTTATGACATGCAAAGAGTTTGGCTTCCATCCAATACTCAGTCCAGTCCCACAAGGTAGGTGTTATGGTTCCATTTTATAGATGAGGAAACAGCCACAGAGAGGTTAAGTTGCTAACTTAAGGTCACATAGAAAACTATGGTCAGGGGCTTTAAGCTAAGGTCTGTCTTGACTACTAAGTCAATGTTATTTTCTTACTCTCACACCATTAGTAACTATATATTGAGGTTGGGGGCCCAGGCAGGGCCTACCCACCAAAATGGCTGGATTCCTCTCACCACTGCCATCACCCAGAAAAGCTGGCAGGTAGGAGCCAGGATTTTCTTTTTTTCTTTTTTTTTTTTTTTTTTTCAGACAGAGTCTCATTCTGTCGCCCAGGCTGGAGTGCAGTAGCGTGATCTTGGCTCACTGCAACCTCCAACTCCAGGGTTCAAGTGATTCTTCTGCCTCAGCCTCCCAAGTAGTTGAGATTACAGGTGCATGCCACCACACCCAGCTAATTTTTTTGTTTTTAGTAAAGACAAGGTTTCACCATGTTGGCAAGGCTGGTCTTGAACTCCTGACCTCAGGTGATCCACCCGCCTAGGCCTCCCAAAGTGCTGGGATTACAGGAGTGAGCCTTGTGCCCAGCCAGGATTTTCTTTTTAACCTGTCAATCTGGGTTTTCTCTCCCAGCCTCCACCCCTCACCTTGTCTTTTTCCAGAAGAGTCTGCGACCATTTCAAGCTGGCAGTGATGCTGAGAGAAAGGCACCCTCCATTAAGCCCAGACCCCTTCCTCATTTTCTCCCTCTCCCCACTTGCTGTTTCTAATGGGTGCCACACTGGTCCCTCTATCCCCTTGCTGTGTCTCTGAGCCAGATGCTGCACCTGTTCCCACGTGTCAGAACCCTGCCTATTTGCAGGTAGATACAGGTTCAAATTCTTCCACATTCTCTATTGGCTGTGTGACCTTGAGCAAGTTACCCATGCTTACTCCTTTGCAAATGGAGTGATAATACCAGCTTTGGAGGGCTATTTGGAGGATTGGATGAGCTCTTGTAGGTCAAACAGTCTAGTGCCTGCACTGCAGTAGGCCCCAGGGATGGAAACTGCGGTGTGATGGTGATTTGGGTGGCATGGGTGGAACAGGGGTTGATTGCTAATAAGACAGAGGGGAGCATGGGGCCAGAGCAGTGCAGAATCAGGAAGCTGTGACTTAAATGCTAGGGAGAGGCTCCTGTGGTGACCAGGACCACGTCTAAGTGATACCAAACAGCAGGACATTCCAGCCAGCAGTAGGAGTCCCAGAGGAAGTGGCCAGGTGCCGCTCCGGGTGTATGGGGCCCATGGCAGGTAGGCAGTGGGCACCATGCCGGGCCTGGCCATCAAGCTGAAGTTCGAGGAAAAGACTCAGAACAGCCCTCTGAGGAGCATATCTGTATCCTTACTTTACAGATGAAGAAAGCAAGGCACAGACAGGGTAAGTAACTTTCCCAAGATCACCCAGAGAGTCGGTAACCAAGCCAGGATTAGAACCTATGCAGCCTGGCTCCAAATTCTGACCTGTTAACCAAATATTCTCTATGCCAGCTCACCATGGGTTTGAACTGAAATGCTGCCACATCATCATTTGCCCTGCCTTGGACCCCAGCAGAGCCAGAATGTGGACAGATTCCCAAGGGAGGCAGGAAAGCTAGGCCAAGTGCCAAGCCAGGCTTGCTTCATCCCAGGCAGACGAATTCTTCCTCCCTCTTCCCCTGACCCAACGCTACCAGAAAAAAAGTCTGGGCCCCAAAGACAATTTTTAACAGTTAAAAATTAAATGAGAGGAAACCATTTAATGAGAGCTGGAGGAGGCCGTGTTCCCTTGAACTTGCGGAGGTGGGGCTGGCTGCTGGCCCCAACTGCCCCCGTGCTCAAGCTCCCTTATGAAAAAATAGACTGTGCTGTGGCGGGCCTTGGGTGGTCTCTAAAGAGATTTGGGGCCAAATCAGCACCATCAGCCAAGAATATGCGGCAGGAGGTCCCAGAGCCCTGCCCAGGACAGTGACTCTGGACACAGTGACCTTCACTGGCTGGTGGGAGCAGCCCTGCCATAGAAGGGAAAAGGAGGGGGCACAGGAACCAAAAGGCCTCTCAGACCCCAGAGACTTCTTGGGGGCTGGCCGGATGCCTTCTCCTCCCACTCTTTGCACAACAGACCACAGCCTTCCTCTCACCCCCTGCTGGTCTTGGTAATTCTGCTCACTCTGCCATCCTCACAAGAGACCTTGAGGCTTCCCATGCCTCCTCCTAGGGTAGCTTCTAAGCCTCTTCCTCTTTGAATTACTCATTAAGCCCCCAGCTCCAGGCTCCCTTCTCAAGAGGAACAACCCTGCTGCCTCCAAAGTGAGCCTGAGGACCCATGGTGAGACAATCTCATGGGGGTGGCTTCCTCACTACCATGTGGCATCACGCAGGCCGCTTACCCCCTCTCCAGCCCTGCACACATTGTCTGATTCACATTCTGCAGGATAGGAATGATGTCCCCTGCAGTTGTGCAAGGCAGTGGTCCTGCCTCCTGAGAGCTAGAGGCCTGAATTGTCCAAAAGAGCATGGGAAGAATGGAAAGGTCAACAGGGGCAGGAAGGATGGCTCCAGGTGCCACCAGACACACTTAGGCAGCCCTTGGATGAAGGCCTTTCATTCTCTTGGGCTGGAGCAGGGCAGGGGGTGACCACCTTCCCCTCTTCCCTCCACCAGGCATTGGCGTCCATGGGTTCTAGGCTTTGCCAAGGGAACCAAGCAGCCCTGCTTCCTGGTAACCCTTTCCCCGTCTGCTGGCATGGCTGCTTGGCTGGATCGAGCCCCTCAGGTGGCAAGCATGAATCCCTCAGAGGCAGCCCCAGGGATGCCTGGGGAGGACTTTGCTTCAGAGCTGGGCCCCATCTCGACTTCAGCCCTTACAGGCCTTGTGGCCTAAGGCAAGGTGATTGGACCTCTGGCTCCAGTTTGTCTATCTGTAAATGGGGGTCACAGCTGCTATGGAAAACAGTATGGAGGTTCTTCAAAATGTTAAAAATAGAACTACCATATGATCCCGCAATCCCATGTCTGGGTATATATCCAGAAGAATTGAAACCAGGATCTCTAAGAGATACCTGTACCCCATGTTCACAGCAGCACTATTCACAGTAGACAAGACTGAAACAGCCTCAATGCCTTATGACAGATGAATGGATAAAGATAATGTGCTGGGGCCGGGCGCGGTGGCTTATGCCTGTAATCCTAGCACTTTTGGAGGCTGAGACGGGTGGATCACTTGAGGTCAGGAGTTCAAGACAAGCCTGGCCAACATGGTGAAACCCTGTCTCTACTAAAAATACAAAAATTAGCCAGACATGGTGGCAGGCACCTGTAATCCCAGCTACTCAGGAGGCTGAGGCAGGAGAATTGCTTGAACCCAGGAGGTGGAGGTTGCAGTGAGCTGATATCACGCCACTGCACTCCAGCCTGGTCAACAGGGTGACACTCTGTCTCAAAAAAAAAAAAAAAAAAAAAAAAAAAAGATAACGTGACATGTATACACAACAGAATATTATTCAGCCTTAAAAAAGAAGGGAATCCTGCCATATGCAACAGCATGGATGAGCCCGAGGAACATTATGTTCAGTGAAATCAGCCAGTCCCAGAAGGACAACTACAGCAGTTCCATTTGTGTGAAGGATACAGAAGTCAGACGCATAGAGGAGGTGTAGAATGATGGCTGCCAGAAGCTGGGAGAGGGGAAAATGGAGGGTTACTCAATGTATAACTTGAGTGTCAGTGATGCAAGATGAACCATTCCTAAAGATCTGTGCTCTAGTGCCTGGAGTTAACAGTGCCATAGTGTGTACTTAAAAACCTGTTCAGAGGGTAGACCTCATGTTAAGTATTCTCACCACAAAAACAAATCAAAAGCAGGGGGCACAAGGAAACTTCTAGACATGATGGATACGTGTGTTACCTTGATCGTGGTGATTTCTGGCATGTCTGCCTATGTCTAAACTCATCAAATTGTGTACATTAACTGTGCTGTTTAGTGGTATATCAATTATCCCTCAATAAAGCTGTAAAAAACAAAAAGAGGTGGGGAAGTTGGGACTGGCTAAAAATTGCTGAGAGGAAAGAGTTCGGTGCTGGCAGGAGGAACAAAAGCTGCATTTAACGGGCACCTTCTTAGCGCCACCCCTTGTAAGCGCCGCATGTGCATGATCTCATTTCTCATTTCATTGTCACACACACCTGTAGTGGGGGAATAATTTTCTCCACTCCACACATACCTCTGACTCTTGCCTCTCACTGATCAAGGCTGATGGGCTCTCACTCTTCCCAGGCACTACGCTGGCCAATGTGGAGAGAGACAGTTGAACTAACGCGGCTTCCACCCCTCCACCCAACCCGTGCCGGCCACCAACGGTCTCCCTCTGTGGCCCAGCCTAACACTCTGGGAACAGGAAGGCATGGCCAGTGGGGTCTGTTGCCCCCAGGGAAGCAAGCCTCTGCGCAGGGGAGGGAGAGGACGATCCATGTCCTTGGCCTCTCCACCCACTTTTGTGCCTCACCCCCCAGCCCATCCCTTCAAAGGAAGCTCTGTCTGCCCCGTCTGTGTTCCTTTTGGCCCCTTTCTCCCCTCTCCCTTGGAGGATTTATGGTTTTAATAATGCTGTCTTTCTCCACCAGCCTCACTTACTGTTTAGTCCCCTCTAAAGATCCTTAAAATTAAAACACTAATCAGGAATTTATTTTCTCATCAATTCTGCCCTTCAGGTTATGAGGCCCAGGTGTTTTCATAGCCTGCTGGTGGGCCATGGGGAGGGCCCTGCAGAGGAGAGATGATGGGCGCTGGGAATGGAGGGTTCTGGCTCCAGTCTCTTGAGAGAGAAGGGAGAGGAGATGGGGAGAGACTACAAGAGACAGAGACAGTCAGGCCTGAGGTCAGGGAGAAACAGCAACAAGCGGAGACAGTGTAAACAGTAACCAAGGGAAACAGAGAGAGCACAGCCTGCTGTTCGGGGGAGGAGAGAGAGACAGAAGGAGGGCTGGGGACAGAGACCAAGGCAGAGAGACACACAGATGGCAGGAGGTGCAGCCAACAGGGATAGAAACCAGAGAGATGCAGAGATGGAGTGGAGGAAAGGGGCAGGGAGTGGAAGAGAGAGAACAGAGAAATGGCAAGCAGAAGAGCCTGGGAAGATGGGGCAAGAGAGGCAGCAGAGAGCCAACAAGCCAAGTGCACACACTGGGGTAAGGAGAAACTCGCCCCTCTCCTCGGAGGGGCTGTACTCCTGCAAGTTGACATCTTTAGTGGGGATTGTGCAGCACATCTGCCAGACCACAAGCTCCATGAGTGCAAGGTCTCTAGGTTTTTCCCCTTTTGTGTCTGCAGCAATCAACGGGGCAGGCTGATTTCTGGCCCTGGGCTCCTTTTAGCTCTGAGATTCTACAAGGTACCTAGTGAAGCCCCTGGGAGGCCTTCTCTTTCCCCTCCCTCTAAGCCACGAAAAAGCTTGTTGGATCCTAGGCCTGCCTCCCCTGCCACCCCCTACCTTCTTTCAATACAGGCAGCTCTGAGAAGGCATCATCTCTTTCCACCAGCCTCCTGCCTACCCAGAGGGGTTGTTTGCAAAGTGCATTTCTCTTGACCCAACATTTCTGTTCCCTACATGGGAAACATTTGAGATCCATTAGGTCACTCTGAGCACTGAATGAGGAGTCTAGGCTGTGTGATCACGGGCAGGTCACTGGCCCTCCATCCCCTTCATGTGTAGAATGAGGGGCTGGGTTTCTCTCTGACAGGCCCTTCTGGCCCTGATCATCTAACCGTCTTTGACTTGACCATTTCAGAAGACCCAAACTAAATAGAGGAATGGAAAAATCTATCCTCGTTCATTTATTCCCTTGACAAAAGGTCTTAAAGAACTGCTAACATGGAAGACGCTAGGCCAGGCACTGAAGTCACCCTAAGGAGCCTGACCTGACCTTAGGTCATTATAAAGTCACAACCTCCATTTGCTCCTCTGTAAAATAGGAGGGTGTGGTGTTGAGGGCGTTTTGGTTCAGGAAAGGGCTTTGTAAACAGAAGTCAGGTATCAGAAGGGGTGGTCTAATATCAGAAGTGTGGAGAAACCTCATTAGAATAACTCATGCTGACACCTCCGAGGTCTCCCAGGACCTATATGGGCTTTCACTCTGGCTCAGGTTCTGCTGGTGCCAGGTCAGGCCTTAATCTCATGAATATTCCCATCCTGGAAGGCCTGAAAAACATCTGAGTTTGAGTCTCAGCTCCGGCACTTGCAAGGTCAATAGCCTTGGGTAAGTCACTTCCCCTCTGGTGGCTTCAGTGTCTTTCATAGGAAGATAAATAATCCTGTCTCAGCTGAAGGGAGACGTAAGGCTTAAACTGAGGTCAAAATACCAGGCACACAGTAGGTGTCTGAAAAAATGCTTGCTTGAGGCATGATTTAAGCCAAAAGAACAGCGGTAGGTAAGAGTACCAGTGTGTCATGTTACCCAAACAAGGATGTCCTGGGATTGTGGCACAGCCAACAACAGAGAGGCAGGGAGGTCCAGCCTCCCTGCTCAATATGGCCTTTGCTGGGCCAGCATTAGCATTTTGCAAGATGATTCAGCATCTTGCAAAACCAGGGGGCTTAGCCGGCCCCCACTTCGTGCTGAGAGGCTTGTTCCTGCCACAGCCCAGCTTGTCTACCTGATAGGTAATCAATGCATTTATGATCCAAGACCACTTGCACAACAGGAGGAGGGAAGAATTGCCCTTCCCAGGTCTGAATAGCAGCAGGCCCAGCCTGATTTAACTCACTGGGCACCTTTCTAACCTCAAATCTTTTCTCTCTTCAAGTCAGAGTATCTAAGAGCTATAGAACCCAGGATCATAATCAAAGGACTTTTCATACCCCTATCCCAAGGGATAGATGAGTCGTCCTGTGGGGTCCCTCTCATTGGGAATCAGTACCTGTCAAATTACATAAACTGGAAAGGAATTTGGCTGTATCCTCAAGAGGTTTGGAATCCTGAAATAATAGAGTCATGGTCTCTAACTTAGACTCGTATGAGAGAATATATGGCTTATGGGAAAAGGTAGATTTTGTTGAGAGGGACAAAATAATTGCACTATAATTATGTTTCATTTATGCTGTAACCACAGATCTAGAGTTGCACATGATGCTGCTGGTGGTATACTCCAGGATTCAGAGGCAAATTTAATACTGTGGAAGCTAATAGAATTTATTATGATGCTGATACTTACGATCAAATGTATTGGGAGAGCAAATCAATACCCCTTTTGAATGTTCTACCTGTGAAGGAGAATTGGCCTGAAGAAGATTTAGATTTGATTCATAATAGATTGATTATGGTTCTATCACTCAACAAATGTATACAATTAAGTGCAGAGAGCTATAGATCAAGGTAGCAAAAGAATTGTGCAGTTAGTACAAAAATATGAGAAAGTTTGTGCTGGTATTATTGGATGGTTCAGCTGTCTGTTTAAATCAGGACCAAGCTATTATAAAATGCGTGGAATCTGTGTGAGCATCTTAATTACAGATGGTCCCTGACTAAGGATGGTTCAACTTATGATTTTTTGACTCTGTGATGGTGTGAAAGCAATATGCATGCAGTGAAAACTGTACTTCAAATTTTGAAGTTTGATCTTTTGCCAGGGTGGAGATATGCAGTATGATACTCTCTGCCAATGCTGGGCAGCAGCGGTGAGCCTTTCTGTTTTTCACTTTCACTACAGTATTCAATAAACTCCATGAGATATTCAACACTTTATTATGCAATAGGTTTTGTGTAAGATGACATTATTCAACTATAGGCTACTGCAAGTGTTCTGAGCATGTTTAACGTAGGCTAGGCTAAGCTATGACATTTGGGAGGTTAGGTGTATTAAATGCGCTTTCAACATAAATGCATTTTCAACTTAGGGAGGGTTTATCGGGATGCAGCTCTGTCGTCAGTTGAGGAGTATCTGTACTGTTCAAGTAAGCATGATGGTTTTGTTATAAAAAGGCCTTGCCCATGGGACATGGGATGTGGATGATGCCTTGAGCTGCCTTGCTAACATGGCACAGACACGTAAGCATTTCCCTACTCAGCACTGACCCCTGGTCAGGTCAAGAAACATACTGGATCATAGTGTTGCTCTGTAATCAGGGGTCGGAGAAGTTTTGGGGCAGCTTGGACCAGCTTGTCAGCATTGTTTTTGGATAACAGTGAGATTGATGGTTTGCACTTGGTCTTGGTGAGACCCTTGAAAGGCATTGTTTAAGCTGGTTATGTAGCAGGTATCTTCCTACGTGACCAGCAAAATATGAATATGCTGAAGCTGAGAGTCTACCCTAGTTCCGAGGTGTTCCATTTGATGACAGGAGCTTGTACCTGTCTTCTCCAGCCTCCTGGCTGCAAGGTGTATCCTTACCCCAACACTGCTGCTACCTGTATCCTTTTCCTGTAATCAACTCTAGATGTGTAAGCATTGTCATTTTGGGTCCAGTGAATTTTCTTTAGTGATTGAGTCTATCTCAACCACTACTATTAAAGTTAAGCATCTATCTTCCATGTTTTATAGGTGAGCAATGAAAACCCAGAGAGGTTTTCATTGACTTATCCACAGCCACAAGCATGTTAGTGGTAGAGCCCAGACTGAAACCAAAGGCTCAATTTTCAGCCCAGAGCTATGATTCTGTTTCTTCCTCCTTACCTTGTTGTTTGGAGGTGAGTGGACACTTCCCAGGATGCCTAGAAGAACCAGGAAAGAGCATCGACCACTAGGTAGGCATCAGAGTAACCGGAGAATTAACCCAAGATGAGGTGAGTTTGGAAACCAGAAAAGAGATGGTAAAACCCAAGACTCAGTGAGAACAGATTGGGAAAGAGGCTCAGGACTGCATCTGTGAATGGTGAGTGTATCATTCAGGGTAGGATAAGTGCTGTAACAAACAACCCCCAAACCTCAGGCACTGAATACAAGGAAAGTCTTTCTTGTTCATATCATAAGTCCAAGGCAGGTCAGTGGGAGAGGGCAGTGCTGCTCCACGCAGTCACTCAGGGGACCCAGGCTCCTTCCATCTCATGGTTCTGCTCCCCTCTGGGTCCCTTTAGGCCTGCTTCATCCAGAGAAAATGTGGGGCAAGAGAGAACACTGATGTTCCAGCAGGCCAACCCAGGGAGCACCTCTGTTATGAACACCCTTGGTCTACATGTGAGTGTTAAGGGGTCAGGGAAGAGGAGGCTGACTTCCTTTCTTGCTGTTGGGTGGTGGAGAAGGGGCCTGAGCCAGTTCACAGCTTTGTGCTTCTATGTCCCCAGGAGCTCTTCAGACATCTTGACTCCAGCACATAAGCTTTGACATGAGCTGTCTCAAATCCCAAACATGCATTCAACCCAGGGTGTCCAGGCCCCTCTGGGCTCCTCCAGTGTCTGAACCCCACATCCCAAGCTCATCTAATTATACCCTTGGAGGAGCGCTTCACTGGTCTTGCAGATCACTTGTCATCCATCATAGCCTCGGGACAAATCACAGTCGGATATGAATTATGAGTTGTTCTTCCCCAGGATGGGCTGTTCTCCTACTTCAAAACACGTGTATTAATGGAAAAGACCCTGTTGGAAGTTGATTCCAGTAGCTTAAAAGCAGCAAGAAATGGACATTTGTATATAACTCAAGAGAGAACCTTTGCTGGAATTTTCCACCAGGGCTGGCAGTGGGACTCAGTGGGGCAGAGAGTAAAGGCTCAGAGTCAGCCTGGGAAGAGTTCCTGGATGAGACATCTCAGAACACAGTATCTCTGGTATGGGAGGAACACAAGCCTTGGGGCGAGACATCTCTGGCTTCTACTTCATGTGACAATGCTGTGTGACATTGGGCAAGTCAACCCACCTCTCATCTGTAAAATGGGTCTAATCACAGTACCTTTCTCAGGAATGTTGTGAGCTTTCGTCACATAACGCACTAAGGCACCATGCCTGGCACCCATGAGGCATCAGTAACTGGTCCCTCCCCTGCCCTCCCTCCCCTGCCCTTGAACCCTTTGTGATAAGGGGAGCCCAGAGCCCTTAAATCATTAAAAGGAGTCCTGCAGGAACGTGCTACTCTTCTGGGAGCTGAGGTTGTTATGTGTCTATACAAGAGTGTGAGATGAAGCTTCCACACCTTGTTCTGGAGATCTGAGGCCAGGAAGTGGGCAAGGTTTGGAAGCTTGATTTTGCAATGAGCTCCTCCATTTCTTAACTATTTTTTCACCCAGCCTGGGAAAGCTTGGGCTTGTAAAATGCACTTATTAGTCGAAATGATCTAAATCTAATCTAATTCTCCCAAGGAAACGATGTAATGATGTTCCTCACTAAAGACCTGATGCTCAACATTTTATAAAATGACCACAAACATCTTTGTTAATCACCTTTAAACGGCATACCTGTGCTTTGGGCAGCAGCAAGCTTTCAGAAGTGCTTCTAAATCAATTGAACAGGGCGACGTTAGTAAGCACTCACATAAAATACTGTTTAATATGAAACAGAGTACAAAAAGGTCCTCATCAAAGTTCTTGTTAATTTTCGCCTCATTTTCTCTGCAGTGACTAATAACACCTAACATTTATTGCGTGCTCACCATGTGCCAGGCACTGCTCCAAGCTCTTTACAGACATCATGTCATTAAGCCCAGCCCAACCACACAATGAAGACTGGGGCCCAGAGAGGTAAAGGGTCCTTCCTATAGTCACACAGGTAGGAAGTGACAGAGCCAGGCTTTGAACTCAGATGATAACAGTATAGAATATATCAGAAGGGTCATCTTTCAGAAAGACTTCTCTGGCCAGATTTGGCAGATGACTTGAGGGGATATTTGGGGACAAGGGCTCCCTAGCTGGTTGGCTTTGAAAAATATCATTCAATTATATTTGCTTAATGCCTTTCTGTTCATTTCTACATTTGATCAGCCCCATCCTAGGCACCAAGGGCATTTGAGAGCTTATCCCTTTCCCGTAGGGGAGATAGATGAATGATCCATTCCAAACCAGGAGAAAATCACAGTAGAAATACACCCCATGTTTGACATGGTATGGGGAGGAAATGATTGGTCTCGGGAAGTCTGAGAAAAAAAGTGATTTCTGGGAAGGATTTTGGAAAATCTAAGAGGAATTTTCCAGGCAAAGAGAAAAATGCATCCTAGCCAGAGGTATTCATGGAGGCACAAGAACTAGGTGGAATGAGTGTAGACCCACAAGAGGTTTGGTGTGGCTGAAGCACAAAGCGTGAATTGTCAGGGGTGGAGAAGGGGTGTACCAAGAAGTTGTCCTGAAACCCGCAGAGTTTTGCAGACCATTCAAAGACATTGGGACTCTGTCTCCCAGGGGAGGAATACTGTATCAGTCAGGACTCTTATAGTTACCAATAACAGAAATCCAATTCAAATGGTCTTGGTCTTGAAAAGTTTTGACTCATGTAACTAAAACCATCAATGTGAACTGCATTCAGGCGTGGCTGGCTCCAGGTGTTCAAATGATATCATCCGAAGTCTATCTCCCTTTATCCCTTAACTATGGTTCCTCTGGCTTAATCCTCAGGCAGTCTCTTTCAAGTGGTGACAAAGATGAGCTCCAGCAGCTCTAGGGTTACATCCAACCAACTGGGCAATCCCAGAGAAAGAAAGTGCATTGTTCTTGGTAGTTCCAACTAAAGCCCTGGGGCAGATGTCACTTAGATCTAACTGCCTACCTAAGTGGCTTATACTGCCACTGAGGAACAAACTCCAGATGTCCAGAGACCCTGGGGTCCTGGTCTACCCCTGACACAACTGAGTGGCCTTGGGTGAGTTCTTCTACTCTGTGGGTCTCGCTCTCCTCTTCTGGGGACAGGTAGACTTGAGGATCTCTAAGGCTCTTTCTGGGTCTAACCTTCCAGTCTGCCTGGAGCCTGCCAGCTCCAACTGCTGTCTGTGGGGCATGATGGTGTCTGCATAAGCATCTGAAAACCCACAGCTGTCCCCAGGGAAGGTGGTGGGCTTACCTGGCACCCTCCACACCTCCTTGCTCTTTCTCTTTGTGACCCAGTAACACAGGATGATGGGAAGGTGGTGGGCTTACCTGACACCCTCCACACCTCCTTGCTCTTTCTCTTTGTGACCCAGTAACACAGGATGATTGGAGGGTGCCTTGACTGGTTTGGGGAGGGGAAGCAGGTATAGCCACTCCTTCCCCAAGGCCCTCAGAGAATGGGCTTTAAGACCAACAGCACCATGTGTCAGCCCACTATGCTACCAGCTGCCAGCTTGGGGGTGTGCAGGTGAGACAGCCTGCCCCAATGCAGGGCAATTTAATAATCACAGGAAGATGGTTTCACCAGGAAGTATGACTGTTTAATCCTTAAATTGAATTTTATGTGATTTTTTTCTCTCCTTGAATTCCCATGGTACTTAATTCTAGTGCTAATCTCCAACCCTGACTCTAATTTATGATCTGGGTCACAGTTGCATTTTATCAGACAGCGGAAAGGCTGCTCACACATGACTTCATGGTTGTGGGCAGCCATTCTCTGCCCCAACAGGCATGTCCTTACTGGAGGCGGCTCTGTCCCTGGCTCACTAGGCCTCCTCTCTTCCCTGACTCTAATCTTTCTTGTTCTCCATTCCACCTCTGGTCAGGACAACGTCTGATGCTCATTTGTATTATCTGGCCCTTCCCAGTGCCCTTTACCTCCAGGGGGTACTGTCCTCATTTGTCACCCTTGTTCTCAGGGCAGGGAGCAGAGAGAGGCTCTCAGTTGGAGAACAACTGCTAACGAAGGGCCTCCCCCAGATGCCGCATTTGGAGAGTAAAGAAAGATATCTATCCCTCACGGTCCTCCCCGTCTCCTCTCGTACACACCTTGTGCTAGGGACAAGATGCTTGCCCATTGTCAAGGGCAGTCTGGCACCATCAAGACCTTTCTTGTGCCAAGAACTAGGCACTCTCTTGTTTTTCCTTTCTTCCCTCCCTCTCCTCCCTTCCTTCCTTCCTCCCTCCTTCCTTCCTCCCCTCCTCTCTCTTCCTTCCTTCCTCCCTTCCTCTTTCCTCTCTTCCTCTCTTCCTTCATTCCTTCCTTTCTCTGGCTCTCTTTTTCTACCCCACTTCCTTGTATTTACCCAAATATTTACTGAGCGTCTACTTTGTGCTGGTCCTTGTGTCAGGTGCTGGGGATCCCACAAGCAAGACTAGCAAGGCCTCTGCCCTCCTACAGCTGGAACGCAGGAGAGATGGGCAACAAACTTGTGAACCAGCCCTCACCTCCATGAAGGTGCCAATGGGGGACTTGTTACCCCTGAAATAGTGACATTTGAGCCATGACCTGAAGGACAGAAAGGCTCAAGAGCAGAGGGAGGGATTCTAGGCAGAGGAGTGGCCGGTGCAGGAGCTCTAAGCCAGGACAGGACTTGGCTTGTGTGAGGAGTAGAGGGAAGTCAGTGCAGCTCAGGCAGAGTGGGCAAGGGGGAAGGTGACCTGAGCAGAAGTCAGAGTAGTGGGCAGGAGACAGAGAAGAAGGAGGTCAGAGTTCACAACAAGTCAGATGACATCTATGCTGCCCTCCTTGTCCTTTCTCCTTTCTCCCAAGTGTCATCATCTGAGACCCTACGAAGTGCCCCCACCCTGGCACTTTGGGAAACTGGAAACCACGTTGGGGCTAAGGCTGGATTTCTCTCTGGAAAGCCCAGGTGAGGGCTCCACACCTAGCCTGGTGAGCAGAGAAACATTCTGCCCTTGAGCTTCCTCTCTAGAAGGACAGGGCAGAGTTCCAGAGTGGGCTGTGGGAGGCCTTACACACAGACAGAGGGAACAGCGCATGTGAAGGCCTCGAGGCGTGGGGCCTGTAAGGAGAAACTCCAGTCACTCATTCTGCTCTGGGGTGGTGCCACCAAGAAAAGCTGCTTTCTGGGTCTTTCCATTAGATGACGGCGGCAGCAGAGGGAGGAGGAGTGAGAGAAAGGTGGGGAGAAAGGGGGAAGTATTGGCAGGGTGGCTGGAGCTAGAGGTCGGGCAATGAGCCCAAGCTACTGAGAACCAAGGAGGAAACTGCCCCAGAAGCTGCCACCTGGCCCTGACCCTAAGAATACACTTGGGGCTCATTGGACCAGGGTGAAGAAGGCTGGATCACTCCTGCTCTGAGCCTCTCACCCATAGCATCACTGGTTGGTCCTGGGACTGCAGATCCAAGCTGGGTCCTGCCATGGCTGCATACAGGCTGAGTGACCTTGGACATGCCACTGGACCATGCCGTGCCTCAGTTTCTCCATATGAACACATAGGGGCATCTCTCTACTTCAGGGGACTATTGAATCCATGAGCAAATTCAGGCAAAGGGCTTAGCAAATGCTACTACCATTAGGCTGGCAGGTGAATAAGGTAACTACGGCCCCTCAGGCAAGAACGCAAAGCAATATGTGCCTGGATGGGCGGGATGAACAGAGTGGTGTAGGAGACCAGTAGCCCCTAGCTAACCTGAAGACCCCAGAGTGGGAGTTGGGAGTTAAGGGAGGCTTCTTGGAGGAAGTAATGTGGAGTAGGCCTTGAAGGCTGAGCAGAATTTCATTTGCAGAAGGTAGCAGTATGGGCCAGCCAGAGGAACAGGCACAGCTTTGTGTTTGGGGAAGAGCAAATGGTCCCACAGAATGGACAAGACAGGCTGGCAGGCAGGGTAGGACAGAGGGACAGGATGAGGTGGGATAGGTAGGTGGGGACCACATAGCGCCAGCCCAGAGTGTCATCCTAAGGAGGCTGACTTTATGCTTAGACTAGGAATAATGTTCTTTCCTCTCAAAGCTGGGAAGTGAGTGACATAATGAGATCAGATGTAAATTTGCAAGGCTCTCTTTGGCAAATGACTTGGGGGTGGGAATGAAGCTGCCGGGAGGAGGCTGGGGCTGCGGGAAGGAGGCTGGGGCTGCCTTGGGACCACAAAGAAGGGAAACCCGGAAACCCCAGTGTTCAGGCCTTGGTGAGGAGCAGATGCTTCCCTGAGAGTTGACATCCTGGTGCTAGTCCCTTATGTGCAGTTAACTTTCTGGGTGACCTTGGGCAAGTCACTTTCCCTCTCTGGGTCTCCACGCACCCTCATCTGTATAATGAGCACACTGGACTAAGTCCATGCTGCCAGTTCCTGCAGCAGCATGGGGCTCTCAAATTCAGATGGCCCCCAGGGAACCAGCAGGAAATGTAACTAAGAAAAGAGAGGCATTGGGAAAGGTGGGAGGTGTGGGTCCCTGGAGAAAACTCCAAAGAGGGGGCTATTGCCGTGGAGCAGGGTAGGATGAGTATTAGAGTTGCTGACAATTCTTCAAATATTTTTAAAGAGAAGCTGAAAAGTCAATTTTTTTCCTTAAGACATATCTGACTTTTAAACATTAGCTCAATTCTTTAAAAGAAAAAAGTCACCACTTGGGTCATCCCAGACTCATCTACTGGCCGGGGGCTACTCACAGCCTACCAGTTTGAGACCCTGTGTTGTAACGTTTCTGGAAAGGTGAGACAGCAGATAAAGAGGAGGGGGCTCTTGCAGGGGAGTCGTGGGCACCCAAGATTAAGGACAGGCTGGTGCCTCCTTGCAGCAACCGTCTCTGCCTGCTCTCAGCCCACAGTCTCTTCTGAGCTCACTCAGGAACCGGGAGTCTGTTTTCATTAGAAGCAGAACACTGAACCGGCCCTGAAGGCATGTAAACCAGCTCCCCTGTCCAGGAGGCTTTTAGATATACCTTGTAAACTTGCCTTTCAGACCTGACAAGAGGCAGCCTTGTCAGGAGAGAGGATGGCGAGCAGAAGGCTTCGGTCCTGCCTTTATCAATCAGGTGCCAGCGGCGGGAGGAAGTGGAGGGAAAGAGGAAGATTCCAGGAGGCAGGATTCAGCAGCCCCGAGGTGGTGTCAAGGGCAGAGACCTGAGATCGTAGTCACTTTTCTGGCCACTGCTGGCTGTGTCACTCTGAGTAAGTCACTTAACCCTCTGAACCTCTGCTGCTTCCATCGAAATGCAAGGATAATAAAACCACCTCGCATGGCTGGTTACACAATCACCTAGGGCTGGGTACTACCATTATTTCCACTCTATACAGGAGGGGGCTGGATTCCGGAACTTGCTCAGGGTCAATACAGTCAGTAAAGGCAGAGGTGAGACTTCAACCCAGGCACTCTGGCTCCAGGGCCCACACCTTCAACCAATACACTGAGAGGCTAGAGGAGAAATGAGAAGGAGCTTTGGACCAGGAACCACGGCTGCCTAGGAACCTGCTGGGTGGCCTTGAACAGCCCTTTCCGCTCTCTAGGCTTCAAAATGGAGGTGGCTGTTCAACCTCTGGAATCCTCCAGCTCTGAGGATCTTACTCAACACATACTCATTTATCACTTTCTCTGCATTAAGGCCTTGGAGAGAGAGACAGCAGAAAACAAGACAGACAGACAGACGAGGTCCCTGAGCTCTTGGAGTTTACATTCTGGGTCTCGATGCAGGGGTGAGGAGACAAGTGCAAAGATGAAGGATGCTTCCCAGGCAGTGATGTGTTTTGAAGCAAACAAAGCAGGGTGGTATCGGAGTGATGGGAGGTGGGCATGGCAGAGCAGGCAACTTTAGATTGGGGGGTCATAGGAAGCGTGTTCGGAAGGGGGCAGTTAAACCCCTATGTGGATGGTGAGGATGACTCAGCCTCTTACAGACTGGAATCAAGGGAATCATTCCAGACAGGGGAACAGCAGGGGCAAGCTCAGTGTTTTCAAGGACGGGAGAGAAGCTGATGCAATGTTAGGAGTCTGTGAACCCTTCCTGTCCTCCCCTGCCCCCTGCTCTGGAGGCCAAGGGGCAGGCAGCCCAAGGAAGAGAGAGATGGTGCCAGCCTTGAGTTCTCCCATAAACTTGGAGGACTGGCCCTTTAATAATCCCAGGTGGGCACTCAGCGCAATTGCAGTTTGAAGATCCCAGCTTGCTTAGCACAAGTGGAAAATTACCTTAGCATCTATTCTGTATTGCCTTTTGATCCCGATTTCATCATTCAGATGTACAGCAGTGCGTTTTCAATGGGTACAATTTAATTAGGCTCAATTTGTATAACTAAATTATTAAAGACTCATTTAGAAAGAGTTTCAAGTCCAAGGTTCACTGGGCTCCACCGTTTGCTTGAAAACACCATTTGGAATAGAGCCGCTGATGACTCTGGATTCTGGAGTGTTCCCCTCCTCCACCTCCAGCAGCCTGGGCCTGGCTTGTCATTTAATTTCCATCTCATTTAATAGGATGTCTTTTGCATATCTCTGGGTCCTGGAGCCTCTGACAGGTGTCTCCTGTAATTACATAGAGGTTCCTTTTATACTCCTTTAGTCAGTCATCAAACATTCATGGGAGGCTTGGCATGGTGGCTCAAGCCTGTAATCCCAGCACTTTGGGAGGCCAAGGTGGGTGGATCCCTGGAGGTCAGGAGTTTGAGACCAGCTTGGCCAACATGGTGAAACCCTGTCTGTAATAAAAATACACAAATTAGCTGGGTGTGGTGGCATGTGCCTGTAACCTCAGCTACTTGGGAGGCTGAGGCAGGAGAATCACTTGATCCTGGGAGGCAGAGGTCACAGTGAGCCAAGATCGTGCCACTGCACTCTAGCCTGGATGACAGACTGAGAATCTGTCTCAAAAAAAAGAAAAAAAATTCACGGGAGCAGTAGGATAGTAAGGTCCTGTGCCAGGAGCTTGGGATGGGAATTAAAAGGTAGCCAAGATGCAGGCCCTGAAGGCACACACCTTATATCCTAGAAGGGAGTGGAGAGGGAGCAAATTCAGGATCCCATTTTCATCCTCATTAAATCCTGTGAGGTGGACAAGGAATGGCCCTCAGCCCCATTAGCAGATGAGGACTGCAAGGGTTTGAACTCAGAATTCTGGGCTAGCTCTGCTTCATCGCGATCTTTCTTCCTTTGTGGATGGGATGCGAGCATACTTGCCAAGGCAGAAGTCGAGGCCAGAAAGGATTGGGTGGGGCCGGGGTCCTGAGAAAAACAGCTGGGAATAGACTGCTTGCAGATATCAGACCTGGAGGCCCAAATCCTCCGAATGATGAACTGGGGGTAGGGGATGTATTAGTCAGGGTTCTCCAGAGAAACTGAATGAAGAGCCAACACACATATACACACATTTGGAGAGAGAGAGAAAATTTTATTATAAGGAATCAGCTCACACAATTATGGAGGCTGAGAAGTCCCAAGATTCGCCGCAGTCAGCAAGCTGAAGACCTAATAGAGCCGATGGTGTAGTTCAAAGCCAGTAGGCTGAAGACCAAAGAAGAGCTGATGTTTCTGTTCAAGTCCAAAGGCAAGAAAAGACAGATGTCCCCATTCAAGGCCATCAGGCAGCAGGAGTTCCCTCTTATTCAGCCCTTTTGTTCTACTCAGGTCTTCAATTGATTGGATGAGGCCCATTCGCATTGGGGAGGACAATCTTCTCTATTCAGTCTACCCATTCAAATATTAATCTCCTCCTGAACCACCCTCGCAGACGTATCCAGAATAATGTCTGACCAAATGCCTGGGCACCCTGTGGTCCAGTCAAGTTGACACATAAAATTAACCATCACGAGGAGAGAAAGAGAGAGGCAGAGGGAGAGGAAGAGAAAGAGAAAGAGAAAGGCATTGCTAGCTATAGACCAAATGGTGGCTGGGGAGAGAAGGAAGCTCACGTTTCATTTCATTTCAGAGCCACACCATGAAATATGGGTCAGTATCCCCATTTTAGAGTTGGGGAAACTGAGGCTAAGTGATTTACCCAGGGGGGACCCACAGCTGGTGACCCCATGCCATCTTGTCCCTGGGTAAGATTTGCATCGGTGGAGAAAGGGTGAGGATGCTGCCCACGGGCCTATCCCCTAGGTTCTAACTCTTATTTTTGGTAGTATCTTATGTACTTCCAGGGCAGATCAGAATCTGACCGAATGGCTGCTAGCCTGCCTGGTACTGCAGGTGTTGAGGGAAGGTGACATTGCTGTCAGCACCACGCATAATGGAGTCTTCAAGGCCTCCCATAGTCCTCTGCTTCAAAGCTGCTGAGAGCCTTGGAGTAAGGTGCAGGACACCAGCTCTGCCTCTGAGTCCCTGTGTGGACTTGAATAACATCCCTTCCCTTCTCTGGACTCAAGTTCCTCATCATTAGAGCAGGAAGGGAGGACCAGAAGATGCCTAAGATCCAGCAGAACCTTTGGAGAGGCTCCATGACTCCAAGCTGGGTCTGTTGTTTGCCAGGGCTCCCTTTAGCCTCTGGGATCCCCAAGTCTATCAGGGCTGCTCTGACAAGGCCTCCAACCAGAAGGTTCCACTCGCCTCTCTGAAGGAAATGGACATTGGAGTCCCTGGGCCACACCAGGGCCACAGCAGAGCCATGGACAAGGAGGTATTGGCTCAGATGCTGGTGAGGAGGTGACTCACCCATGCCCTGCTCCGCTTCGCATGCCACCATCAGCCTGGGGGATGTGCCTGGTCATGGCAGCACCCATTCAAACATAAAGGCTTCTCCTCTCTTGCCTCCCACCTGAAGAACATTCCCCAGTGACCCACATCCAAGTCAGTGCCTTCAGTGCTGAGGGTTGAGGGAGAGAAGTCAGATATATCACTTGTGATCCAAGAAAGAAATTGGGAGAAGTTTGGAAC
This sequence comes from Homo sapiens, assembly GCF_000001405.40. NCBI lineage: Eukaryota > Metazoa > Chordata > Mammalia > Primates > Hominidae > Homo > Homo sapiens. The sequence continues at coordinate 45,488,353 of NC_000011.10, forward strand.
TGGTAGGCCTGATGGAACCAGAGAAAGAGCTAGAAGACAGGGAATGGCCCCCAGGATCAATCCCAGTCCAGTTCCTCATTCTCTGTGTGACCTTGAACAAGTCACTGTCCTCAGATTTTTCATCTATAAAGTAGGAGGCCGGGCACGGTGGCTCATGCCTGTAATCCCAGCACTTTGGGAGGCCGAGGTGGGTGGATCACGAGGTCAGGAGATCGAGACCATCCTGGCTAACATGGTGAAACCCTGTCTCTGCTAAAAATACAAAAAATTAGCCGGGCGCAGTGGTGGGTGCCTGTAGTCCCAGCTACTTGGGAGGCTGAGGCAGGAGAATGGTGTGAACCTGGGAGGCAGAGCTTGCAGTGAGCTGAGATCACGCCACTGCACTCCAGCCTAGGCGAAAGAGCGAGACTCGTCTCAAAAAAAAAAAAAAGTAGGAAAGACAGTAGGTCAAGACAATCTTTGAGATCTCCCCAGGTTTGCCTTCCTGCCACTGGGCCTCTGCACAGTCCTTTCAGCCTGGAACCCTCACCTCCCCATCTCACATCTCATCTGGCCAGTTCCTGCTCACATTTCCAGTCTCAATGTAAATGTCACCTCCATCAGGAAGCTTTCTCAAAATCCCCAGACTAGATTAGGTTCTCTTATAAAATCTTCCCTCTGCTCCCTAATTTCTCTTCCCTTGCCCTTGTCTTGAGTGAAGGTAGGACGGCACATGTCAGGGTATTTGTTTCATCTCCACTTCTAACTGTAAACTCAGCGGGAGCAGGAGCCACCTCTGATCTCTTCACCTCTGAGTCCCCAGTGCCTAGCATACGGAAAAGACTGGGTGCACAAATACTTGAATGGTATGGGACATTGGAGATAAAAAAGAAAAGAATAAATGATGCAGAAACCACCCATGTTCTCTGAGTGTTATAAGTGCCTGGCCATTGTGCAGACTGCATCACAAAAACATTCAATCCCGATACTGAGAAAAGGGGAGAAACAGTGGGGTTGTTGCCCAGAACATCAAGGCACACACCCTTCCTGCCTCCCTCCCACCTGGCTCCCGATGCAGGGGGAGCTGGGGAAGGGCTCACACTGAGGAGGGCTCCTGTCCTCCTGATCTCCACTGTTCCCTCCCCCATACCATGCCATCCCTCGTGGTTGCTCTGGAAACCATCGTGGCATCATTGATGGGGGATGGGAATTTCAGGTGGGCTTTCAGCCCTGGGAATTGGCTTGCAGAGGTAAAAGCCTCTGCGTCATTCCTGTGTAAATACTCTTAGTGTAGAGAGTGGAAGATAAGACAATTAGTCCACACTGTCAGGAAATCCACATAAGCAGCTTCACTCCTGAAGAGGGCCTCTTTTTCCTGAGATCTCCCCTGGCTGTGGCACATCTCACACACTGTGGGAAGCTGTCAGCTCTGTGGAGCAACTGGAAGAATTAAAAATAAAAATCGACTTTCAGAGAACAAAATCAGACCTGACAACTCAAGTCATTCAAACCAGGCATGGTTAGCGGATTGCAAATGTGTTTGTCAAAAGCAGGTGGCAGGGATGGTGGAGGGGACATTGTCTCAGAAAGGAGATTTGGGAAAGCATTCCACTTGGCCAGGTCTTCCTCTGGGCCTGAGGTCTGACCTTGCCTCCTTTAGAGATGAGGTTTCCAGCCGCAGCCCCACCCCACCCTGTCTATTGCATCTCTCTTTCAACTTTTATGCTGCTCTGGGATCATGCCCAGTAAATTGCAGATGCCCCATTAAATAGAGTTGATCCTCATTACAGTAGGTTGAATATTCCTTATCCAAAATGCTTGGGACCAGACGTGTCTCGGATTTCAAATTTTTTAAGATTTGGGAGTATTTGCATTACATTTACTGTTTGAGCATCCCAAATCCAAAAATCTGAAATCGGAAATGCTCCAATCAGCATTTCCTTCAAGCATCATGTTGGCACTCAAAAACTTTCCAATTTTGGAGCATTTTGGATTTCAGATATTTGGATTAGGGATACTCAACCTGTATTAGCAATTCCACATTTATGAATTCATCTGCTCACTAAAACTTATTTGTAACCCCCACATCAATACTCAGGTCATTCACAAACGTGCAAAAAATTTGAGTCATTCCATGCACACTTTATCAGCTGAGGTTCCACAAGGCGCTCTGTCTTCTTGCTTCTGCCTCATACTGCAAACAATTATCCTTCCATGGTCCACTTAGTGCCATGGTTTTTCACATTTTTGTGCATTTTGTTGATTTTGCTGCTTAAAATGACCCCCAAGCACAGTGAAGTGCCGACCAGTATCCCCAAGCATAAGAAGAGGCGCCCTATGGAGAAAAATAACATGTGTTGGGTAAGTTTCATTCAGACATGAATTATAATACAGTGCTGTTGGCTGTGAGTTCAATGTTAGTAAATCAACGATATATGTCAAGTATGTTGTTTTTAAACAGAAACACCCATAAAACAAGGTCACATATTGATTGGCTGATGAAAATACTATGACCAAAGAGCTGCAGGAACCTAACCTTGTATTTTCAGTAGGAGCAATGGTTCAATATTTGTTAATTCAGTGTTTGCAGTGACCTTACAGAATATAATACCTCAAATAATGAAAATCGGCTAAGTCTGACCCACTGAGTTGAATTGTTTCTGTATCTGAGTCTCCCCCTCACCTCCTTCCCCTAATGTGCTGCAGGGCAGAGATGGAGCCTGACTCATTTGTGCATTTCCAGCACCCCTAGGAATATAGCAAGTTCTTAGCGTTTGCTGAATATCTTCCTTCCTATGAAGGACATTGAGACATTCCTTCATTCAGCTAATATTTAGTATCAATGCCAGGCACTGTTCCAGATCCAGGAGCTACAGAGGGCAGAAAGGGCAAAAACAGACAAAAACCCCTGCCCCCATGGTTCTTTTGCTCTCATTAGAGAAGACATGCAATAAGCAAAAGAAATACATTAAATGTATAGTATATTAGGTGGTAGTAAAGGCTAAGGATAAAAAATGAATGAGTAAAAGGGGCTAGAAAGTATCAGGAGTGGGAGAGGGATAGGAATTTTAGGCAGAGTAAGTAGGAAAGCTGCATTGAGAAGGTGGATTTGAGAAAAGGAAGTGAAGGTGCTAAATATGTAGTTGTCTAGGAGAAAGGTGATCCAGGCAGAGGAATAGCAAGTGTGATGGCTCTGAGGCAGGATCTCACCTGGGGTGTTTGCAGAACAGCAGGAGGCCTTGTGGCTGCAGTAGGGCGAACCAGTGGGGAGTGGTAGGACTTGGGGTCAGAGATGTGATAAGAGAACCTGTGGGCTGTGTAGAATTGGCCTTTCTCTAAGTTCGGGTTGATTCTAGGAATGCAAGTTTGGTTTCACATTTGCTCTTTATGGTGTGTAACATTAACAGGAAAAGAAGAAAACTACATGATCATTTTAAAGATGCATTCCAGGAATAAACCCATGTGGTTGTGATATATTATCCATTTTATGTATCGCTGGATTCAATTTTCAATGTTCTTTTGGGTTTGGGTATCAAAGTTATGCTGGCATCATAACACAAGCTGAGAAGTGCTCTCTTTTTTTCTATTCGCTGGAAGAGTTTATGAAAGACTGGTGTCACTTCTTGCTTAAATGTTTGGAAGAATTTACCAGCAAAGCCATCTGGGCCTGTAGTTTTCTTGATGAAAAGCTTTAAAATTATGGATTCAATTTTTAATAGATATGCTACTATTCAGAATTTCTGTTTCTTCTTGTGCCCATTTTGTTAAGTTATATTTTTATGGAATTGTTCATTTCTTTGAAGCTTTTACATTTATTGACATAAAATTGCTCATAATATCCTCTTATTATTTATTTTTAAGTCTGTGAGATGCGTAGTGCTGTCCCTTTTTCATTTTAGATAGTGCTAATTTGTGCCTTCTTTCTTACTGTTATTCAGTGTTGCTAGGGGCTTATCAATTTCAATAATCTTTTCAAAGAACTAACTTTTGTTGGACATTGTGTTAGGCACTGGGGATAAAAGTTGAATAACATTTGGTGTCACTGTTTCCAGAGATTTTACATTTTAGAGGAGGAAGAGAGGCAATAAACCAGCCAATATAATATTTGGTAAATAATTTCAACAAACAATAAGTTCCATGAAGAAAATAGACAGAGTGAGTGGGAGCCACTTTGAATTGTCTGCTTTCTCTAAAGTGGTAATATTTAAACAGAGACTTGTAAGGCAAGAGTTACCCATGCAGAAGTCACACGAAAGAGATCTCTAGGCAGAGAGAATAGCATGTACAAAGGCATGAGGTGGGGGTAGTATCCAATAGTATGTGAAGAGCGAAACAGAACACTGCAGTGGCTGAAACATCATGTGTAAGAAGGAGACAGTGACACGAGTTGAGATCAAAGGAGAGATGAGCAAGGTAGAGCCAGATAAGGTAGGGTCTTATAGTCCACAGTATAGAGTTTGGATTTTATTTTAAATACCACAGCAAGTGTATTAGTCAGCTATCGCTATGATAATGCTCCATAACAAACAACTCCCAAATCTCAGTGGCTCCCAATAGCAGTTAATTTTCTGTCTCGCCAGTTGCAGGCCAGCTGGGGTGGCTACGAATCACACTAATAGTTGATCTTAGATCTTCTCCATATGTTTCTCATTCTGGAACCAGTGTTTATCAAGGCATGCTCTCTTCATGGAACATGATAGATATGTAAAAGACCAAGCTAAACCACACAAATTCATTTAATGCCACTGCTTGCATCGAGTCCATTAAAATGCTCTTGACCAAAGCAAGGCACATGACCAAGACCCCGATCAACAAGACTGGAGAATACACTGTCTGCACTGGTGGGAGGCACTGAAAATTCATATTGCAAAGGGCATACAATTATTACAGGGAGGAAATGAAAGATTAGGAATAATAATCCAATTTGCCACAGTAAAATCACTCTGGCTGTTGTGTGGAGGATGAATGGGAGGGAAGAGGTGAGAGTGGAGAAGAGACTGGTTCAGGTCAGCAAGGACGGTGATTGGAATTCAGTTGATAGCACTATGGGTAGAGTGAAATGGACAGATTCTAGGTGTGTTTTAGAAGCACACCACAGAGGAACTGATGATGTATTAGACAGGGCGTAATTACTATTACATTCCCTTTACTCACTTCATTCCAGCCTCACTGGCCTTCTTGCTACTCCTCAAACATTCGAGTCACGCTGTGATTTCAGGGTCTTTGCAATTGCTGTTCCCTCTGTCAGAATGCTGTTCCCTTAGACACTGGCTTGGTCCACTTCCTCAATAAATTCAGGCCCTGCTCAAATATCAGTTCCTGAGTGAGACCATGTTGGATTGTCCTATTTACAGCAAGAATAATCTCCCTTATTCTGATCTATTTTTTCCATGGCTTTTATTGCCAACTGACAGATGCAGATTTGCTTATGAATTATTTTCTCCCACTGCAATGGAAGCTCCATGCATGCAGGGATTTTTGTCTGTTCTGCTCACTGCTGTCTACACAGCATCTTGAATGCTGCCTGGCACATAGTAGGCACTCAGTAAATCTCTGATGATTTAATAAATGGATTCCCACAGGACAGCCCCATTGGGCAGGCATATGACAACTCCGGGAGACAATTCATCCTTGATCTGGTCTTCAGTCCTCAGAGACCTGGCCCACCTGTCATTAAGAAGGCCACCCTCTCTCCAGGCAGCTAACACATAGGGAGGGGTAAGGGGCTGTTTGATGCCTGGGACTGTGGTGAGGCCGGCTTGCCTGTTGTGAGTCATTAGAATGCCCACCTGGGGAAATTCTGGAAAATCGGTTTTCATGGTTCCAATGAGCATCTGCCCAGAGGCTTGCAGTCATGTGCTTTATCTCTTCACTGCAGCTCATGTAGTGTGGGAATTCCAAGAGCTGGGCTTCCATCCCTCCCAAGCCCCAGGATCTTGAATTCAGAATCAGGGTGAGAGTGAGTGCTCCTGGGGCCTCCCACAGCCCCAAGATTAAGCTCCAAGAACAGAAGCTGACATCTGTGGGCAGATATGAGAGAAGGGGATAGAAAGGGACTCCTAGGACATTTGTTCAAGTGCAAGCCAAGGCGCTGGTTCCTTTTTCAAAAGAATAAATAGCCTCTGATTGAAATGGGAAACTAATTGATTGTACACACTGGCTTTTCAAAAGACAATGTCTGCCATGAAGGGAGTTTGTAGGGAAAACTATAGCCTATGTATGTCCATGGGGAGGTGGATGTATATAATAGGATGAACGCTCTGATGAACATGTGGGGGAAGAGGCTAGGGTACATGTCTAGGAATGTTGCTGTGTACACAGAGGGATGGATAGTAGCTAAGTGCTGTGCTGGAGGAGCCTACAAGAGACTCTTGCAGGGGAGGGCTCTGTAGAGTTCATACAATGCTGTATATTTGCCAGAAATACTGTAACCTTACCTTCATGTGCACTAGGGAAGACTGCTTGGGATGGGAACAGCTGAAGAGCTGGGAACAACCCAGGGGCTCAGCTAACCCACACCCCAGGGGATGGATAGCAGCTGGGTATATGGAGATGGAGGGCAATGGAAACCCGCTTTCACCAATGAATGATGCTCGCCCAGATAACACCACCTGGGGTTCAGGCAGGCCTGCCTCATAGCTGTGCACTGCAGGGGGACATTTGGCAGAGAGGTTATGAATGGGGGTAAAATCTGCTCCCCAGTCTGTGCATTCTGGCACCTTTTACTGATTGGCTCACACACAGGGGGCCTATTTTCCAGCTGGTCAACCCAGAGGAGATGACTTTTTCTAATCTACACAAAGGTGCCTGAAGTGCTTACAGCACCCAGTGTCTTGGACCTCTTTCTCCTCCCTGTGGGACCTACCTGGTCTCCCAGTCCCCTTCACATCTCACCCCCCAGTGCCACAGCCACACAGACCCACTTGTTGTCCTCCCTACATGCCAGCATCCCTGACACTCTTCCTGCCCCATTCATATCCCTGGCTACTTTCATTTCCTCCAAAATGAGGGTGTCAGACTATATAACTTCCAAGATCTCTGCCAGAGTCATCATCATGGGATTTTTCAAAATCAGTTTTGTTGAGGTATAGTGAGTAAATAATGAAATTCATCAATGTTGTGTCCAATTCAATGAATTTTCACAAATGTGGAGAGTCACATAACTATTAGCACCACAGCAGAGATACAGAACATTTCTATCTCCTCCAATGTCACCTCTTACTCCTCCGCAGGTCATCCCCTATCCCCACTCTAACCATAGCAATCACTGATCTAGCTCAACAGTTTTGCCTTTTTCTGAATATCATATAAATGGAATCACACAGTCTATACCCTTTTGTGATGGCTTATTTCATTTAGCATAATGCTTTTGAGATTTGTTTAAGTTGTGTGTATCAATAATTCATTCCTTTATATTGTGGAGTGGTACCTCATTTTATGGATATACCACAATTTATTTATCAATTAACAACTATTGATGGATATCTGGATTGTTCCCAGTTTAGGGACAATATGCAAATGCTGTTACATTTGCATACAAGTGTTTTTAGGAACATATGTTTTCATTTTTCTCTGGTAAATACCTAGGAGTGAGATAACTGGATCATATGGTAAGTATCTATTTAACTTTATGAAAAAAACTGCCAGCCTATTCTAAAGTGGCTGTACCATTTTTTATTCCCACCAGCAATGAATGGGTACTCTCATTGTTCCACATCTTGCCAACATTAGGTATCCTCATTATTTTTTTTCAAAACTTTTTTTAAATTAAATTTTTTATTTTGTGATAATTGTAGATGCACATGCAGTTGTAAGACATAATACAGGAGACCCCGTGTACCTTCTACCTAGTTTTTCCCAGTGATAACATCTATAGTACAATTTCACAACCAGGATATTAGCATTGATACATTCAAGATACACAACATTTTCATCACCATGGAGATCCCTCATGTTGCCCATTTATAGCCATATCTATATCCCTCCCATTCTTGCCCTCTCCTTAACCCTGGCAACCAATAAGCTATTTTCCAATTATATAATTTTGTTATTTCAAGAATGCTATATAAATGGAACATACAATATGCAATTTTGGGGGATTGTTGTGGTTTCTTAATGATATATTATCTTTTTAATGTATTTCTGGCCACAATATGATAGAATTACATATTACATATTTTTGCATCTAATTTCATGAGACATATTAGTTTGTACTTTTCATTTTTTATAACATCTTCATCCGGTTTTAGCATCAGGATAATGTCGACTTCATAAAATGACTGGGAAGGCTTCCCTCTTACTTAATTTTCTGGGAGAGTTTCTATAGAACTGATATTATCTCTTCCTTAAATGTATGGTACAATTTACCAATGAAGGCATCTAAGCCTTGATTTCTTTGTGAGAAAGTCTTTAACAACAAATTCAGTTTCTCTAATAGATTTAGGGCTGTTCCAGTTATTTACTTATTCTTGAGTGAACTTTGGTAGTTTATGCCTTTCAAGGAATTTGTCCATTTCATCTAGGTTGTCAAATATTGTTCATAATATCCTTTATTATCTTTCTAATGCCTATGTGACCTGTAGTAATACCCTAAAAAAAATTCCTAATGTTGGTACATTTTTTTTTCTTGGTCTGGCTAGCTAAAAGTTTGTTAATTTTATTGATCATCCAGCCTCAATGATTTTCTCTGTTGTCGTCTTCAATCTCATTGATTTCTGTTCATATCTTCATTATTTTATAGCATCTACCTACTTAGGCTTAGTTTGTTCTTCTTTTTCTATTTTTTCAATTGGAAGCTTATATCTTTCATTTAAGACCTTTCTTATTTTGTAATAGAAGGATTTATTACTACAAATTTTACTCTAAGCACTGCTTTAGCCAAATTCCACAATTATTGACATAATGTTTTCATTTTCATTCAATTTTAAATATTTTTAAGCTTTGCTTCTGATTTATTCTTTGATCTATGAAGTATTTTGAAGTATGCTTTATAAATTCCTAAACACTTGAGGATTCTTTCTTATATCTTTCTGTTATTGATTTCTAATTTAAATCTGTTGTAGTTGTGCTCAGGGAGAATACTTTGTACAATCTAAATACTCTTAATTTTATTGAGCTTGTTTTATGGCCCAAAATATAGTCATTCTTGGTGAATGTTCCATGGACACTTCAAAGAAATGTGTACTCTGCTGTTGTTGAGTAGAGTATTCTAGGAATGTCAATTAATTCAAGTTAGTTAATAAGTGTGATTCAGGTCTTCTATATCCTTACTATTTACTTGTTCTATCAATTACTGAGAGACAAGTATTGAAATTTCCAGGTGTAAGTGAATACTTTATTTTTTCCTCTTTCAATTCTACCAGTTTTCATTCATGTATTTTGAGGCTCTCTTATTACATACATACACAGGATCATTATGTCGTCTTAATGAATTGATCTGTTAATGTTCCTTGTTCTGAAGTCTATTTTGTCTAATATTAATATATTTGCCCCAGCTTTTTTTGATGTGTTTGCATAGTATATCTTTTTTCATTATTTTACTTTTAATCTGAGTGTTTATGCTCAAAGTGAGATTTTTGTAGACAGCATACAACTAAGTCTTGATTTTTTTAGTCAAAATGATCATCTGTTCACTTAATTGGGGTATTTAGCTCATTTACATTTAATGCAATTATCAGTATGTTTGGATTTAAATCTACCATCTTGCTAGACCACTTAATATTGTCCCATAGGTCACTACTTTTTTCATCCTCCCTCTCTCTCCCACTCTCTCTTTTTCTCTCGCTGTCCTTTAAAAATCTATGCTATATTTTGGATGGTTTGTATTGGCTTGTCTTCAAGTTCACTAATCTTTTCTTCTACAGTCGCTAATCTCCTTTTAATACCCCCAATGTATTTTTCAAATTATATACATTTTTGAAAATTTTATTTCAGTCTTTTTGTATTTTTCATGTATCTCCTTATCATAATTGTGTTTTTCTCTACCTCCTTGAACATATGAAGGATATTTGTGATAACTGTTTTAACACCATCATCTGCTAGTTTCATAATATCTGTCTTTTAGGGGTCTTGTTTCAATGGATTGGTTTTTCTCTTGGGCTGTGGATCATATTGGATGTTGAACACAGCGAATTTTATGTTCTAGGTGCTGAATTTTGTTGTATTCCTTTAAAGAATGTATTGGCATGCAGTTAAGTCATTTGAGATCAATTTGATTCTCTGAATGTTGCTATATAAGCTTTATTAGGGCAAATCCAAAGCAGCATTTAGTCTGAGGCTATTTAGCTCCATTACTAAGGACTCTGAAGGACTCTTTCTTATGCCTCACATATTTTGAGGTCTAGCCAATCTGGATAGGGGGAACATAAACCATTCCCAGACCCCTCTGAGCTCTGGGAATTACTCAGCCTACTGGTTTCCAGTGGTACTTAGGTGCTTATCCCAGCCTCATGAAGTTTCACCCCACGCATTCTTAAACCAGTATTCAGCTATTCAGCCAAATATTTGAGAGCCTCCCTCTGCAGAAAGCTGGCTCTAGCTCTTGCTCTCAATCTCTCTCTCTCTCTCTCTCTCTCTCTCTCTCTCTCTCTATCTCTGTCTCACACACACACACACACAGACACACACCTCTCTCCTCTCTGTTATGTCCTACAAGTTCCAGCTGCCCTCAGCTTCCACAAATTCCAGCCTCTGCCTCCTCAAGTCAATTAGACTGCTGTGCTCTGTTAGATTTCCCCTTTTTGCCAAGTATCACAGGGCTCACCTCATTTTTTCCCTTCTCGAGCTCACAGTCTTGCATTGCCTGGTAACCAAATTTGTAAATATATGAAACAAAGTTGTTTCATATATTTTATTGTGGCTTTTTGATGTTTTTAGCCTGAGCATAATTCTGCACTCTCTTACTCCCTCAGCTAGAAGTGGAAGTTCCCCCACCATCCCAGGTATGGTGTTATGGTATCTATTGGTTTTTGTTCATAGTTCCTGGTTCATAACTCCCATATCCCTTGTGATGGTCTTTTGTTATCATGTTGCGTATGTTAGGCCTCAGAAAACAGAATCTCTGTCCTGCGCTCCATTCGCCTGCCCCAAGGCAGGACTCTAATCTTCCCATGCCTTTCTGATGGTGGGTCTGAAGACCCTCCCAGAGAGGGTCCCACCCTATACACTCAGGGAAGGAATACTGATATCATGAAGCCTTCATAAAAACCCAAGATGACAGAGTTTGGGGAGCTTCAGTATAGCTGAACCCTGGAGGTTCCTGGAGGGTGGTGCACCCAGGGAGGGCATAGAAGTTCTGCCCTCCTTCCCCCATACCTCACCCTACACATCTCTTCACCTGTATCCTTTGCAATATCCTTTATAATAAACCAGTAAGCATAAGTGTTTCCCTAAGTTCTGTGAGCTGCTCCAGCAAATGAATTGAACCCAAAGAGGCCATCATGGGAACTCCAATGTGAAGCAGGTCAGTCAGAAGTTTTGGAAGTCCAGACTTTCAACTGATGTGGGGAGGAGCAGTATTGGGGACTGAGTCCTCCACCTGTGGGATCTGACAGTGTCTCCAAGTCAGAACTGGATTACAGCATACCCAGCTAGTGTCTGCTGCTTGGTACATGGGGAAAAACCTTCACACATTTGGTCACAGAAGTCTTCTGTGTTGATGATTGTTACTGTGATGTGAAAGTATAGGAAAAACATGGTTAGAGAGAGATTTCCCTACACACTGGGATTTTAACATAAGAAACCAAATCAACCTAAGAGGAGGCTGTCATCAGCATGAAGACTATAGTTGTTGGGGATGTAGAGAAGATGGTGTCCCCTGCTTCCCTCTGGCCCTTTCTAGGCCTGACACTGGGAAGCAAAAACAGAGCTGGTTAGACATGTGAAATTAGGGGTGCCCAGAAAGTTTCAGGGGCTCTAAGCAGGAGGAGGTTTGAATGTCAGGACATTTGAAGAAGACAGCAGGACCACAGGGCTAACAATGTATTCAACAGCATTCCTGGGCTGTGATTTGCTAAGATCTGACGCCAAGAAAAAAAACAAAACCACCAACAAGACAGGAAGAAAAGAATAAAAGAAAATATATAAACATGGTAACAAAACCTTTTTTCAGCTGGGGCTTATAGAGGTTTTATGGTGGTTTTTTTCCTAGGCAAGTGGCAGTGAAACCTTTATTGCACCTCACAGCCTCCCAGACCGTTTTTTATACTACATAATGTGTTTGCAAGTTTCTGTCCATCGCTCAGTCTCCCTGTGCTTTGTCCTGTGAAACCATCGGTTTCCATGGCAACCAGACTGCCAGATGAAGGAGCCAAATGAACGGACGGAGGTCTTTAGTGCACCTCTGGGGACCAACAGAAGCCTAGGCCACAGATAGGAAAGGGATATGGGAGTAACCACAAGGGTCCCTCCACCAGCCAGGACTTCCCCTGCCAGCTCTGCACTTCTGGGTGGCTGCCTGGTGCATCCACAGGTTGGCACTCCTGGAAAGACTCGTCCACCATTGAGCTCCTTCCATCACTGACATTTACAAAGCCCCTGGAATATACCCCAGTCTCTGTGCAGGTGGCAAGACCCAGAGATGAATAAGACTTGGTCCCTGCCCCAAATGGCAAGCAGTCTGTCTAGAGAAATAATGGTAAAAGGAGTCTAGAAGGAACATTTATTAAGTGCTGACTATAAGCAAGACACTGTTCTAGGAACTATATACCTTAAATTTTAATTTTCACACACACACACACAAAAACCCGTGATTTAGTTATTTGTACTATTTGCATCATGGAGCTTTACCCATAGCTCATCCAAGGTCACATAACTTGTCAAAGGGAAAGCCAAGATTCACATTCAGGTCTGTATCTGGCTCAGCCTCTACCGACAGGTACAACCCTATCCCACTCGGTCACTCTGTCTCCTTCCTCTAAATCTCTTTTTTCTGGTTGCTTCAGAGTTTAAAGAACTCTCAGAAAGTCTTTCTGTCTCTCTTTCTCCCCTGCCTGGATCCCTCACCACCCCTCTGTGGCCCCGTCTCTCCTCTCATTCTTGAAATAAATGTATTATTGAACTAAAGCCCCTGCAACATGAATTAAACATAGGAACAAATCCCATTGTGGCCTCTGAGCCCCATGCTGTGCTGATGACATTAATGAAGGGTCACACAGCCACATCCCTGCTTAAGTCTCTGAAATCCCACTCCCTTTGTCCAGACAGAGGGAGGAAACAGCTGACATCAGAAAACTGGGAGACCCTCAGGGAGAGAGAAGCTCTTTAAAAATAGCTCTCATAGCAGGAGGGTTCTGCCGGGCTAGCCTTCCCTGGGCTGAAAGAGAGCCAGCATGAGCCACCCCTTCGACCGGCCCCAGCTCTGCCCGATGGCTTCAGAGGCTGCTCCCAAAGGGGCTCAGTGAAGGGAAACTCAAGCTTGTAAAGCTAAACCCTGCACTGTCAACAAGGCCAGGGGACTAACAAGGCCAGCTGAGGCTGAATGACACAGAACACTGTCTGTGCCCAGACTTTGCCCTCCTGATGGGCTGCAGGCACTGACCTTCCCTCCCTAAGCCCCTTCCCCCAGGCTAAACAACCTCTGGGACCACAGAGTGTCACAAGTTCATGCGGCCCAACCTCCTTGTTTTATAAACAGGAACCCAAGGCTGAGAGAGGGACAGCAATGACCAGGGGTCACACAGCATCTCAGAACAGAGCCAGGACTCAAGCTAGGTCTGAGCAACAGACCTGGGTCCCTGGCCTGTGGGACGACCACCGCGCCAGTCTAAGACACAGGTCATCTTACTAAGAGAAGCACCTCAACTCCTCGGTGCCCTGGAGACTCCAGGAGCATGGCCTCTCTGCAGTAAATCTGGGGGTGGGGGTGGACTGCCACCCCAGGGCCTAGAAAAGGGCCCATGGGATCTGAGAAGAGTGGCCCAACACAGATGGAGGCCCAGGGGGATAGGAGGCCTCTGGACACCAGGACTATCTAGGCCCCGGCTCCTGCCGTGGACAGGAAGGGCTGGCAGGGAAGCTACTGAATGAGTCACCCAGTCCCTTGGTTGCCTTTTCTGTGATATGGAGGAGGGCTGGCATCCCCCTTTTGGGGTGGCTGTGAACACAGTACTCAATGAGGTAATTAATGAAAACTTTCTAGCCAGGTCCTGGCACCTGGCACGGCCTCGATACATAGCATAAACACACAGCCCCTGCTCACAAGTACTGCGTCCCTGCGGGCACTGGTTCATATGGAAACTCTCTGTGGCTCATGGAGCTCCTAGAAGCACCCAGACAGCTACTTTCTTCACACCTTTCCTGGCTGGCCGAGTGACTCCTGAGTCTCCCCTGACCCTAACAACAGATGTGGGGCCCTGACTCCCTCCCTTAGGGCAAGTCACTTGACCTCTCTGTGCCTCCGGGTCTCAATTTCTTCAACTGAAAATGAGAATAGCAACAGTGCCTGCTATATACATCTATATGTGCATGTGCACATGCACGCACAAACACGCAATCTTTGTTCAACTTCATTGAGATATAATTTGTACACAACCAAATGCACTCATTTTTAATAGCTTTATTGAGATATAATTTATATACCATATAATTCACCCACATGACATGTACAACTCTGTGGTTTTTTGTATACTGACATAGTTGTGCAACTATCACCCAATCTATTTCATTATCCCTCCCCACCAAAAATTCAGATCTATTAGCAGTCTCTCCCTATGTCTTCCAACCATCACCCCGCCAGCCCTAGTCAACCACTAATCTACTTTCTACCCCCATAAGATTTGCTAATTATGGGCAATATGATTTTTTGTGTCTGGCTTCTTTCACTTAACATAATGCTTTCAAGGTTCATTGGTGTTCTAGCACACATCAGTACTTCATTCCTTTTTACCGCTAGACAATATTCCATTGTATGAATATAGCACATTTTATTTAGCCATTCATTCTTTGAGTTGTTTCCATGTTTTTGCTACCATAAACAATGCTACTAGGAACATACATGTGCAAGTTTTTGTATGAACATACGTTTTCTTTTATCTTGGTTATAATACCTAGGAGTAGAATTACTGGGTCACGTGCATGTGGGACCTTTTGAGGAACTGTCTAACAGTTTTCCAAAGCAGCTGTGTCATTTTCCATTCCCACCAAAAATGTATGAGGGTTCCAATTTCTCCACATCCTCACCAACACTTGTTATTATCAGTCTTTTTAATTATTCTCACCCTAATAGACGTGAAGTGATATTTCATTGTGATTTTGATTTGCGTTTCCCTAATGGCTGATGATATTGAGCATCTTACCATGTGCTTATTGACCATTTATATATCTTCTTTGGAGAACTATTGAGATACTTTGCTCATGTTAAAATTGGGTTATTTGTTTTATCATTACTAAGTTTAATGGTTCTTTATATATTCTAGGTACAAGTCCTTTATCAGGTACATGATTTGCAGATATTTTTCCCCATTTTGTCAGTTGTCCTTTCACTTTCTTGATAACATCTTTGAAGTTTTTAGTTTTCATAAAATCCAGTTTACCTATTTTTTTGTCATTTGCATTCTTGGTTTCATACCTAAGATACTGGGGTAGGCAAAGCCTATATTTTACTCCTATATTTTCTTCTAAGAGCTTTACAGTTTTAGCTCTTACATTTAGGTATGATTCATTTTGAGTTAATTTTTGTGTAAAATGTAAGACAGAAATCCAACTTCATTCTTTCAAATGGGGGTATCTAGTTGTCCCAACACTTTTTTGTTGTTGTTGTTGAGATGGAGTCTTGCTTTGTCACCCCAGTTGAAATGCAGTGGCACAATCTCAACTCACTGCAATCTCTGCCACCCGGGTTCAAGCGATTCTTGTGCCTCAGCCTCCCAAGTAGCTGGGACTACAGACACATGCCATCACGCCCAGCTAATTCTTTGTATTTTTATTACAGACGGAGTTACACCCTTTGACCAGGCTGGTCTCAAACTCCTGACCTCAGGTGATCTGCCTGCCTCGGCCTCTCAAAGTGCTGGGATTACAGGTGTAAGCCACCTCACCTGGCCAATTTTTAAGATTACAATTTGATGAGTTTTAACAAATGTGTATACCCACAAAACCACATCTCATTTCCTCATCCCAAAAAGTCTCCTGTGCCAATTTGCAGTCCATCTTCCAACCCCAGCCCTGGGCTACCATAGCCTACTTTTGTTCACTATAGATTAGATTTGCCTTTTCTGGAAGTTCATATAAATGGAATCACACAGTTTGTACTCTGTCTTGCATCTGTCATTATATTTTTTTATCATTTAATCCTCCTGTATTAGAGTTCTCTAAAGAAACAGAGCCAGAACAAACAGGGCGTGTGTGTGTGTGTGTGTGTGTGTGTGTGTGTGTGTGTGTGTGTGTGACAGAAGGAGATTTATTTTAAGAAATGGGCTCACACAAGTCCAAAATCTGTAGGGTGGGCTGGCAGGCTAGACAGGGAAGAGTCGATATTATAGCTCAAGTTCAAAGGCAGTCTGCTAGCCAAATTCCTTCTTCCTTGGGGGAGATCAGTCATTTTTTCTATTAAGGCCTTCAATTTATTGGATGCAGCCCACTCACATTATGAAGGAGTTTTCCTCAAAGCCTACTGATTTGGATGTTAATCTCACCTTAAAAAATACCTTTACAGCAGCATCCAGGCTAGTGTTTGACCAAATATCTGGGTACCGTGGCCTAGCCAAGTTGAAATGTAAAATTAACCATCACACCTCTCATCAGCCCCATGAGGTGAACATTATTATTCCTATGTTGCAGATGAGGAAGCTGAGGCTCAGAGAGGGTAAGTGATGGATCTGGTACTCATAAGCGGCAGAGTTGAGACTGAAACCAGTGCTGTTTCAATATCCTCATGGTCACCTCTCCCTGGTTCTCATCCATTTGTAGATCAAGAAGGATTTGTGATGTCCATCTATGACTGTACCTCGTTAGACCTAAAGACCCTCCTGGGGTTCACATCCTGGGCTTCCTTCTTCCCTTGTCTTGGGACATAAGGGAGGAGGTTACATGGCCCAGTGCCCCTCAGCCCCAAAGCCCCCACCACCTGGTCCACTTGTTGTTTGTTTGTTTCAGCCCCACAGAGGTTGAGCTGGAAACTTTAAGGCCTCCAGGTTCTGAGGCTCACCAGATATTAAAAATGAAGACGATAGCAAAGCCGGGTTAGTACTTGCATGGATGATCTTAGCCTACACACCTTGTTTCTCCTTTCAAATTAATGGGTGCCCATCCAACAATTAAAGAAGGGAGCCCTTCCTGCATGTGGAGACAACCCAGGTTGACGAGTGGAGGCACACTTGTGCAGACTGGAGAAAGGCAAAGCCACGGTACAGAGCCTTGTGGCCTACATTAAGTGTTTGCTTGTAACTACCTGAGGCTTTCACCACCGCCTATGCACAATCCAGTGGCTGATATGAAACCTCATTTGGAAATAACTCTGAAAGTCTAAATGCCATGCCCACCATGAGCATGAGAGCTGTCTCTGGGACAAAGGGAGAATGAGGAGGTGGAAAAGGGAGCTCCAGCTTTCAGACTTTTTGGAAGGATTCCCCCGTGAGCTCCAGCCTTGTCTTGCAGGGATCAGCAGCTCAAGTCTTGTGGTTATAGGGTCAGTTCAGCTTTCAAGGCAGTGCCATTTTGTGTTCAAAGTCTGAGACTGTTCACTCTGGGCAGGGCATGCAGCTGTGACTGAAGCCCTAAAATCTCCCCACAAGCCTCTTCCCAGGCTTGCCATTTCCCCATCAGCAAGCCTTTGGCATGAGGTCTCTGGGGGACCTGATAATAGAGAGGAATAAGCTGGGATCCACAATGGACCCCAGAAGTCCTTGAAATTTTGGGTAGAATTCGCTCACTGAAAAAGCTTTGGGTCCTGAGCCAGGGTGAGGGATCCTCCCAGGGACCCGGATATAGCCTCTGTAGGCCCTGCTTTCTTCTTTCACCTTCCACTTCTCCCGCTATCGTCGAGTCTAACTGCTCTCCTCTCTCCTGACCCTACCACAGGCATATCTGCTGACTCTCTCCTGACCCTACCACAGGCATATTTGGCCAACTTGAGCCACACAGAGATATGCCCTTCATTCATTCATTCATTCATTCATTCATTTAACAAACATTTATTGAATGCCAACTGTATACCTAGCACTGTGCTGGGCCCTGGAGCCTCACCTGCAACAATGAACAGAGAAGATGTCTCTATCCTCACAGAGCTTTTGGTCTAATTATAAAGACCTTACAATCATAAACAACCCAATTTATTTTTATTTATTTCTTTATTTCTTTAGACAGTGTCTCATTCTGCTGCCCAGGCTGGAATGCAGTGGCATGATCATGGTTCACTGCAGCCTTGACCTCCTGGGCTCAAGCTATCCTCCCTTCTTGGCATCCCAGTGTGCTGGTATTATAGGCGTGAGCCACTGGGCCCAGCCCCAATTGCAAAAATAATAATGGGTAAAGCATTTGAACCCGTATTTCACCAAGCAAACATATGGATGGCAAACAGAAAAATGCAAAGATACTCACCATCAGTAATCATCAGGGAAATACACATTAAAACCACAGTGAGTTAATGCAGCACATCCGTTGTAACAGCTGCAATTAAAAAGACTGAACATGCCAAGCGTTGGCAAGGAAGTGGCTGAAGTGGGACTCTCATACATTGCTGGAGGGAGTGTAAAATGGTACAACCACTTTGGAAAACTGTTTATCAGTTTTTTAAAACATCAACATACAGCAACCACATATGACCCAGCCATTCTACTCTTAAGTTATTTACTCAAGAAAAATCAGAACATATAACCATACAAAGATTTATATACAGATAATTATTGCAGCTTTATTTGCAATCACCAAAAGCTGGACTCACCCCAAATATCCATCAATAGTGAATAGTTAAAAAAATTTTGCTTTATCCAGAGAATGAAATACTACTCTGCAATGAAAAGGAACTACTGACACACACAACAGTATGAATGAATCTCAAAATAATTATGTTGAGTGAAAGAAGCCAAAAAGTGTATACATCATAGAATATTTTTGTATAAAATTCTACAAAATGCCAATCAGAAATTAGATCAGTTGACTAGATCTAGGGTGGAGAGGGTTGGCGGGAGGAAGGGAGGGATTACAAGGAGTCATGAGCTAACCTTTTAGGGAAGATAAATATGTTCATTATCTTGACTGTGGTGATGTTTTAATGAGTGAGTATATTTGATTGGTGCAAAAGTAATTGTGGTTTTTGCCATTTCTTTTAATATATGTCAAAACTTATCACATTTTAAACCCTAAATATGTACAGGTCAATAATGCTATTTTTGAAATTACAACTGCACAATGAATTGTTTAATTACAGGTGAGACTAAAGAGCTACAAAGTGAGTGTTCTGGACACTGTGAGAATCTACAACTGGAGAAGCCAACATTGCCTGTGGACTGAGAGCCACATCCCAGAAAGTGATGTTCAAGTTGAGATGGGAAAGATGGGTTGGAAATGGGGGGGCAGGGGGATGAGGGAGGAGGATACTGGGGGAGAAAAGAAAAATCCTGGCCGAGGAAACTAAGTATGTCAGGCTTCTGAGGAGTGGGGAGGCAGCATGGTGGACCAGAGGGGCTTCGAGAAGCCCGAGAGGACAGAGGGAATGCTTGACACATCAAGCCTTTGTTTTCTCTCATCCAGATGTCCAGTGGTCTCAGGCAAAGGCCCAGGCAATGGAAGCTTCCCATGGGGCCCTCTACCTCTTCACTGCTCCAGGTGGGCCCAGGCTCATCAGACCACAGGCCCCCCATCGCCTTCTCAGGGGCTCCCCCATGCTAGCCGGGAAATCAAGGTCAACACAGGCTCCACACTCCCCTGAGTCCTGCACCTACCCCAGGCTTGCTGAGGGCCTCCAGAGGACAGCTTCTGTCCCTCCTACCACAGGTTGGATCTACAGCCTGACCTGGCCATTCCTCCAGTGTTTGGAGAATCATTGCCTAGCCTTCATTCAGGAGCCAGATTGCCTGGGCTAGAATCCCAGCTCCACCATTCACCAGCTGTGTAAACTCCCTGGGCCTCAGTTTTCTCACCTGTAAAATGGGATTCATTGGACTGTTATGGATTAAATGAGTTGACGTTTATAAAGAACTTAGAAGAACACCTTATTTATTTGTTATGTATAAAATGAAATTCCATCCTGCCTAATAAATATCGGGAACAGCTCTGGGTGGAGAGGTGATGTGCCAGGGAGGGGTCATCTCAAGTCTAAGAGATAGAGGGTGACCCATCTGGTAGCAGACAGCAGCGGAAGCTGCTTGCCTGGCCTCTCTGGGTTTGAGGGCAGGGATGTCTCTTCTAGCTTGAACACAGCCTACACTCCAGTTCTGTGACTTCAGGTGGGTTTGGCATCAAAAGCCTTCAGGGCTCCTCTTATGTGATCATGAGTTTCCTGTTGAGATCCTTCTGGCTGGAACAAGCTTCTTGATCCCCCAGAAGTGCCCAGTACTTTTGTCACCTGTGTCTGTGCCTTTGCTTGGGGATGCTGGGACTACAGAGCAATAGATTTTCTCTCTGTCTCACCTTCTGTTTTCTTCTTTGTTCTTCTCCATCTCAAAAAGGAAGGAGCAAAATGCCTCTGCTCAGGGGTAGATTTTTCTGTCCAAGCTGAATCAGGTTACCTCCCAATTATTTGTTAATGGGAAACAGCCAGTCCTTCCATCTGGGGGACACACAATTGTGTAATATATGCCATCCCAGTTGATCCTCAATAACCTGTACAGCAGGCAGAGCTTGGCCTATGCCACAGATGCAGAAACTGAGGCTCAAAGGGCCAAGAGAACTTGTGCTCGGCCAGAAAACCTGTTGTAAAGAATCACCATCAATTCTATGACCTGTTACATGTGCACAGTCTTTGTAATTTACAAAGCATCTTCACAGCCAGTTTCCTAAGGGAGCATCACAAAACCCCTGCAGAGTAAAACAGGGCAGCTATTATTATTCGTGATTTACAGATGGGAAAACAAGGGCTTGGAAGATCAGAGATATTCACGTTGTTCCATGGCTAACGTTGTTCCATGGTTCAGTTAAATTCAGCAAGCATTTATTGAGCACCTACTGTATGTCAGCCCCTGTCCTAGGTCCTGGGGAACTAAAGAGAATGAGAAATGGCCCCCCGCTCTTGAGGAGCTAATTTTTGAGACAATGTGATAGATGCCTTCAGGATGGGTGATCACAGGGCTCTGAGGCAGCTCACAGAGAAGCAGGTATTAGGGAGGCTTCTTGGAAAAGCTGACATCTGAGCTGAGTCTTAAAGGATGAATAGGAATTGACCAGGTAAGTAAAGGTGAGACAGACATTTGGAGCTAAGAGACAGGGCTAGGGCTAAGCACAGAGTACGGGTCCAGGTCGTGTGTGCAAAAGCCACAGGTAGTTGGTTCTTACAGAATAGACACTTTGAAGCCACATCTCCTGCTACGGCTTGATCCACTGTAACAAGCAGGAGAATGACCTCTATGTATGTGCATGCACGTGTGTGTGTGTGTGTGTGAGAGAGAGAGAGAGAGAGAGAGAAAGAGAGAGTATGTGTGTGTGTGCGCGCGCGCGTGTGTGTGTGTGCAGGCAGGCAGTGGTGGCAGCATCATACATTTAGCAGATCTTGGTAGTCAGAATATGGTCTATAAAATTTGAAGACCTGGATTTAAATCCTCCATTACTTTTAGCTATTGGACCTTGGGAACATGACAAAATGTCCCTGTGCCTCAGCTTTTCCACCTATAAGTGGGGATGATGAAAGAGCCCACTTCATGGCATCGCTGGGAGGACTATATTAGGTAATATCTCCTTCTAACAGTGTGTGGCAGGCACAAAGAGAGCTCTCAATGAACATTGCCTGTTATAATTTATTTAATGCAGACAGCACTCTCCAAACCCATTCCTCCAGGGAATTTTTGAGAATCACCACAAATCCACTGGGCTTGCGGTGCTGTCCATCATATTTGTTCTACAAATAAACCAACAGCAAGGTATAACCTCAGACTGGAAAGTGACCTTGAAGGGAGAGGGCACAGAGAGGTGAGAAAGAGCAAAGGCTCAGAGGGAGGAAAGTACATTCTGCACATAGGAATAGCAAGTCTAGAGGTCTTTATTTAGGGAACATAAAGTCCTTCATTTAAGGGTTATGATGTGAAAGGGGACCAGGTTACTGCATTTGACTCTGGCTCCAGAAGGCAGAGAAGGATGAAACGGGCTAATGGACAGAAGTTTCAGCATCAGTCAGAGCAATAGAATGGGCTGCCTTAAAGGTGGTGAACTCCCCATCACTTGTAATTCCTGTCATTGGGGGTTTCAATCTATCTTACCCTGCACTGGGTGGCTGTGATCACCTCTGAAGTTCTGATGAGCCACTGAGGTATGTGATGTGGTAGAATCAGAAATTCACAAGATGGGGAGAGGGGGAGGAGGAAAAACACATGAGTACGAGGAGATGAGGCTTTAGAAAGAGGTATGGGACTCCCTGCAGTTGGGCCAGTAAGTTTCATCCCTTTGGATTAGGAATTGTCCATTACAGAAATGTAAAGAATGACTGATAGTTGTATCAGTCATTTTCACTTTAGTATAAATTAGACACACAGATCATTTTCTCCCTAACAGCTGCCTGATGATAGAGGAGGACACACAATACCAAATGAGGAGAGAGAAGGACATGGAAAGTAAAGTGGGAAGGGCTCAGAGACAAACTTCATTCATCTCAATTTTGCCAGGGAGTATCCCTGACTGCAACTGAAAGGCAAGAAAAAGAATACTCACTCAGTGGCAAACTTTTGCCATTATTTATTCATTTTAGCACCCAACTATTAGGCATCGGCTATATACCATGTTGTGTGCAGGGCACTGGGGATGCTAGATGCAACCAGACATAGGTCTGGCCCTCTGGGGTGCCCAAGCTAGTGGAAGATGGGCTTGGAAACCGTGATCATAAGCCAGAGTGACCAGTGCCGTGATAGAAGGATCTGCTCAAGCAGTGGTTGACCTCTCCCATAAGCCACACCTCAGACCTTTTTCTGAGAGCCACCCCCACCCCAAAACTAACAGATCAACATGACACGAAAAGAGAGCAAAAGAGAGGCCCAAAGCATTTGAGTTACCTGTTCGGGAAGCTGCAGAGCCAGGACTCCAGAGCATCCCCTGACTCCAGAACGGGGCACCTTCTCCCAAACACAAGCACCTTCCTTGGGGCGGGTTTCTGGAACATCCCCCAGCCCACACTGGCCTCCCTCTCAGTGGACCAGCTCGCCAGCTGCCCTCCTCTCTCATCTGCTCCCTTTCCAGGGCAAGGAAGACAGACAATGACTGTCGCAATAAGGGCCTGTCTGGAGCTTTGGGCGGGTGGATAATTAGACTCTGAGAGAAGCCATCTGCTTTGGGCCCCTTGGGTCTCGGGCAGGCTGGGGCAGCGCAGCTCCTGACCACGCAGTCAGCTCTCACCATGGAGCCCCTACGTGCAAAGGGTTTTAATGTCTTTGGCCATAAGGAGGCCTGGCTGCCTCCCCAGCAGCAGGGCCTTAAGTGAGGAGCTAGGGCTCAGTCCGGTGTTTATTTCCTTGTCAGGTTGTTCTACTTCTTGGGGCCCTGGGGTAGAGCTGCACGGATTGGGCCAGGTGGGGTGGGGAGGGGTAGGCAAAATTTACTAGGCACAACTGTGGCACTGCAGAGTTGGGAGAGACCCACGCCAGCACCACGTGGGCCCTTCCTCTTTCCAGAAGGGACAGCTGAGGCCCAGAAAAAGGAAGGGACTGGGCCAAGGTCCTACAGTCCTTGTAAAGACACCATCTTTAAAGGTTGATGTCATCCCTTGCTGGGGACAGGAGGGATAGACTGCAGTGGGCAGGCTGAGCAGCCAAGCCCTCGGCTCATAAGGAAAAGCTACCATGTGTTGACTTCTACCCGGCCACATATAGAATTTTACCCTTGACCTTGTTTCACCTTGGCAACCTCTACAGTTGTTATTATTATCTTCAGTGTACAGATGAGACTAGAACACAGAGTAGTTAAGTAACTTGCCCAAGCCCACACAGCTGTCAAATGGAGTGAGGCTTTACACTCAGGTCTGTCTGAATTCACAGCCCCATTTTTCCCCATGCAAGAGGCAGTGCAGAGTAATGGTACTCACACAGGTGCCTGGCCTGGACTGCTGTCTGGGTTCAAACCCCAGCTCTGTCATGTACAGGCTATATGAACTTGGGAAAATTGTTTTTCTGAGTCTTCCCTCTCCTCTTTTTTAAAATGGGGATTGTAGTACCCAATTCATGGTGTCGTTGTGAAGATTCAATGAGTTGAACTGTCTAAAAGGCTTGGAGCTGTGCCCAGAACAGGGTAAGCCCTTGGTAAATGTTGACTGCTGTTATTACTACCGTCTGTTTTCAGCACAATAGCCAGGGGAATCCTTTGAAAACATAAGTCTGGTCACTTCACTCCACTGTTTCAAACCCCCCAATGGCTTCCCCTCCACCAGAACAAAGGCTCAAGTTCTAACCTGGCCTCTGTCACCTCCCTAGTGTTACCTTCCCAACTACCTACAGCCAAGACAACCCAGGCAGGCTCCTGTCACAGGGCCTTTGCACCTGCTCTTCCCTCTGCCTGAAAGGCTACTTCCCCAGATGTTAACATGGCTCCACCCCCCAGCACCTGTTCCAATGTCACCTCCCTGAGACCTACTCTGACACATTCTTCAAAATTGTCACCACCACCCGCTTCCCTGCTTGATTTTCTGTCTAGCACTCATTGCCAGTAGACACACTGGATAGTCTGCTTATTTAGTTAATTATTATTATAGTGATGGTTTGTCATTTTCTCCTCTCACTAGGAAATAGCCCATGAAGGCAGGGGTGTCTGTCCTGCTCTCTGCTATGACCCCAGCGCTGGAACATTGCCTGGCACAAAGTAGGACCCCAGGAAACATGAGTTGAAGAAATGCATGAATGAGTGACTCTATTCATCTACTCCTACAAGTGAAGCCCCATATCCAATGCCCAGCACATGTCGGGCATCCAAGAAATGCTTGTCAAAAACAGGCCAACAGGAGGAGGGAGGGGCATTTACCAAACACAGACCAGGCACTAGAAAAAAAGCCAATCCAGACTTCACTAATTCATGCGCCCACAGACTCGTGCTGGGACATACCCCTGTGCCAGGCTCTGTTTTAGGTCCCAAGGATGTTATACTCTGGAGCAGGGAGGGGTAGGGTGGGGCTCATGATCCCTGCCCTCATGGACTTCAGATCTTGTGAGCAAGAGGGACACTGCCCAGCTCTGCGTGTTACACATCGATAACACTCCCATCTCACATACAAGGAAACTGAAGTGTCTTGGCTGCTAAGCAGTAGAGCCAGGTCTAGAACCAGCTGGGTCTAAGTTCCTAAGCTCCCCCTCCTACCCCGCATGAGAGTTCCTGCTGTGGGTGCTGACAGGAGGGTGAGGCCTGCATCAGGGAGATGGCACAGGCCAAGGTGCCAAGGTAGAACATGGAAAGTCATTTTAAGATGGAGCAGAAGGAAGTGAAGGCAGAGGGAGGAAGGAGACCAATGGCAGAGCCTGCAGGTGACGGCTCCAGCTTTCTCCTGCAGGCACTGGGAAGCCAGCAAATGTTTGTGAGTGCAGGAAGCCTCAAAGAGCAGCCTGAGGCTTGTGTAGGAAAAACAGGAAGAAGCAGAACCCTGTGGGAAGGAGGAGGCCTGGCCCCAGGTCATCACATGGTTTAGGAAAGAGGTAGGGAGTAGTGTGAAGAAGAGGCATGAACGACTCTCGGGCCCACCAAAGCCTGCACGCCCCTGCATCCCCGCGTCCAGCACCTACGTCCCGCTACTGTCACCACCAAGCCCAAGTGAAAGGCTGAAGGAGATGCTAAGGGAAATGAAACCAAGGGGAGGACAAACCACAGAGAAGATCTGCAAGGTTGTCTGCTAAACCTGCTCCTCCAAAGCCAGAGCCCAGGCCTAAAAGGACCCAAGAAGGGAGAGAAGGGACCCAAAGGGAAGATGGGAGAAGCTGATGCCGGCAAGGAGGGGAATTGTCCTGCAGAAAATGCAGCTGCCAACACAGAGCAGGCACAGAAAGCTGAAGGCGCTGGGGCTGCCAAGTGGAGTATGTGCATTTGGGGTAACTGTGTACCTCTGGTGACTGCACAGTTTGAAATATTATTTTTTATCAAGTTTTATGAAAATGCAGAATTTTG